>NW_025791797.1:600000-900000 GCF_000001405.40 Homo sapiens | reverse complement strand
AGAACCACCCGGAGGTGACTGTGGCCATGGCTCTGACTGACATAGACCTGCAGCTGCAGTTCTCCATGTCCCAACCCGAAGCCCTCCTTCTCCTGGCAGCAGGCCCAGCTGACCACCTCCTGCTGCAGCTCTACTCTGGACACCTGCAGGTGAGTGACGTCCCCCTGGGATTGGGGCGAGATTCCTTGTCTAGCTTTGAGTGAACCCCAGCTGGCTGTTGACCTTGTGTAAGTCACTTTTCTTGGGGTCTCAAGTTCTCCACTGTGGGATGGGCAGCAGCAGCTCAGAAATGGTAAATCCTTCATGAACTGGCTCTGCCCACCGGCTCCTTCCAACCATGTTTCCCACCACAAGCCCTCACTGGCCCTTTGTGCTCTGACTGCACTGAACTGCTTTCAGTTCCTGGCCATCTTATGGTCACTTGCAGCCAGGCCTTTGGTCATCACACTCCTCCTGCCAGGTGTGTGACCCACCCATTCCCTGTACCTGCCGAACTCTAGTCTCTCCTTGAAGTTTCAGTGTGGGCATCCCCTCCTCCTCGGCGAGACCCCCTCCTGGGCCCCCATGACCCCTGCGCATCCTGGTGGCACTGCACCAATTTATCTGCAGCACCACTGTCTGTCCATGAGAGTAACAGCACCAGTACTGCCTCAGCTTCATTTTTCCATTTCATCCTTCAAGACACCACAAGCTTTATTATCAAGGAGTCTTGTGGCTCCTACTTGAGTCTTACCCCATACCAGGAAGAGTTTAAGAACCCAGGGTCTTAGTCCAAATTTGGGGCAGGCTGGGTGCAGTGGCTTATGCCTATAATCCCACCACTTTGGGAGACCAAGGTGGAAAGATCACTTGAGCCTAGGAGTTCAAGACTGGCCTGAGCCACACAATGAGACCCCATCTCTATTTTAGAAGGAAAAAAAAAACAAATTAACAAATTTGGGGCAGCCATCTCTTTCCACACCCCAGTGGGAAGAGGACTAGGGCTTGGTCAGTCTGCTGCTGTCATTGCTGCTCATTGCCACAAGGTGTCACTGTTGAACACCTATGTGGTGCAGTCTGGTGCTGATGGCTGTTGAGCTCTGCAGGTAGTGATGCCACATCCCTACAGAGATGCACCATACCAGGACTCCAAGATCATGGTTCTTAGTGTTCTGCCTCTGCAGTTCCCATACTCTGCCATCACCTATTCTAGTATCTGGGAGCACCATACCAGAGCCATTTCTTGTGTCAATGTCATGGTGACAGAACTATGTCCTTCATCTCTCCTTGAGATATTCCTCCACCACAGGTCAGGCAGCTTTTTTTTTTTTTTTTTTTTCCCAGAACACAGAGCATCTGCCTGGGCTCCCTGTCCCTGAACAGTTAGCCTGGCTTCCTTCAGTGACCTCGAGAAACTTTGCCAAACTTAGGGGGACTGATCAACGGATTCTCAGTTACCCATTATTCCAGGGGTGAAATCTAGATTCCAAGACAATATTTCTGGTGCTTCTCACTCAAGGAAAGAGGAGGAGAATTTAAAAATACAGGTTGGGTTTCTAGAAGAGCATCTTGCTATATGTCAGTTCCTTGTGGGCAAGGACCACATCTGATTCACACCAGGGTCCCCAGAGCCCATCCAGGCCTGGCCCAGAGTTTCCTTTGGTGAGTGTTTGGAGGATGAATAAAGAGATGGCAGGAAGGCAAGAGGAGTGGCACCAGAGGCCCTTGTCCTAGGTTTTCTGCTCTGGGGCCCCCTGTGGGGAACCCACTGTGCTTTTATAAGGGAAATGATGGATTCAAAGTGCTGCCCCCCATCTCCCATTCCCCGTCTCTCCTCAGGTCAGGCTTGTCCTGGGCCAGGAGGAGCTGAGGCTGCAGACCCCAGCAGAAATTCTACTGAGTGGCTCCGTCCCCCACACCACAGTTCTGACTGTCTCAGAGGACTGGCCCACATTGTCAGTCAATGGGTTTCTGAATGCCTCCTCTGTAGTCCTGGGAGCCCCCCTAGAAGTCCCCTATGGGCTCTTTGTTGGGAGCACTGGGAGACTTGGCCTGCCCTACCTGAGGGGAACCAGCCATCCCCTGAGGGGTTGCCTCCATGCAGCCGCTCTCAATGGCCGCAGACTCCTCCAGCCTCTGACCCCCAATAAGCATGAGGGCTGTGCTGAAGAGTTTTCTGCCAATGATGATGTGGCCCTGGGCTTCTCTGGGTCCCACTCTCTGGCTGCCTTGCCTGCCTGGGGCACTCAGGATGAAGGAACCCTGGAGTTTACACTCACCACACAGAGCTGGCAGGCACCCTTGGCCTTCCAGGCAGCAGGCTGGCATGGGGACTTCATCCATGTGGACATATTTGAGGGCCACCTGTGGTCCATGGTTGAGAAGGGCCAGGGTACTGTATTGCTCCTCAACAGTGTGCCTGTGACTGACGCACAGCCCCACAAGGTCAGCATCCACATCAACATTCACCAGCTAGAAATCTCCATGGACCAGTACCCCACACGAACTGAGGAGTCCTCAGCTACCTGGAGCCACGTGACAGTCTCCTTCTTGGGGAGCTGGTTGCAGAGGCCTCTCATCACCTCCAGGAACACCGCTCAGGCCTGACACCAGGGGCTGCCAATGCCTCCCTGCTGGGCTGGCTGCATGGAAGACCTCAGTGTCAATGGCTAGAGGCAGGGGCTGTGGGAAGCCTTGCTGACGCACAACATGGTGGCTGGCTGCAGACTGGAGGAGGTAGACAATGCCTATGGCCATTATGAAGCTTTCTCCACCCTGGCTCCCAAGGCTTGGCTGTCTGTGGAGCTAGCTGAGCCATGCGTGCCTGAGCCAGGGCTACCTCCTGTCTTTGCCAATTTCATCCAGCTGCTATCAGCGCAGTGGTGGTGACCGAGGGTGGCACAGCCTGGCTTGAGTGGTGGCATGTGCAGCCCATGCTGGCACTGATGGAGGCTGAACTGCGTAAATCCCAGGTGCTGTTCAGCGTGACCTGAGGGGCACACTACAGCGAGCTCGAGCTGGATGTCCTGGGTGCCCAGGCATGAAAAATGTTCACCCTCCTGGACGTGGTGAACTGCAAGGCCCGCTTCATCCACGATGGCCCTGAGGACACCTCTGACCAGCTGGTGCTGGAGGTGTCAGTGATGGCTTGGTTGCCCATGCCCTCATGCCTGCGGAGGGGCCAAACAGACCTCCTGCCCATCCAGGTCAACCCTGTCAATGACCCACCCCACATCATCTTCCCACATGGCAGCCTTATGGTGATCCTGGAACACACACAGAAGCCTCTGGGGCCTGAGGTTCTCCAGGCCTATGACCTGGACTCTGCCTGTGAGGGCCTCACCTTCCAGCTCCTTGGCACCCCCTCTGGCCTCCCCGTGGAGCACCGAGACCAGCCTGGGGAGCCGGTGACTGAGTTCTCCTGCTGGGAGTTGGAGGCCGGCAGCCTAGTCTATGTCCACTGTGGTGGCCCTACACAGGACTTGACATTCCGGGTCAGCAATGGACTGCAGGCCAGCCCCCCGGCCATGCTGAAGGTGGTGGCTGTCCAGCTGGCCATACAAATCCACCGCAGCACAGGGCTGCATCTGGCCCAGGGCTCTGCCATGCCCATCTTGCCTACCAACCTGTTGGTGGAGACCAGCGCCGTGGGGCAGGATGTGACCGTGCTGTTCCATGTCACCGGAGGCCTGCCGTTCAGGGAGCTGCAGAAGCAGGGGGCTGGTGGGGTGGAGGATGCTGAGTGGTGGGTCACACAGGCGTTCCACCAGCAGGATGTGGAGCAGGGCCACGTGAGGTACCTGAGCACTGACCCACAGCACTACACCGAGGACACCGTGGAGAACCTGGATCTGCAGGTGCAGGTGAGCTGGGAAATCCTGAGCAATCTGTCCTTCCTAGTGACCATCCAGAGAGCCACTGTGTGGATGCTGCAGCTGGAGCCACTGCACACTCAGAACACCCAGCAGGAGGCCCTCACCACAGCCCACCTGGAGGCCACCCTGGAGGAGGCAGGCCCAAGCCCCCCAACCTTCCACTGTGAGGTGGTTCAGGCTCCCAGGAAAGGCAACTTTCAACTACAGGGCACGATGCTGTCAGACGGTCAGGGCTTCACCCAGGATGACGTACAGGCTGCAGAGGTGACCTATGGGGCCATGGCACGTGCCTCAGTGGCAGTGGAGGACACCTTCTGTTTCCATGTCACAGCTCCACCATATTTCTCCCCACTCTGTACCTTCTCCATCCATATTGGCGGTGACCCAGACATGCCTGTCCTCACCAATGTCCTCGTGGTGCCCGAGGGTGGTGGGTGTGTCCTCTCTGCTGACCAGCTCTTCGTCAAGAGCCTCAACAGTGCCAGGTACCTCTATGAGGTCATGTAGCAGCCCTGCCATGGGAGGTTCTTAGCGTGGGACACAGGACAAGACCACTATGGTGACATCCTTCACCAATGGAGACCTGTTGCGTGGCCAGCTGGTCTAGCAGCATGATGACTCCGAGATCACGGAAGATGATATGCCATTTGCTGCTGCCGCCAGGACCAGAGCAGTGGTGACGTGGCCTGGGAGGAGGTACGGGGCCATCCAGCCTGTGAATGACCACGCCCCTGTGCAGAGCATCAGCTGCGTCTTCCATGTGGCCTGGGGTAGGTGGCAGCTGCTGACTACAGACAACATGGCCTTCAGCAATGCTGATTCGGGCTTTGTGGATGCCCAGCTGGTGCTGACCCACAAGGACCTCCTCTCTGGCAGTATCATGGCCACGGATGAGCCCATGCAGCCCATCTGCTGCTTCATCCAGGAGGGGCCTCAGGAAGAGGCGAGTCCTGTTCACGCACTCAGGCTGACTACAGCTGGATCCTGCTGCAGGTGTCCGACAGGCAGCACCAGGCCATCATGGTGCTGGAGGTGCAGGCCTTGGAGCCTTACCTCTGTGTGGCCAACGGCTCCAGCCTCATGGTCCCTCAAGGAGACCAGGGTACCATCAACATGGCCGAGCTCCACCTTGGCACCAACCTCGACATCCGCAGCGGGGATGAGGTCCACTACCACGTCACAGACAGCCCTCGCTGGGGACAGTTGCTGCAGGCCACTCAGCCAGCACTGCCTTCTCCCAGCAGGACCTGCTGGTTGGGGCCATTCTCTTTGGCCACAATGGCAGCCTCAGCTCCCGCAACACCCTGGCCTTCTCAATGGATGTGGGGCCTTCTCAATGGATGTGGGGCCAGTGCACACAGATGCCACCCTACAAGTGACCATTGCCCTAGAGGGCCCACTAGCCCCACTGAAGCTGGCCTGGCACAAGAAGATCTACATCTTCCAGGGAGAGGCAGCTGAGATCAGAAGAGACCAGCTGGAGGTGAGGAGCTGGGGGTGGTGAGTGGAGGTGTGGACCAGGTAGAGGGCCTTCCTCCCAGCCTCCCTGCCGGGAACACATGTGACTTGGGTTGTGCCTGTGGTGGTCCCAGGTTGCGTGTGTGCACGTGCCTCAGATGTGCTCCCATATATGTTGTGTTCCCAAGAGTTTCTGGGGAGCTTGCTGTACACCCATCCTCCGGGGAGTGGTGTGTGCCTCTAGAGATGGTGCCCACTCATGTCCATGGCATGGCTGAGCGTGCAGATTCCTGGACCCTAGCCAGCCCTACAGAATCTCTGAAGTGGAGCCGGAGAATCTGCATTGCAGTCAGTTCCCTGGGTGGGCATCACGGGTCCTGAACTTTTGGGATTGCTGGCTGTGGAGACAGGCCGCTGCCCCTCAGACCCCTGTGTACCCCGCTCTCTTCTCAGAGCCCAGACCAGGACTAGGAGGGTGTGTCAAGGGCTTCTGCTCATCCAGGAACCCCACAGAGCAGCCATGGGCCTTCCAGAGATCTCACTGACATGCCCTGTGACCTCAGGCCAGTCCTTGCCCGCTCTCAGCCTTACTCTCCCACACTGCTCATTTCAGAGACCCTTCTGGTCTGCATCTGGAGCTTGGGGCCCAAGGTGAGCCAGCAGATCTGGCATCAGGAAGGCCTCATGGGAGGAGGCAGTGTTTGGGCCCGGCTCTGAAGAGCACAGGCCATCGGGAGCAGGGAATGGGGAGTGGTATTCCAGGCAAAAGGAACATTCCGGGCAAGGGTACAGAACAGGAATGTGAGTTTGGGGGCAGTTCACAGGGGAGGACCTGGTGAACTTCACTCAGGGAGAGGTAAGGGCCCCACTCTGCAGTCACCACTCAGATGCGCCCAGCCTCAGGTGGCCACTGTGCCATGGACATCATGTGGACATGGGCACCAGCTCCAGCATCACTGGCAGCAGACACTCCCGGGCCTGCCATGGTCCAGGGCCCTGGCGTCCTGCCCTCCAGGAGTCATCAGGCTGGCGGGGCAAGTTCATGTTCCCAGAAGGAGGGAGAAGGATGCAGGAAGTCGGGGATACAGGGCCCTAGAGCAGGGCTGGGGTCTTGGGGTGTGGTTTCCAGAAGGAAGTTAGAGCTGGACCCAAGGGTCTGGAGAGGGAGAACCATGTAGGGGCACTAGTGGCACCCCAGTAGCTGGTGAGGGGCAGTGCTTGGTGGGGGATGGAGTCGGAGGTGAAACAGCTGCTGGGGCCTGTGGGCAGAGGTGTGAGCCTGGGGCTCAGATCAGGTGCCAGCCAGAGGCAGAGTGGATCCTAGGAGCAGATGAGCTGATGAAAGGCAGCTGAGTCGGCCAAAAGGGGGAAGCCACTGTTCATCTGTCCTGGTGGCTTCAGAGAAGAACTAGAGCTCTCAGCCATGGGTAGTGGCAGACGCTCTGTGGTAATTGTGCCATGGGGGCCAGAGCAGTCATTGTTTAAATGAACACCTCTCCCCAAAGGCAGAACGGGAGTTGTTCCATAGCAGGGCAGACTCTTTTGTGGGCCGTCCTGGGCAGGCAGCATACCTGATGCTCCCACCAGGAGGCTGCGTGAGCATCTGGACCCAGCACATGATCACAGTGAGTTCTGGGTAGGGAGTGGTCTTGTGGGACGCAGAGCTGTCTCTGTCATTCAGGAGCCACGGCATGCAGCACTGCCCCAAGTACCTCCAGAGGGGTCCCCCTGCCAGCCCTTGAAAATGGCAGAGCCCACCCCTAGCCCCCTTTTCAAGCTCCCTTGCTTGGGCAAGGACAACCTGAGCCTGGCACTCTCCCTCCTGAGAGGTGCAGATGGTACTCAGCAAGTGCAAAGCCGAGGTTTCTTGGGCCTCTCACATCAGCACCTCCCAGACCTGGGTTCTGTATTTCCCCGGAGCTCCACTCCTGCTATGGTGCCCTCCCCACAGTGAGATATTCATCAGGCTGGTGTCTACAGCTGCTGCGTACCCTCAGTTGCTGGGAGCCTTCATCAAGAATGCCGAGGAATGAGGAGGGCACGGGACCAGACCATCAGCAACCCTCTTGCGCTCTATAGTCCCACGTTACTCAGAGCTTCCCCATGCCCTAGCAAGATGAAGGACTAGATTGAATGGGCACCAGGGGGCCAGGCTGGCAGTGCCACCCAGGAAAGCCGGGAAGAGGCTCCATGGGCTACCTGGCCCACTCAGGGAGGAGGGCAGAACTGGGTATTGTCTTGACAGCAGCCCTGTCCCACAACACCGAACGGGGCAGGGAAGGGGTCAGGTGGCCTCATTTTTCAGATAAGAAAACTGAAGCTCCTGGAGGGCAGGTACCTGTATGCAGAGCACATGGCAAGTAAGAGGCAACACTTCTGCTGGCAAATCCAGGATTTCTGGCACCAGAGGACACTGCTTGCTCCCCAGAGCTCGGGACCCTGTGTTTTGTCTCACTCCCACTCCTGGAGGCCGAGGTGGGAGGATCACTTGAGCCCAGGAGTTCGAGACCAGCCTGGGCAACATAGGGAGACCTTGTCTCCACACAAAAATTTTACAAGTAGCTGGGCTTGGTGGTGGCATGTGCCTGTAGTCCTAGCTACGCAAGAGGCTGACATTGGAGGATCACTTTGAGCCCAGGAGGTGGAGGCTGCAGTGAGCAGTCATCACTGTACTCCAGCCTGGTGACAGAGTGAGACCCTATCAGTGCCCCCTTCCGAAAAGAAAACTGAGTAAACAGGTGTCTTCTTGGCGTGATAGGTCCTAAGTCCGCTCCCAGATCTGTGACATTTGACAGGTGTCTTTTCCTCTGGACCTCAGTGTCCCCATCTGAGTGAGAAAAGGCAGTGGGGAGGTGGATCTTCCAGTCGAAGCGGTATAGAAGCCCGTGTGAAAAGCCTTACTCCAAGGGGCTCCAAGTCCAGCACACAGTCCCAGTAGGGCAGCACAGGCATCAGGTCCCGACCTTCTTTCCTGTTTGTCCACTCTCAGACCACGGAGTTCATCATCTCGGAGCCACTGGCCAATATGTACTCGCGTGGGAACCAGAACACACTGATGGAGGAGTGGGCAGAGTAGGCACAGTGGCACGACGAGATGCTGCGCATGCACCACGCGCTGAAGGAGGCGCTCAGCATCATCAGTGACACCACCAGGACCACCGTCAGCATGCCCATGCCCCTGCCCGCGGACGACACCTGGGTGCAGGTGCAGAGCATCTCTGAGGAACAAAGGTGCCAGGGCCTGCCCCCCACAGCCCCAAAGTACCCCCCGCCCGGGCCGCACAGAGGGATGCCCCTGCATCGGGGTGGCTCCCACCTGGAGTGAGGGGTGGAGCTTGCCAAGGAGCACTGGCTGCGGGGCGGGGTGGAGCTGGGATGTTCTCACCACTGGGGTCTGGGCTTAAGCTTGGGCGACTGCCTCGGGGCACAGCAGGGAGGAGCTTCCGTGCATGGGTGTGGCTGGGGCGGGGCCTCAGGGGGGCAGAGCCGCCCATCTCTCCCCTCCCTATGCCTTGCAGGTCGCCCAAGTCCAGCCCCAGGATGCCCAGACCCCACCATGTCCCTAGCCCGGCCTGGGTGGCGGGGCCCAGCTCTTGGGCTTCCTCTTGCCAGGTCCGCCCTTGGGGAAGCGTGCCCCGTACCCTCCAGGCTAGAGGCTTCCCCTGATCCCTTCAGCCCCTACCCCGCCAAGTGCGCTCATGCCCCACGCGGGGTCTCCAAGTGAGTAGGGGCTGAATGCAGCCAAAGAGGCTGCTGGACGGGCGTGGCCGGGAAGGAAATGGGACTGGAGTCCAGAGCATCAGACCTGGCCGCCTCCATCCAAGGCATTGGGACCATGGGTGCCGGAGCCACGTGTGGCTGAGGGCTGGCGGAGCCTGCTCCCCAGGGAGCACTGATTCCTGGAGGTGGTCGTTTTTGAGGGGGCTGTGGGGCTTGTCTTACCTGCCCCCTTCTGTCTAGCACTTGCATGGCACTTCCCTCTATTTTCACTCTTGGCGGCTGCCCACACGTTGCATTTCTCTTCCTTTCTTCTTCTCGCTGTCCTCCATCCTCCATTCCGTCCAACTCCTATCCCAGCCCCTGGGGAGCCTACCTCAGGTCTGAGAGTCTGGGTGTGTGGATTTCCTTCAGCTACCCGGATGTCCCCACTTCCAAGTCCTGACTCCTTTGAGCCATCCCAGGGGGTGTCCAGCCACTGGACCACAGGAGCAGAGGCCAGGCTGTGACTGTGTGACCAGCAAGGTGTGTGATGTGTGCGGGGGTGAGCACACAACTGAGAGAGTGTAAGAATGGCACCCAGGCCTGAGCTAGGACAGAAGCAGCTGGGGAAGGAGCCTGGGGGCCACAGGCAATCTGATTTTTTCTCCACATCTGGACCCCTCCCCCTCTATCCCTAACCCTGTCTAAACTAATGGCGCAGTGGTAGCTGCAAGGGCAGGGATGGGAGTGGCTGAAGCCTACTTCACTCCCAAAGATTTCTAAGGAAAATGGTTCTACTGCATGCTTTGGCTGGGCCTTGTTGACCCGTGACCCTCTTCCAAGAACATTCACTCTGATTTCCAGTGTGCCCTGTTTCCCTTTCCAAATGGCTGGAGAGTGGGGCTGTAGGTCCAGCGCCCATATACAAAAATGAAGCAGGGATTGGGGCTTGCCCTATGACGTGCTGATGACCAAGTTAGATGGGTATAGGCAAGCAGCATAGTATTGGGCAAGATCACTGGACTGGGAGTCCAGAGATGCTGCTTCACCCTGGGGCTTTAAGCAAGTCCCTTTCCCTCCCAGAGCCTCAGCATCCCTTCTATGAAATGACGACATTCTGCCCTTCTCCTAGGATGGCTGTGGGGATCAAGGGAGACAGTGGTCATAGGGATGCTGTGTTAACTGCAGATGCGGCCATAGGAGCACTTTGCTAACTGCCAACATAATTTCACACTCTTCAGGCTATTTGGCACCCAGATCTATGGTGAGGTGTGACATATGGGATGTAAGGTTTGATGCCTGCTCCGACTCCAGTCTTGCTAACACAAATGAAACCTTTGGCAAATCATGACCCTGCCTTGGGTAAAAGGGCAGTCTGGGAGAGTTTCTTCAAGGCAGCCTGGCTTCAATGCAGTCCAGGGCATGACTGAGATAGGCATACGTTGTGAGGAACTGGAGGGTAACTGGGTAAAGAGCTGCAGTGTGGGCAGAGGTGTAGTGTGGGTCACATCAAGGATAGCCACTGGCCAAAGCAGGGAACAGAGACAGAATGAGGAAGAGCTCTGTGGGGAGGGTGGGGCACAGGGTGGAGAACCTTCAAAGTCCAAAGAGTATGACTTGTTGGGATTCAACGCTGTAGGCAGTAGGGAGCCATGGAAGGCTCTGAGGTGGAGAAATGACAGCCGGACATTAGTGAGCAAGCCCTGTCTCCCTGAGCAGTATGGGTGGTCCTCTGAGCACGCCAGGCACGAGTGTGCAGGGAGCTGGTGCAAATGCCTCTGTGTGCGGGTGATCATCTGTGTTGTGACTCTGCCCACGCATGTGCTTCAGTGTGCCGTGTGGCTGCATGCCCCAGATCCACGCGGCACGTGCCGGCCGGTGAGGGTGTTGGGCACCGGGAGGTGGTGGGGAAGGCGACGTATGCGTGTTGTTTGTGGGCATGTGTTAGAGTGTGCATGCGGGCCGTGGGGCCTCACAGCATGTGTGTGCACACTCGGGCATGTGCGTGTGTGTCCCCCACCCCCAGGCCTGCCCATTCCTTCTGAAGCTGCAGACTTGCTCTTTCCTCTTTCTGTCCTTGTGCTGCTGGCTGTCTCACTTTGCTCCCTGTGAGCCACAGGACTCAGTGCCACTGCTCAAGGTCTCCAAGGCTGAGCCTGGGGGCTCCATGCCCAAGCTGGCAGATGTGGAGCCATCAGAGAGGGCACAGAGCTCATGGTTTATGGTGTGGGGGGCTGGACTCAGGCGGCCAGAGGCCTGGGAACATCATCCTGGGCACGCCGTACCTGTCAGGCAGTCTGAGTCATGCTGCCAGGGCAGGTATCCAGCTCCCAGCCTGGGAGTGCCGAGAGCCAAATCCACGGCAGATTAGGGGTGATAGTCAGGGTCCCACGTCCTCTATCTGTCAGCAATCCAGTGGTGATCTAGGATAAAAGCCTGAGAGTCCTATACACGCGGTCATCCCACAACACACTTCATAGGCCATGCAAGGACACACAGCCCCCTTCCCTCCCTCCCAGGTACCATGATAGCTGCTAGCGTGCGACTGAAGGCAGGGTCCCTGGCCCCTGCTGAAGCACTACTGCTGGCCAGCAGGCTCACGCACCTTGGCCTGTTGCTTCTAGGGGTCGCCTGTGCTATTCAGCCAAGGGGCCCACAATGCATGCTGGCCTAGCTGAGCTCCGCCTAGACAGCTCACTTCCCTTTACTGCCACAGAGTCTCCCTCTTCTGCTTTTCCCAGCAGGAAGGGCCCAGCCTCACCTATGCAACCTGCAGCCCTCCACCAACCAGTTGAGGCTCCCCTGTTAGACTTAGAAGTCTATGGCCAATGGCATCCGGCTACCTGCCCTTCCTGCCTTCCCCAGGGTCCCTCAGAGGACCCTGGGCTTTCAGACAGCCCAGAGGGGCCTCTGGCATTCACTCCAGCCAGCCATCCCTTATAGCTTCACCATTTTGGTTCAAGCAGTGTTCCTTCTGTCAGGCTTGGTGGCTGTTGGGTGGGGCTCCCCAAGCAAGAGGTGGCCCTGGGCCAGTGCGTTGGAAGACGGTGACCAGAGAAGCGGAAGCCTGAGGGGGTTGAGCATTGGTCTGAACTGTGGGTGGACTGCCTGGGTGCCGTGGGAGAGGCCAGTGTGTGTGGGGTGGGGAGGGCTGCCACAGCCCCCAGGCACTCCAGCTTCTCCCTCCATCTTCCTCCCCTTTCCCTTCCAGCCCCTTTACCAGGAACCTTGCCATTCCCACACCTACGCCCTCCCCTCCCCGGCTCTTAGATGATGGTGGTGTTTATCTCCCTGTTCTCGGCAGCCCAAAAAGAATGGCATGCAGGGGTTGCTGCCCATGCCTGGGTGCTCCTGGGGAGTCCTGCATTACAGGAAGCAGCTGCTGGATCTGCTGTGCAGTGGGGTTGTCATGGGGAGAACCCTCCCTGTCCTCTCCTGGTACAGCCTCCATGCTATCAGTGAGGCTCACCTCACAAAGATCTTCAGAGAGAGAGAGAGAGAGGGGGGTGGGAATCTGAGCACAGTTCGATCCTCCCCTGCTCCTGCCTGCCCACCCCGCCTGAGGGCTCTACTCACCACCCTGCTTGTCCGCACACCCAAGCTCCCGGGCGATTGGGGCTCCTAGAGTGGGCTCATCAGCAGGGTTCTGGGCAATGGTCAGAATTTGCCATGCCCCTCCTTGTGGTCGCCCACAAGCTGCAACACCTGCCCCGCAGCTCCTGCAGGTTCACCTGGAGGAAGGGGTGTTAGCTGCCATGCCGGTGCCGGCACGCACGTTCACCCCCACCCCCACCCCCACCGAGATGTTGCACACCCTACCTTCATCTCCTCCTGGTCCTGGGCCAGCCTGACGATGTCCTCCTCTCCCAGTGCTGCGTCTCTGACACTGCCCCCTGGCTGATGTACTTTCCTGCAGGAGGACATGGCTCAGATGCTGGGGCCCCTCGGATGGCCTGGCAGCTCCCCCCAGCGGTGCCCTAGCCTCTCGCTCACTATGGTGTCTGTCTGTCCTGAGAGGTGGATGAATTGAAGCTCTAGTTTCTCCACTCGCTCCTTCAGGTCCACCTTCTCCTTCCATAAAGTCGCTGTGGAGCCAAAATAATGGGGTCACATGTCAGGAGTCACCTGCCTTGTCCCGACCCCACCCTTGTTGGCCCATGCCAGGACTACTCACCTGCAGCTTCTCCATGGCCCCCTGCAGGGCCTGGTGGGTCTCCCCACACACAGATTCACCCCCAGTCTCTGGGGCTGGGGCCGCTACCTCTGGCTTTTTCTGGGACGAGGCCACTGGGTGAGCCAGGGGCTGGCAGCACACCCTTTGTTCCTCCTGGGCATTGGCTCCAGCGGAGTTGAAAAATGCCACCTGAAGGCAAGAGGTGAGTATTCTTGTAGGGGTATACACATAACAACTGGGGCAGGCAGATGGAGCATAGCCCCTTCCTTTCGGGCCTCACAGAGTGCACCTGTTGGTCACAGGTGAAATGGTGTCTGACCACTGGCTCCCAGGAGGAGTGAAAGTCCACAGAAGTCAGAAGGCGGGGAAACCAAGAACATAAGGGGGTTTCGGAGGGACCACAGAGGAAGGTGGCAAAGTAGGGGCAGGGAAAGTCAGGCTCACCATGGCCTCCCGGCTCTCCAGGTCCCCTGGGATGTTCGGCATGGGCCGAGGCGCCTCCTGCTCACTGTCCAGATGTCCTCCTCCATCTCCTGTGGGGGGTGGCCAGAGGGGTCCTCAGACAACCCAACAAGGGAGGTACAGTGGGCCCGCCTCTGCCCCCACACTCACTGTGTAACCTTGAGCCAGCCCCTCCCCAGAGGGGAATGAGCTGTTCTTTATTTTGAATTTTAAGAACCAAGATCTTGCTATATTGCCCAGGCACAGTCCCACTACCGATTGGTGCAGGAATTCTGACCTGCTCCCTTTCTGACCTGGGCCAGTTCTCCCATCCTTAGGCAAGCCGATGACCTGTTCCCAGGAGGTCACCATACTGATACCGAACTTAGTGCGGACACCCAGTTGGCATAATGACCAGCTGTCTTAAAGGTCTCTTCCAACTCCTCAATCCTACGCTGCTAACAGTCCCCCTTTCCTCCTGGGGCTCTCTCCTCTTCCTCTGAGTAGTCTCCCATACCTTCCCCAGGGAGAGCCATGAGGCTCAACTGGGCTTTAGCTGCTGTTTCTACTGGCTGGTAGCTTCCAGGTTCTCCTAAGGGGCCAGGAAAGAGGGTGAGAAGGTACAGAGGTTGCCAGGTTGTCCCTCTTGGAGCCCTGTCCTCAACAACTCCCTCCCCTGGGTCTCCTGCAACATTTGGCGGGCCCTCTTAGCCACCGATTTGCCCCGAGCTTCCTCCTGCTGCAGCTGGTCCATGAGCCAGGTCTGCAGCAGTAACTGCCTGTGCAGCGCCGCCTCCTCAGAGGCCAGCTGCTGACAAGCAGCCACCTGCTACTAAGCAACCACGAACTGCTGCAGGTGACACAGGTACTGGTCTTGCTGCTGCTGCTGACTCTGAGCCTCTTGGCTCTTCAGCTCCACGTGCAGGAAAACCCTGGGCATGAGGGCATGTGGTGGCTGGCTTCCAGATTCCTGGCCCATTAATAGGGTAGCGAGGGCACTGTGGGGCTCTGTGGCCTGCCCAGGCCCCTGGCCCCTTGCTCCAGGCGTACAAGACTGCCTCCTTTGCCTAGAACCACATGCCTCCTTCCACAGCCTCAAATCTCATGTCCTTTTTCCCAGCATTTAAACTGTAGGCCACAGACTGGTGGAAAAGCAGGGGCAGCCAACCACCATCTGCTAAGTGTGCCACATACCTAATGTTTCCACGTATTATCTCATTTAATCCTCAGCACCTCTGCAAGGAAAAGGCTAACTTCCTTTTGAAGTTAAACAGAGACTTAGAGATGCAAAGTAGTTGAATTATGACCAGTGGAACCGAGGCCGGAATCCAGTATGAATCTAAGGAGTCTTTTTTGTTTTTCTATTTTGTTTTGTTTAAAGAGAGTGTCACTCTGTGTCTCAGGCTAGAATGCAGTGGTGCAATCTCAGCTCACTGCAACCTTCACCTCCCAGGCTCAAGTGATTCTCGTGTCTCAGCCTCCTGAGTAGCTGGGATTACAGGCATACACCACCAGGCCCGGCTAATTATTTTTTTTTTTTTAATTTTAGTAGAGATGAGGTTTTGCCATGTTGGCCACGCTGATCTCAAACTCCTGACCTCAAGTGATTGTCCCACCTCAGCCTCCCAAAGTGCTGGGATTACAGGCGTGAGCCACCACACCCCACCAAGGAGCCTCTTATACCACTGTCTCTTCCTCTGTGATTGGGGGGGCTCCATGCCTCTAGCTGGGATGATGATGTCCAGACCTGGGAGGAGCCCAGGGCTACCCACCTCTAAACATCAGAGGGCAGGAAGCAAGAAACAGTCATAGGACTGCCCTGGAGGGTGCTGGGGTCACCTGCCCTCAGGCTGCAGCTGCCTCTGTCCTGGCACCTCCCCTTCCCAGAGGCTGGTGACTGCCTCCCAGCCATTATTGGATGGGTCACAGGTTACCGTCTCTTTCAGCTCACCAAGCTTCAGCTCCTTTACTTGCTGCTCCAACTGCAGTGCACTCTTGTTCTCATTATTCTGGACAGAGAGAAGCAATCAGTGGCCACCCACTAAAACTGGAGACCCCAGAACTTGGTGTCTGCCTCCCATGGCAGCGGGAAGGGTGGAGGCAGGTTAGAAAAATATCCCCTTTCTCCCACAGCCATCAGAGCAGGACTCTGGCTCACAGGTGCCTTTAGAAGTACCATTTCATGTGAAGGCTACAATGCCCCATTTTACAGGTGGGGAAACAAAGGCCTTGAGGGCTAGGGAAGAGGGCAGCCTCCCCAGGTGGGGCAACGCACCAGCTCCTCGAAGCCGCTGTGGGGCTCGGCCCGCTGCTTGTAGAGGGCTTCCCACCCCAACTCCAGCATCCTCTCCAGCTCCCGTAGAGTCTCCTGCTGCCACAGCCTCTCATCCTGCTCCCGAAAACCTCTCCTGTTCCAGCAGCTCCTCCACCTTGTCCAGCAGCCTCTCCTGTTCCTCCTGCCACCCCTCCTGTTCCTGCAGCCTCTCCTCCTGTCTCCTGTTCAGGAGACTCAACCTCTGATTGTTTTCCACCTCAGCCTGGAGCTGTCTTCCCACACTCTCCAGCTCCTTCCTTAGGTGGTTGGTCTCATCTTGGAGCTGCTCCACCTTAGAGGGCCGTGCTGGGGGCTCTGGGGCCAGGGGTTCAGCTGAGAAAGGAAGCAGACAATAAGGGCCTCTGGATAAAAAAAAAAAAAAAAAAAAAATCCTCCCTTCGGTGCACAGCTCCTCCTCTCAGGCTTCCCAAACTTGGCCTCACTGCTAATGACTCCTCACACCCGGATGGTAGCCAATCTTCCAAGTCACTTTCAGATAGCACTGTGGGTGGCTGACAACGGGCACTCCTCCCTCTTTACTGAGAGGGACACTGAGGCTCATGGAGATAACAAGACTTGCCATCTCCTGGCACAGACCTCTTTCCCTCTGCCTCAAAGCCCTTCCATCTACCCACCTCCCCGGGGCATTCTAAGTCACCCTCACAGCCCTCTGATGCCAGTCCTGCTCCTAGGTCATGGCAGCCCCATCTTACCCGTCTGGTTTTTGAGTTTGAACAAGTTCCTCCCAAGCTTCTGTACCTGATGTATCTCATGCTTCTCCTCTTTCAATGTGTGAACCTGCCTAAAGCAGAGGGGAAAGGGCCCTGCAGAGAGGGGCTGCTGAACCTCTAGAGACAGAGTTTGAGAAAGGCCCACCCCCCTTCTGCCAGCTTACGATTGAGAAAGGTGCATTCACTCAACAAACATTTACTGAGCACGTACAGGCCAGGTACAGTTCTTCATAGCAGAGATATAAGACAGCAAAGGACAGACAGGAGCCCTTGGTCCTGAGGTTTCCATTCTAGGAGCCTTTAAATCTCTGAGCTAACAGTGACCTTTGATACTCTCTACCTCCTCCAGAAACACGAGCCTAAGGAGGAGAGATGGCTTGTCCAGACTCAAAAAGCAAATTAGGGACTGAGGCAGGGCAGAAATACGGGCCCCTGAAAACCAGTCAGGCTAGTGCTTTCCTGAGAGGTGACAACCCCAGGGCATGTGTGGCAAGGACTAGAGCAGGGGTGTCTGGAGAAGAGAGAGTCAGCAAAGAGGGCAGTGCAGAAGAGCCATGCTGCATGTTCTGTGCTCTGGGGTCCCTCCAGGTGAGACCTGGGTGCCCAGCTCCCCATTTGCCCTTGGCATCAGGGGCTCCTAGCCCCTTTCTTCAGGGCCCCAAGAGGAAACTGGAGTCCAGGATTCACAGGCTGGAATCAGGGGACCCCACTGGACTCTTACCAGTGAATTGATGTTTTCAGTGAGTTGACTGATTATTGTGGAGCTTGAATCCAGGGCCACTGCTAGTTCTTGGTACTGGCTCTGAGGTGCATGCAGAGAGGAGGAGTTGGAGGAAGATTGTGGGGAGGGGTAGAGAGAATAATCATTAGGGCTGGTGGGGGTGTGTGGGCTGCCTCAGCTGGCAGAGGGGCAACAAGCCCCTGCTGTGGGAGGAGGTTGGAGGGCTAGCCTGCAGGGTCACTGCACCTCGGCCCAGGGCCTCTTACCTCCAGATCCTCCAGGGTAGCAGATGATGCACGGCCCTCCCCGTAGATACCTGTTGCTGACTGCAAACGATGAGAGTGCACATGGAGATGTCCTGTCCCCCCTCACTGTCTAAGCCCTCTGATTTCCTTTCTTCCCCATCAACTGGCAAAAGCTTCTTTTCTGCCTATCTTGGACCCTTTTTCCCATAACTCCTTTGTGCCAACTTCTCTCGTGGTTCTTATCTCCCCACCATCCCACCCTGGGGCCCTTTCAGTGACTCCTAAAGGGACAGCCTGATGGCAAGTGGCTCTTCTCATTGGCCTGGCTTCCCCTTGAGACTGGGGATGAGGAAAATCAAACAACAACCATTTCCTGGGTGTCCTGGGTGTTTGCAGCAGGCCATGTACTAAGGATTCACATAAAAGCAACAATAACGAATCTCATTTACACTTCACAAATGGAAGTCAAAAAATACCACCTCTATTATGGAGATGTGAAAAGAGAGACCCAAAGACCTCAAACAACTTACCCTAAATCATAGGCTAATCAATCCCTAATCAATCCTTAGCAGACGGAGAGGCAGGATTCAAACCCAGAATTCTTAACCAGTACCCAACAGTCCATCTACAATCTTAACAATTACCCTCTACTGCCCCTTGGGCCCCCTGTCCCCAGGACCCTGGCCAGCCAAGACTCACATCCCCAGGTGAGTGGTAACCACCAGAAGTGGCTGTGTCAGGGCTACTGCCATTGATTTTCTTTTTCCTGTTAGCTCCTTCTGGAATGCCAGGGCTCTTCCTCTGCCAATATTCTTTTAACTGTGGGAAAGAAGAGTAGTAACACTCATGAGAACAATCAGCCCCTATAGCCACATCCTCCTTTACAGTTTTGACAAAATACTCTTATACACCATCTGGTTTAATGCCACCAACAACTGTACAAGGTGTTGTCACAATCAGTTAGTGACTGAGAGGGATTGATATCATGGATAGAAAAAAAAAAAGGAGGAAAGAAAAAGGCAATACTGGAACTTAAACTCAGTCTTCTGACTCCAACCTCTGGGGTTTTGCCATGAATCAGCAGCTTCCAGGGACCAAAACCAGGGACAGAGGTAGAAAAGTAAACATTAAGCAGGCAGGAACTGTAGGCCGTGTGGTTTAGAGTCATACATCCTCACAGGTCTGTTAGCGTGAAGAAGCGTACCAGTACCTCTCACTTTCATATCAATGTGTCCTCATGGCAGAAGGCAGCTTTTCTGTTAAATCTGGGAATTTATCAGAAAGAGGACAACCCAAGCCTCATTTTAGAGAGAAGTCTGCTATACACTTGGAAATCTATGTGTCTATCATCCCTAAGGACATTAATGTTTATTAAACTCTCAATAAACAGTAATGTTCTTAGGGATGATAGACACAGAAGTTTCCAAGCGTATACCAGACTTCTCTCTGAAATGAGGCAAAAGCAATGGCAACAAAAGCCAAAATTGACAAATGGGATCTAATTAAACTAAAGAGCTTCTGCACAGCAAAAGAAACTACCATCAGAGTGAACAGGCAACCTACAAAATGGGAGAAAATTTTCGCAACCTACTCATCTGACAAAGGGCTAATATCCAGAATCTACAATGAACTCAAACAAATTTACAAGAAAAAAACAACCCCATCAAAAAATGGGTGAAGGACATGAACAGACACTTCTCAAAAGAAGACATTTATGCAGCCAGAAAACACATGAAAAAATGCTCACCATCACTGGCCGTCAGGGAAATGCAAATCAAAACCACAATGAGATACCATCTCATACCAGTTAGAATGCCAATCATTAAAAAGTCAGGAAACAACAGGTGCTGGAGAGGATGTGGAGAAATAGGAACACTTTTACACTGTTGGTGGGACTGTAAACTAGTTCAACCATTGTGGAAGTCAGTGTGGCGATTCCTCAGGGATCTAGAACTAGAAATACCATTTGACCCAGCCATCCCATTACTGGGTATATACCCAAAGGACTATAAATCATGCTGCTATAAAGACACATGCAACAAGTATGTTTACTGCAGCACTATTCACAATAGCAAAGACTTGGAACCAATCCAAATGTCCAACAATGATAGACTGGATTGAGACAATGTGGCACATATACACCATGGAATACTATGCAGCCATAAAAAAGGATGAGTTCATGTCCTTTGTAGGGACATGGATGAAATTGGAATCATCATTCTCAGTAAACTATCGCAAGAACAAAAAACCAAACACAGTATATTCTCACTCATAGGTGGGAATTGAACAATGAGAACACAGGGACACAGGAAGGGGAACATCACACTCTGGGGACTGTTGTGAGGTTGGGGGAGGGGGTAGGGATAGCATTAGGAGATATACCTAATGCTAAATGACGAGTTAATGAGTGCAGCGCACCAGCATGGCACATATATACATATGTAACTAACCTGCACATTGTGCACATGTACCCTAAAAGTATAATAATAATAAAATTTTAAAAAAAGAACATTAATGTTGTTTCTCAAGAGAATCAAGGGAAAATGATGCTTCAGAAAGATGTCCCACATTTATCCTGTGACACTCAAAGTACCCCAGGTTGAGATGATATGAGGAAGATTCAAGCTCTCAAGTTCAGTTTCCCAAGATCTATTCCACAGAAGATGGGCAAATCTCACCTCAGAGACCACTGACTGAAGGGCAGTCTGGTCCCAGAACTGTGGAGAACTCGGAAAAAAATGTCAAAGTCTCTGGAAAGTAGAAGCCTGTGAGAAAACCAAACCTTACCCATTCTCCCATTGCCACCCAGAGATACTGTCAACATTTGGAGCTCACAGGGGAAGTGTAAGCTTTTCCCACTGTCAATTAGACATTGTTAAGGGAGTAAGGCAGCCTGAAACTTCTTGCTCATAGGTCCCATAGTCCCCACTCCCCTTCCATCTGGCAATTTGTGCTGCAACCAGAGGAACCAGAAATGGAGTGAGAAAACTTAGGGGACTGGGTTGTAAGATCAAAGGCTGGTCTTGCAGCAGTAATGACAGTTCCTAGGGGCACTGTGACATCACTGCATTCCACTCCTCCCAGGGGAGGGGACATCAGTGCGATGCCAGAGTCACCGCTCCATGTTGTGGGAGGGAAATACAGGGTTTTGACCCAGGTCCTCGGAGATGCCAGCCCAAGAAGCCCAGGGAGGTCGAGCTTGTGGCAGCAGGAGGGGAGGGCAGAGTCTGCAGTAGGGAGCCCCAGGAGTCACCAGCCCAAAGTCACCCAGGGATGACTGGCGAGGGTGGGGCCTGGGGCTGGGGGACCCAGGTCCTGGGAGACACAAGCCCAAAGAGCCCACGGAGGTTGGGCTTGGGGCAGCAGAAGGTGAGGGCCAAGTATGGAGCAAGGAGCCCCAGGAGTCACCCGCCCAAAGTCACCCTGGGGTGATTGGCAAGGGCAGGGACTGAGCGGCTTGCTGAAGGGGTGGGGCTGACTGAGAAGACTTTGGTGAGGGGAGCCCAGAGGTGCTGGGGTTGGGGGGCCCAGTCTGGTATGCCTCAGGAGTGGTATGGACTCTGGCACCGGTCTTGTCATCGGAGGGGATCTGTGGCTGGGTTGGGGGCCATGACCTGGTACATTTTACCTTTTGAGATATAGATCATATAAAAATGGAAAATCCATAGCATGCTTGATGATTAATGAAGCAGACTATAGTATCCAGCATTCCAGGAGGATAAAATAATCACAATGATTTCTCTTTTTTGGAAAAATGTTTGTCTTATCCTCCTACATTATTGTTAAGATTTTTTTTAAAACAAGAAACATGTGTAATATCTTTAAAAACACAAAGCTTTTGGGCCGGGTGCAGTGGCTCACGCCTGTAATGCCATCACTTTGGGAGGCTGAGGTGGGTGGATCGCCTGAGGTCAGGAGTTCGAGACCAGCCTGGCCAACATGAAGAAACCCTATCTCTACTAAAAATACAAAAGCTAGCCAGGCGTGGTGGTGGGTGCCTGTAATCCCAGCTATTTGGGAGGCTGAGGCAGGAGAATCACTTGAACCCAGGAGATGGAGGTTGCAGTGAGACAAGCTCATGCCACTGCACTCCAGCCTGGGTGACAGAGCAAGACTCCATCTCAAAAGAAATAAAATAAAATAAAATACAAAATAAGTAAGAACACAAAGCTTTCAATTTAATAAGCACTTAAAGCTCTTTACTGGTTTAAAACAAATACAAGGCCCATTTTTCTAGAATCACCTGGCCTCTCTAAGCCTTGCAAATGAAACTGAATTTCTCACTTGATACCTGGCTATGACTTGCAATCATGAAAACCAAGAATTGTGTTATGTCACTGTGTACTGCTTGTTACCTGAAATCCACACTAGGCTGGGATCAAGGGTTGAATCTTTCATGATTTTCTCCATAACCTGTGTGCTTCTTATCCCAGACTGAACTAAGCTTTTTTCTAGAGTTCTACAATTTACACTTAATAGACAAGAGTGGTTCTCAAAATGTAGTCTATGGACTAGCAGCACCAGCAGCACCTGAGACCTTTTTATAAGTGCAAATTCTCAGGCCCCACCCTGGACCTGGTGAATCAGAACCCTGGAGTAGGGTTCAGCAATCTGTGCTGCAGTAATCCCTCCAAGTGTTCAAGAACCTCTGGCATACAGCAGGTAGTAAAATGTGTTTCCTTCTGTAGGTCCAAAGCCAGGGTTTACCATATGTTCTGCCTTGTTATGAAACAATGACATGCAATTAAAAGACAAGAATCTCCTTCCTACTCGCACCCTCCATCCAATGTGTTTTATTTGTATGAGTTCCATAAGAAAAACAAGCGGCAATCAGAGATTTAGTCTAAAAAGTATGTTTACAAGTGTCCGTTCTCATCCAGCCTGATCTCCTACAAAACCGTTTACATCCTCTTACATCTCAAGTTTTAAAAAAGTATCTTCACAATGTAAGACTCACGCACACTAGCAGTTCTATAATAAAACACCAAGTAGATCAGAATGTCCAACCTTACTAGAGAAGAAAAGTGGAATCATTGGCCATATTTTCAAATTGCATTCAACAGGAAATTTAAGTTTTGAATTTTTTTCACCTTTATACTTCCAAAGTAATAGAATTAAACCAGAATACGCCATTCTTTCAAAGCCTCTAGCCAGGCAAAGTTTTACTGTATTATTTATTGCTTTCAATGGATATAAAGCAGATTCCTGGTAGGCACATTCTGTATACCTGCAAAGATGCAGAACTAAACAGTTCCATCTGTTCAATATTAAACCAAAAGTCCTGTAGACCTCGGATGGTGAGTGTAATACTTCAGCACTAGCCCAAAACCTCAAATATGAAAAGATACCAAGAACACCACTAGCAAACAAAACTAAACTCTCGGTCAGGAGCAGTAGCTGACACCTGTAATCCCAGCACTTTGGCAAGCCGAGGTGGGAGGATTACTTGAAATCAGGAGTTCAAGACTAGCCTGGGCAGCATAGAGAATTCACATCTCCACAAAAATTTTTAAACATTAGCTGGGTGTGGTGGCACATAGCTGTAGTCCTAGCTACTTGGCAGGCTGAGGTGGGAAAATTGCTTGAGGCGAGGAGTTCAAGGCTGCAGTAGCTATGATTATGGCACTGCACTCCAGTCTGGGTGACACAGCGAGACTTAGATAATTATATTTTCTCCTGCTCCTGTTTACACTAAAATCACGAAGTTAAAAGGCTTTCAAATTTGGCAGGATAAAAATTAAGTGATGTGTGACTTTGGAGCTTGGCTAGTGAAAGAAAGAAAAAAAAGGAAGGAAGGAGGGAGGGAGGGAACAAAGAAAGAGAAAGAAAGGAAAGGAAGAAAGAGAGGGAAAGAAAGAAAGAGGAAAGAAAGAAGAAAGAGAAAGAGGGATGGAGAGAAAAGAAAAGAAAGCAAGAATAGAAAGCAAGAAAGAAAAGGAAAGCAAGGAAGGAAGAAGAAAGAAACAAGGAAAAGAAAAAGAAAGAAAAAGAAAGAAAGGGAGAGGAAAGGAAAAAGAAAAGAAGGAAGAAAAAATGAAATGACAAATTACTTACTGGGAGAAAGTTTTGTCACCTCAATGACAGATAAAAGGCTTGTATCCTTAGACTATAAAGAAATCTTTAAAATTACTGAGATAAAAAACAAATGATTTTCAACCAAAATGGGCAATGGAGAAACTGGCACTTCTCACAAGAATAAAAATGGCCAATGGCATATACAAAGATTCAAAAGCACAAGAAATCGAAGAAATGTCATGAAAACAATGAGATTTTCTGTATAAAGGCAGGAAAGATGACAAATGGAAAGGGGAACCTGGAGCTCTGTCCTTGTTGGTGGGAGTATAACCGGAGTCACTTTTCCTGGAGAATGATTTGAAAATTTCTATTAAAAACCCTAAAAATTATTTTCCTCCAGAAATTCTACTTCTATGAATTCAGTCCAAAAATGTTTGCTCGAGCCCATTAAAATGAATGTATAAGAAAATTCACCTCTGGGGTGGCAGTGATTAACTTAATATACATCCAGCTATTAAAAATGATGATGCCAGGATATATTTACTGCCACAGAAATATGCCCAAAATATAGTAAGTGACAAAAGACTACATATTGTGATTCTACTTTTTAAAAGGTTTATGTGCAGAAAAACATATAAAAAGCAACAAACCAGAATGTTTTGAGTGGCAAATTTAAGATTTTTCTTAATATTTGTCATCTAAATTATTACAAAAAGAATGATTTCCTTTATAATGAGGGAGAACTGTTATTTTCATTTTTTAATTTAAATCTCTTTTCTTTTTCTGATTTTTTTCTCCTGTATGTATCCCATGTAGGCTAGAATCCCTGCCTCTTGAGGTAAATCAGCCCATTTTTGGGAAGTGCGCTACAGAAAGCTGCCCCAGCTTCCTTTTAAGAGACCTGGAGACATTTTTGTTTCAAATTGTTTTATTGTTCTCAGATTAGCCTAACTGGGAGGCACCCCCCAGTAGGGGCAGACTGACACCTCATACTGCCAGGTACTCCTCTGAGACAAAACTTCCAGAGGAACAATCAGGCAGCAGCATTTGCAGTTCACCAATATCCGCTGTTCTGCAGCCAACGCTGCTGACACCCAGGCAAACAGGGTCTGAAGTGGACCTCCAGTAAACTCCAACAGACCTGCAGCTGAGGGTCCTGACTGTTAGAAGGAAAACTAACAAACAGAAAAGGACATCTACACCAAAAACCCATCTGTACGTCACCATCATCAAAGACCAAAGGTAGATAAAACCACAAAGATGGGGAAAAAACAGAGCAGAAAAACCGGAAACTCCAAAAATCAGAGCGCCTCTTCTCCTCCAAAGGAATGTAGCTCCTCACCAGCAATGGAACAAAGCTGGGTGGAGAATGACTTTGACGAGGTGAGAGAGGAAGGCTTCAGAAGATCAAACTACTCCGAGCTAAAGGAGGAAGTTCGAACCAATGGCAAAGAAGTTAAAAACTTTGAAAAAAAATTAGACAAACGGATAACTAGAATAACCAATGTAGAGAAGTCCTTAAAGGACCTGATGCAGCTGAAAACCCTGGCATGAGAACTACGTGATGAATGCACAAGCCTCAGTAGCCAATTCAATCAACTGGAAGAAAAGGTATCAGTGACTGAAGATCAAATGAATGAAATGAAGTGAGAAGAGAAGTTTAGGGAAAAAAGAATAAAAAGAAATGAACAAAGCCTCCAAGAAATATGGGACTATGTGAAAAGACCAAATCTACATCTGATTGGTGTACCTGAAAGTGACGGTGAGAATGGAGGCAAGTTGGAAAACACTCTGCAGGATATTATCCAGGAGAACTTCCCCAATCTAGCAAGGCAGGCTAACATTCAAATTCAGGAAATACAGAGGATGCCACAAAGATACTCCTCAAGAAGAGCAATTCCAAGACACATAATTGTCAGATTCACCAAAGTTAAAATGAAGGAAAAAATGTTAAGGGCAGTCAGAGAGAAAGGTTGGGTTACCCACAAAGGGAAGCCCATCAGACTAACAGCTGATCTCTCTGCAGAAACTCTACAAGCCAGAAGAGAGTGGGGGCCAATATTCAACATTCTTAAAGAAAAGAATTTTCAACCCAGAATTTCATATCCAGCCAAATTAAGCTTCATACATGAAGGAGAAATAAAATACTTTACAGACAAGCAAATGCTGAGAGATTCTGTCACCACCAGGCCTGCCCTAAAAGAGCTCCTGAAGGAAGCACTAAACATAGAAAGGAACAACTGGTACCAGCCAATGCAAAAACATGCCAAATTGTAAAGACCATCGAGGCTAGGAAGAAACTGCATCAACTAATGGGCAAAATAACCAGCTAACATCATAATGACAGGATCAAATTCACACATAACAATATTAACCTTAAATGTAA
This sequence comes from Homo sapiens, assembly GCF_000001405.40. Classification (NCBI taxonomy): domain Eukaryota; kingdom Metazoa; phylum Chordata; class Mammalia; order Primates; family Hominidae; genus Homo; species Homo sapiens. Next base: position 873,962 of record NW_025791797.1, on the reverse strand, counting down.
ATGGGCTAAATGCCCCAATTAAAAGACACAGACTGGCAAATTGGATAAAGAGTCAAGACCCATCAGTGTGCTGCATTCAGGAAACCCATCTAACATGCAGAGACACACATACGCTCAAAATAAAGGGATGGAGGAAGATCTACCAAACAAATGGAAAACAAAAAAAAGGCAGGAGTTGCAATCCTAGTCTCTGATAAAACAGACTTTAAACCAACAAAGATCAAAAGAGACAAAGAAGGCCACTACATAATGGTAAAGGAATCAATTCAACAAGAAGAGCTAACTATCCTAAATATATATGCACCCAATACAGGAACACCCAGATTCATAAAGCAAGTCCTTAGAGACCTACAAAGAGACTTAGACCCCCATACAATAATAATGGGAGACTTTAACACCCCACTGTCAACATTAGACAGATCAATGAGACAGAAAGTTAACAAGGATATCCAGGAACTGAACTCAGCTCTGCACCAAGTGGACCTAATAGACATCTACAGAACTCTCCACCCCAAATCAACAGAATATACATTCTTTTCAGCACCACACGTACTCCAAAGTTGACCACATAGTTGGAAGTAAAGCACTCCTCAGCAAATGTAAAGGAATAGAAATTGTAACAAACTGTCTCTCAGACCACAGTGCAATCAAACTAGAACTCAGGATTAAGAAACTCACTCAAAACCACTCAACTACATGGAAACTAAACAACCTGCTCCTGAATGACTACTGGGTACATAACGAAATGAAGGCAGAAATAAAGATGTTCTTTGAAACCAACAAGAACAAAGACAAAACATACCAGAATCTCTGGGACACATTCAAAGCAGTGTGTAGAGGGAAATTTATAGCACTAAATGCCCACAAGAGAAAGCAGGAAAGATCTAAAATTGACACCCTCACATCACAATTAAAAGAACTAGAGAAGCAAGAGCAAACACATTCAAAAGCTAGCAGAAGTCAAGAAATAAGTAAGATCAGAGCAGAACTGAAGGAAATAGAGACACAAAAAAACCCTTCAAAAAATCAATGAATCCAGGAGCTGGTTTTTGGAAAAGATCAACAAAATTGATAGACTGCTAGCAAGACTAATAAAGAAGAAAAGAGAGAAGAATCAAATAGACGCAATAAAAAATGATAAAGGGGATATCACCACCGATCCCACAGAAATACAAACTACCATCAGAGAATACTATAAACATCTCTATGCAAATAAACTAGAAAACCTAGAAGAAATGGATAAATTCCTGGACACATACACCCTCCCAAGACTAAACCAGGAAGAAGTTGAATCTCAGAATAGACCAATAACAGGCTCTGAAATTGAGGCAATAATTAATAGCTTACCAACCAAAAAAAGTCCAGGACCAGACGGATTCAAAGCCGAATTCTACCTGAGGTACAAGAAGGAGCTGGTACCATTCCTTCTGAAACTATTCCAATCAACAGAAAAAGAGGGAATCCTCCTTAACTCATTTTATGAGGCCAGCATCATTCTGATATCAAAGCCTGGCAGAGACACAACAAAAAAAGAGAATTTTAGACCAATATCCTTGATGAATATTGATGCAAAAATCCTCAATAAAATACTGGCAAACTGAGTCCAGCAGCACATCAAAAAGCTTATCCACCATGATCAAGTGGCCTTAATCCCTGGGATGCAAGGCTGGTTCAACATACGCAAATCAATAAACGTAATCCAGCATATAAACAGAACCAATGACAAAAACAACATGATTATCTCAATAGATGCAGAAAAAGCCTTCGACACAATTCAACAACCCTTCATGCTAAAAACTCTCAATAAATTAGGTATTGATGGGACGTATTTCAAAATAATAAGAGCTATCTATGACAAACCCACAGCCAATATCATACTGAATGGGCAAAAACGGGAAGTATTCCCTGTGAAAACTGGCACAAGACAGGGATGCCCTCTCTCACCACTCCTATTCAACATAGTGTTGGAAGTTCTGGCCAGGGCAATCAGGCAGGAGAAGGAAATAAAGGGTATTCAATTAGGAAAAGAGGAAGTCAAATTGTCCCTGTTTGCAGATGACATGATTGTATATTTAGAAAACCCCATTGTCTCAGCCCAAAATCTCCTTAAGCTGATAGGCAACTTCAGCAAACTCTCAGGATACAAAACCAATGTGCAAAAAACACAAGCATTCTTTTACACCAATAAAAGACAAACAGAGAGCCAAATCATGAGTGAACTCCCATTCACAATTGCTTCAAAGAGTATAAAATACCCAGGAATCCAACTTACAAGGGATGTGAAGGACCTCTTCAAGGAGAACTACAAACCACTGCTCAATGAAATAAAAGAGGATACAAACAAATGGAAGAACATTCCATGCTCATGGGTAAGAAGAATCAATATCATGAAAATGGCTATACTGCCCAAGGTAATTTATAGATTCAATGCCATCCCCATCAAGCTACCAATGACTTTCTTCACAGAATTGGAAAAAACTACTTTAAAGTTCATATGGAACCAAAAAAGAGCCTGCATCGCCAAGTCAATCCTAAGCCAAAAGAACAAAGCTGGAGGCATCACACTATGTGACTTCAAACTATACTACAAGGCTACAGTAACCAAAACAGCATGGTACTGGTACCAAAACAGAGATATAGACCAATGGAACAGAATGGAGCCCTCAGAAATAATGCCACTTATCTACAACTATCTGATCTTTGACAAACTTGACAAAAACAAGAAATGGGGAAAGGATTCCCTATTTAAGAAATGGTGCTGGGAAAACTGGCTAGCCATATGTAGAAAGCTGAAACTGGATCCCTTCCTTATACCTTAGACAAAAATTAGTTCAAGTTGGATTAAAGACTTAAATGTTAGACCTAAAACCATAAAAACCCTAGAAGAAAACCTAGGCAATACCATTCAGGACATAGGCATGGGCAAGGACTTCATGTCTAAAACACCAAAAGCAATGGCAACAAAAGCCAAAATTGACACATGGGATCTAATTAAACTAAAGAGCTTCTGCACAGCACAAGAAACTACCATCAGAGTGAACAGGCAACCTACAGAATGGGAGAAAATTTTTGCAATCTACTCATCTGACAAAGGGCTAATATCCAGAATCTACAAAGAACTCAAACAAATGTACAAGAAACAAACAAACAACCCCATCAACAAGTGGGCAAAGGATTTGAACAGACACTTCTCAAAAGAAGACATTTATGCAGCCAAAAGACACATGAAAAAATGCTCATCATCATTGGCCATCAGAGAAATGCAAATGAAAACCACAATGAGATACAATCTCACACCAGTTAGAATGGCAATCATTAAAAAGTCAGGAAACAACAGGTGCTGGAGAGGATTTGGAGAAATAGGAATGCTTTTACATTGTTGGTGGGGCTGTAAACTAGTTCAACCATTGTGGAAGTCAGTGTGGTGATTCCTCAGGGATCTAGAACTAGAAATACCATTTGACCCAGCCATCCCATTACTGGGTATATACCTAGAGGATTATAAAACATGCTGCTATAAAGACACATGCACACGTATGTTTATTGCAGCGCTATTCGTGATAGCAAAGACTTGGAGCCAACCCAAATGTCCAACAATGATAGAGTGGATTAAGAAAATGTGGCACATACACACCATGGAATACTATGCAGCCATAAAAAATGATGAGTTCATGTCCTTTGTAGGGACATGGATGAAGTTAGAAAGCATCATTCTCAGCAAACTATCGCAAGGACAAAAAACCAAACACCGCATATTCTCACTCATAGGTGGGAATTGAACAATGAGAACACATGGACACAGGAAAGGGAACATCACACACTGGGGCCTGTTGTGGGGTGGGGGGAGTGGGGAGGGATAGCATTAGGAGATATACCTAATTTTAAATGAAGAGTTAATGGGTGCAGCACATCAAAATGACACACGTATACATAAGTAACAAACCTGCACGTTGTGCATATGTACCCTAAAACTTAAAGTATAATAAAAAATAAATTTAAAAAACTTGTGCAATAAAGTCAAACAGCACCCAAAGAAAATGTATACCATTACAGGTTTGTTTAAAAAGCAATTTAAATTACATTGATCCACTAAACTAGAAAAAGCAAAATAAACAAAAAGGGGAAATAATTAAGACATAAGGAAAATGTGAGAAAAAAACTCACTAAATTTAAAAAATAAAACTAAAGGAGGATTCTTTCAAAAGCCTAAGATAATGAAACAGTCACGCCTCTGATAAGTGATCAAGATAAAGAAACCTTTGAAGAGAAAAGGGCATATAGCCACATGTGAATATGATGCAAAAAGTGAAAACTTTACACATCTTTACAACACCTTAGAAGTATGGGAGAAGTGTTCATTTCTTTTAAGAATCTACAGTTACGAAAACTAACTGAAGAAATGGAAAATCTGGAGACCAATACGCAGAAGAAGGAAAAAGACAGACTCATCCTCCAAATTGGACATTTATTTAAACCAGGGTTTGTCAGCCTCAGCAATATTGATATCTTGGGCCAGACAATTCTTTGTGAGGGTTCTCCTGGTGTGTTGTGGGACATTTAGTAACATCCCCTCTACCCACGGAATGCCAATAAGACCTCCCGACCGTGACCAGTTGTGACCACAAAAATGTCTCCAGATATTTCCAAATGTCCCATGGGAGGCAAAATATTCCTGCAGTTGAAAACTACTGTGTAAACTAGATCTACATCCTAGGTCTTAGGAAAAAGATGTAAAGCTTCCCGAGTTAGCCCTGCACACCGTTGATACTGAAATGAAATACGAAACTGAAAGGAAACAAACAAAACTATAATCTTATTTAATACAGAAATAAAAATGCAAAAATAAAATATTACCATAGCCATTCTAACAGTGTTTATTATAGGAATGCAAGGATGATTCGAAATTAGGAAAATTTCATCAGGTAATTCACAAATTATATTTCTCCATAGAATTGTAGGCACAATCATGAAAAACAAGGTAGCTCTATATGCATTAAGTCCACGTGATATTCAGTGAAAAACACAAGTTGCAGATGTCTTACAGAAAAAAACTGAACACTGAACACATATTTCCACCATCTGCTCTTTGTCCTGAGGCTCCACTAGAAATACAGTGAAGAATAAACAATATATAAACACACAATTACAAAAAAAAGAAATGGGGTTACCCACAGAAGAGAATTCACCTCCATTAGAAAATGACAGTAAATGGAAAATGGTTAATTAATGGAGCAAAGCAAAGCAAAGTGGAGGTCAGGGGGACACCGATAACAAGGAAGCTAATTTGTCCCACAGCAACCTGGAAAGGTTCTAGACTCAGACACCAGGTACCCCCGAGAGTGGGACTGACAGGCAAGACTGAAAACAGAGATTAACCAAAAGCCTATATAGAGAACACATTTTCCAGGCCCTGAAACACACTGCTCTCCCCCATCTCCTTAAGCAGAACCCAAGCAAACATATCTACCTCAGACAAGAGAATGTAGATTTCACCTCCAGAGAAATGGAGTAGTTCCAGCCATCATTTATGATTGCACTGGGAGATAAGATAGGGGGGTAGAGGATGACAATTAGGAATCAGCATACATTCCCCCTAAAAGCTATCAGTTGGCAAGTCTTGGCCATGAAGAACTCCCAATTTTTTATTTCTATTTTTATTTATTTTTTTATATATTTATTTATTTATTTATGTTTTTGAGACAGGGTCTTGCTCTTTCACCCAGGCTGGAATGCAGGAATGCAGCAGGATGATCACAGCCCACTTCAGCCTCAACATCCCAGGCTCAAGTGATCCTCCTGCCTCAGCCTGCCAAGTGCTGGGACTACGGGTTGGTGTCACCAGACCTGGCTATTTTTTAAATTTATTTTTTGTGAAGGTGGGGTCTCACTATGTTGCCCCAACTAGTCTTAAGCTCCTGGGCTCAAGTGATCCTCCCACGTCAGTCTCCCAAAGCACTGAAATTGTAGGTATGAGCCACCACGTCCAGCCTCCCAGTCTTTTAGTACCTCTCTCAAATATGAATGAACAAAAAAGGGAATTAAAAAGAACATACAGGCTGGGCACGGTGGCTCATGCCTTTAATCCCAGCACTTTAGAAGGCCAAGGTGGGTGGATCACCTGAGGTCAGGAATTCAAAACCAGCCTGACTAACATGGAGAAACCCTGTCTCTACTAAAAATACAAAAATTAGCCGGGCATGGTGGCACATGCCTGTAAACCCAGCTACTCAGGAGGCTGAGGCAGGAGGATCACTTGAACCCAGGAGGTTGTGGTGAGCCGAGATCACACCACTGCACTCCATCCTGGGTAACAAGTGCAAAACTCCGTCTCAAAAAAAAAAAAAAAAAAAAAGACTACAAATGATAAGCAACATAGAATAGATATTTAAGGAAAGGTTTTAAAAAGAAAAATAAGACCAAAATAAACTAAGAAAAAAATTTATTAAAGAACAAAGAGATGCTAGGGAGAAGACAAAAGAGTATCCAAATCACTTCATAAAGACACTTGTGAATATATTACATGAATAAAACAAAAATAGAATATGAATAAGGAATAATCAGAGAAGAAAAAGTTCTTAGAACTCAGGGTTCATCTTGGGAGTTGGTCCCCAGTGAGCCACACCTCCCAGCATCATGTCCTTGGACAGTCCCATCCCACAGTGAATCTGGGTTGGCCCCAAGATTCACTTTAACCTACAGAATTAGGTAGAAATGACACTGGACCTGTTCCAGGTCTAAGCCTTAAGAACACCTGGCAGCTCCACATCTGCGCTTCTAGTAGCCAAAATAAGTACTGACTAATCTCTCGGGGAAAGAGAAGCCATATGATGAGGCCAGAGAGGAAGGCCACATGAAGAAACACCAAAGCAGGTGACCTGTGGGTGAAGAAGCCGTCTCAGACATTCCACTGCAGCTGAGCATCCAGATGACCAGTGCCTGACACCATCTAACCGCACAGTGAGAGATGCCAAACGAGACCAGCAGAAAAACTGTCCAGCTATCCTCAGTTAACCCATACAGTAGTGACAGGTAGACAAATGTATAGTTTTATGCCATTAAGTTTTGGGAAAATTGGTTAAGCAACAATAAATAACCAAAACAAAACTTAACGTTGATTGTCCAAATAAAATTTCCTAAAAGTCAAAATATAAGAAAAATATTCCAGAACTTAAAATTTTTTTAAAAATTAGAAATAATGTGACATACAAGTCTCAAGACAAGAGGACTAAAATCCAATTAACAGACACTTCAGAATGAACAAATAAAGTGGAAAAGAGAAAGTTAACAAAAATATGACAAGATTCAAGATTCCAACTTTGAAAGAGCCGATCCATAGGCCTATCCATTCGGTATACCCAGCACAGTGAATGAAAAAAGACACACACTAAGTACAATGTTGTGCTATTTCAGCTCACCAAGGAAAAGACAAACTCCTAAAAGCTTCCAGAGAGAAAGTCATGCATGAATGAGTGAAACTCAGGATGGCATGAGGCTTCACCACCATGACTGGTTAGAAGACAACAGCACAGACTTTGAAATTCTAAGGTAAAATTATCCTCAACCTAGAAATACATAATCAACCAAACTATCAATCAAGTGTGAGGGTAGACTATGACAAAAGTGAATAGTGATGGGGATGGGCTAAGCACCAGGCACTGTTCTAAATGGTTTACATGTACCAACTCATTTAATCCTCATAGCTCCCTAGAAACATAGGTACTAATACTATTACCGGTTCCCCCATTTTGCAAATGGAAATTGATGCATAGAGCAATTAGGGAATCTGCCCAAGGGCATACAGCTAATAAGTAGTAGAACCAAGATTCAAATCTATCTCAGACTGGCTCCAAAACCCAAACACTGGATTGTATTTTTTCAGAAGCCAGAGATCAGAAAATATACCACTCCATGCTTTCTCAGGGTTTTACTTGAGGACATAGTCAGGTAAAATGACAAAGGGAAAAGCCAAGAAAGATGACATGGGATCCAGGAAACAATGGATGTACTCTAGGCGAGCAGATGAGAAAAACCTCAAGATGACATGTGCACAGCCAACCCGAAGAACAACCTGCCAAAATGGGCACAGAGGAGCCAAAGGCTTTGGAAGAGAAGGAGATCTCACAGAAAGGGCTACAACAGAATTTTTTAAATTAAAAATTACTATTATGAGGAAGACACTGCAAAACAAAAAGTTTGAGGGATGGGAGGAAGAAACTGAGATCACAGGGAAAATTGTAAGAGACATTCAGAAGGACAGGTCTTAGAAATTTACTAGTTTGGGGGGGCGGTCAGAGAACAGTTGTATATAAAAGAATATTAAGACAGTTCCCAGGTTTAGGCATATGTGACTAGATAGAGTGCTAGGAGATGGATACGTGAAAATTTAAATATCATCATTTTGAACACCCATGTCACTCCAAGCGAGATTCCCTAACATATATGATATGCAGACAGATATATGGGTTTGAAACTCCGGAGATGAATACAAATTTAGGAGTCCCTGGAACACAGGTCATGACTTAAGTAATGGGAGTCAAAGATTACTCAGAGAAAGCACAGAATGAGAAGAGAAGAAAGAAGTAGGACAAGGAAGAAGAGATCGGAGGAGACCAAGGCAGGGTGATAAGATCAAAACAGGAGAAAAGAATCCGATAGAAGTCTCATTCGATTATCATGTCCCTTCCCAGAGGACAGAGACATGCCTTTTTTGTCTTTTATACCCAATTATCACAGGTCCTGGTGCAGCAGACACACAGTTTTTTTTTTAATTGTGTTGTACTATTCACAGTTTCCTTTATCCACCAGGGGAGAAAAAAGTAAGTATAAAGAAGCACAGACACAGATGTTTTTACACTGTGTACTAAAGGGGTCAGATTATACACAATATTTTATGCCTTACTTTTTTACTTAATATATCTTAGAAGTTTGCACATGCTCTTATGGAAAGACTGGCTGCATTTTTTGGTCCACAACAGAACAACAGAATATTCTATTATAAAATTGTACACTATAATTTTTATTTAACCAACTCTTTATTGGTGGACATTAAGAATGGAGGAATGTTTCAACAAAGGAACAATCAACAGTATCAAAATACTGCAGAGGGGTCAATTTGGGGACTAAGAGGGGAGCCACTGGATTTGACAACTAGGAGATAAATTTTAGTGCAACGATGAAGGCAGAATCCAGATTATAATGAGCTCAGTGAAAAAAGGTGAAGACATGTAGCTTATTCTCTCAAGAAACTAGGCTATGATAAACTGGCAGAGGCTCTAAGAGTGGGAGGTGAGTTGTTTTCTCCTTCATGTAAATATATTTACTTTTTTAAACACTAGGCCCAGTTTTATATCCTACTTCATTTAACTTTATGAACATACTTATGTATGTATGCATGTATGTATGTCATGTAATGTTTTAGACACTGAAAAATAACTCATTTCTGCTATTATAAAACTGGTATCTTTAGATGTTCAGATGCAACTTCCTAAAAGGAGGTAGCAGTAATGGAGCTATGTCTATCAGTCTTTCCCATCAACCCCCTTGCTGGAGATGTAAACATGTGTCCATCAAGCCTTTAATTTTTACCTCTTATCTTCATGGCTCTCCACACAAAACTTAACTCTTTTTTTTTCTATTTGTATATGTATATTTACATGTATATGTATATTTATATGTATATGTATATCGAGAGAGAGAGAGAGAGAGAAAGAGTCTTGCTATGTTTCCCAGGCTGATCTCAAACTCCTGGGCTCAAGCAATCCTCCCACCTTGGCCTCGCAAAGTGCTGGGATTACAGGCATGAACCACTGTGCCCAGCTGCAGCCTGAACTCTTAAAATATCTTCAAACCAATATTCTTCTGTTCTAATTTTTAAGAATAGATGTGTTTAAACCAACTGTAACTTATTTTGACAAAAATTGGAGTTAAGACTCAGACTTCCTCAAATAGTTCTCCTAAAACCATTTACAGAATAATCTCTCTTTTCAGTATTAAGTTAAAATACCACCTCTTCCTTACACTAAATTCTCATTTGCATGACTCTGGTTCTAAACTTCCATTGACTTTATCTGTCTGGCCCAGGGCTAGTCCACAATATTTTATTTAATATCTGGTTGAAAGAGTCTATACTTTATTAATTTTTATTATTTATTCTTCTAAACTAACTTTAGAGTCGTTTTTGTCAAGTGTCAAAAATAAATCTGCTGGAATTTGTGCTGAAATTTGTGTATATATATATACACACTATATATGATATAAAATGTATATATACAATTTATATATATATATAATATGAAATGTATATATACAATTTATATATAAATATATATATAATATGAAATGTATATACATATATATATATATACACACACACACACACACACACACACTTTTTTTCTGCTTTTTTTTTTTTTTTTTTTTTTGAGACAGGGTCTCACTCTGTCACCTAGGCTGGAGTTCACAGGCATGATCTCGGCTCACTGCAACCTCTGCCTCCCAGGCTCAAGTGATCCTCCCACCTCAGCCTCATAAGTAGTTGGAACTACAAGTGTGTGCCACAGACACCCAGCTAATTGTCATCTACCTGCCTCAGCTTTCCAAACTTTTGGGATTACAGGTATGAGCCACTGTGCCCAGCAGAAATTACATTTACAAATTAATATGAAGACATGGTGATAACTAACATATTTATAACATGAAATCTGCTCATCCAGGAACATAGAATGCAAATCTTTCATTCCACTCAGCAAAATTTTGTCCTGTCCTTGATAAAAGTCCTGCACATCTAAGTTTATTCCTAGGTATTTAATTTTTGCTGAAATACCTGAAAAAATACTTCATCACTATATCTTCTATGTGATTATAAATAACATTTAGGAAGGCTATTGATTTTTATATAAAAGAGCTTTTAACCAGTAATCTTAAAAATTGTTTTTTTCAGTTGGTTCCTTTGGATATTTTTAGGTAAACAATCATGTCAACTGAAAATAATGATTGTTATTTTTCTATATAGACTACGACATCATGGGAAAATACAGTAAATACTTTTTAAAAGAATATAAAAGGGCTGGGCACAGTGGCTCACGCCTGTAATCCCAACACTTTGGGAGGCTGAGGCGGGAGGATCACGAGGTCAGGAGATTGAGACCATCGTGGCTAACATGGTGAAACCCCATCTCTACTAAAAAATACAAAAAATTAGCCAGGCATGGTGGTGGGCACCTGTAGTCCCAGCTACTGGGGAGGCTGAGGCAGTAGAATGGTGTGAACCTGGGAGGGGGAGCTTACAGTGAGCCGAGATTATGCCACTGCACTCCAGTCTGGGTGACAGAGCAAGACTGTCTCAAAAAAAAAAAAAAAGAAAAGAATATAAAACTATAGAGAATACGACCTCAACTATTTAAACATATGTATAAGGGTTATGTATTTTACTAGCAAAGAAAAAATATATACTGGTAGAAAATGGCCATCATGTCAACTGTCAATAGTGGTTATATTAGGTAGAGAATTTATGGGAGACTAATTTTTTTCTTTTTGCTTTTCTGTACTTTACTAATTTTCTCAACAATGGTTGCTTGTGAGTTTTATAATAAAAAAAGTTTTAAAAATTTTTCCAACATGGAAAGTTATATTTCTTTATAAACTAAGAACAAAAACAAAACTTCCTATTTGAATACCTTTGACTTTTACTGCAGACTTACAGACCCTTGAAAGAAAAGGCAATTCCCTCCCAGTAGTTTTGGTGTCATTCTCCCCATCTCTCCCTTCACTTCCACCTTGGTCTTCTTTCTACTTCCCACCTTGGCTAGTGGTCTCCACCCAAAATGCTTGCTTGGCTTAATGGTTAGAATTCAGGGAAAAAGAGATCCCAAATTGCTAATCTAAACTAAGGTTATACATGTGGGAAATAATAAAGAGAAACCAGGTAGTAAATAAGATTTGGAGGACTTAAAATACCCAGACTTTAATTCCTCTAAGTTTATAGTTATTAATCATGTTTTTTATCATATTATCTCTTAACATTTAATTTCTAAATATAATGTTTATAAGGAAAAGAGAAAACAGCTTGGCTTCTTTCCTCACCGAATTGTTGTTCTTAGCATCTTCTAGACATTCCAAAACTGATGTCAGATTTGGCTCATCAGAGTCCACAAACCATATCGGTGAAGAAGATGAATAGGATTCCTGTTTAACCCAGAGACACCTATGTTAAATGTTTACATACAGACTAACCCAAATATGCAATTAAACCACACCACTAAATGGCAAGATGACCATGGATTTAAACAAAATGTATGGGGGAAAAGGCAACACGTTTAAACCCATGTGAGGAGCTGGACTTCTGAGACAGCCATTCTCCTTGCATAGCACTGTCTGCTGCTACAGCTCATAGAAGTCAACAATTTTCTTCAACACTGGTAGGCAGCCTCTAAACGGCCCTGATCACCCTCACCTCCTGCCATTCACACCCTTGTAAAATTCCACCCCTGGACCTAGTGACTCACTTCTAACAAAGAGAATACAGCAAAAGTAATAACATCACTTCTGAGGTGAGGCTACAAGGAGACTACGATGCCTGCCTTGGTCACCCTTCTCCTGCTCTTTCCATTGCTCCCTCTGATGGAAGCCAGTTGCCATGTGATGAGGTGCCCTATGGAGAGGCCCACGTGACAAGGTATTGTAAAAGGCCTCTGACCAATAGCCATCTAGAAACGGAGGCCCAGTCCAGCAGCCTCTGAGATGAATCCTGCCAACCTGAGCTTGGAGACAGATTCTCTCCCTATCCTGCCTTGGGATGATCACAGCCACCACCAACACCTTCACTGCCTGGTGAGAGGCCAAGCCAGTGAACCCAAGGTAAACTGGACAGAATCCTGACCCACAGAAACTGTGAGATAATGTTTGTTGTTTTAAGCTGCTCAATTTGTTACAGAGCAATAGATAACTAATTCAAACACCATAAAATTCGTACATTTTATTCTATCACACAAACCAAGTAATACGAATAAATGCATTATACATATATTTTTGGGACACAATTACATGTGATTTTTTAAAAAGCTAATGAACTAAGCATTATGCACTTTCACCCACTAATAGACATTTACTCTGTTGCATTGTACTGTCTTCTATTAGAAATTGGCGAAAAGCAATTGTTATTATATATTAGCTTCAGAAGAACTAGGTTCAAGTCAAGGAAAACCAAGAAAACCAGAAAACCATGAAAACCACGGAAAACCAGAAAAACAAGTTGGCCGGGTGCGGTGGCTCACGCCTGCAATCTGGGCACTTTGGGAGACTAAGGTGGGTGGATCACGAGGCAGGAGATTGAGACATCCTGGCTAACATGGTGAAACCCTGTCTCTACCAAAATAAAAACAACTAGCCAGGCATGGTGGCTCATGCCTATAGTCCCAGCCACTCAAGAGGCTGAGGCAGCGGAATCGCTTGAACCCGGGAGGCAGAGGTTTCAGTGAGCTGAGATGCGCCACTGCACTCCAGCCTGGTGACAGAGCAAGACTCCATCTCAAAAAAAAAAAAATAAGTAAATAAAATAAAAAGGAAAAGAAAAACAAGTTGTATTGAAGGAGGACATCATTAACAGTCTATCTCTTCAATAATGATTTATTTCACTATTCTCATTCTTCTCATTCCTCTCTTACAGTGTCCCAAATCTTTTTACAGGCTAAAAGAAACTCTTCAGAATGAATCCTATTCTTTTTGTTTCGTTTTGTTTTTGAGACAGAGTCTCGCTCTGTCACCCAGGCTGGATGCAGTGGCACGATCTCAGATCACGGCAAGCTCCACCTCCTGGGTTCATGCCATTCTCCTGCATTAGCCTCCAGAGTAGCTGGGACTATAGGCACCTGCCACCACGTCCGGCTTATTTTTTGTTTTTTAGTAGAGACGGGGTTTCACTGTGTTAGCCAGGGTGGTCTCGATCTCCTGATCTCCTGATCCACCTGCCTCAGCCTCCCAAAGTGCTGGGATTACAGGTGTGAGCCACCGTGCCTGGCCCAATGCTATTCTTAAAGAATACCACTTACTGACTATTGCATTTTCTTCTTCAAATTCTTCAGCATACATTGGGAATACACCATATGGACCATTTTTAAATTTTTAGTTTGGGTTTTTTTTTTGGCTAAAGAAAATGCAACTAGATTTACGACCTCATTCTATTAGGTTAGTATTTGTCTAGTAAACTTCAGCATAAGCAAAGTAGAATACATGTTGCTGCTCTGGACTGAAACCCCTCAAAACCATATTTTAAAAACTACAAAAACATTAACTGAAATCAAGTTTTTAAAAATCTTGTAGATGAAAAGATATGATATATAGTAGGTTTAAGTACCTATTTCAGTGGTTCCCAAAGTGCAGCCCTCAGACCCCCAGGTCCAAACTGTTTTGACAGGAATACTAACATGGTGACATTTGCTGTAAGGGTGCAGATGCAATGGTGGGTAAAAATGCTGGTACTTTAGCATAAATAAAGGCAGTAACACCAAACTACTAGTAGTCATGGTATGACTACTGTGCACGGGAAAGGTTTAAAGGTGTAAAAAGGAAGGGAGGGCTGGGCACGGTGTCTCACGCCTGTAATCCCAGCACTTTGGAAGGCCAAGGCGGGCAGATCACCTGAGGTCAAGAGTTTGAGAGCAGCCTGGCCAACACGGTGAAAGCCCGTCTCTACTAAAAATACAAAAATTAGCTGGACATGGTGGTTGCATGACTGCAGTCCCAGCTACTTGGCAGGCTGAGGCAGGAGGATTGATTGAGCCCAGAAGGTTGAGGCTACAGTGAGCTGTGATCATGCTACTGCACTCCAGCCTGGGTGACAGAACAAGGCCGTCTCAAAAATAAAAACAATGTCTATGATGAAGCAGTGAAAAATTTACATCTTAATCCTTGAATATATCTTTTTAATATTTCAAGTGATGAAATGGGAAGTATACATGAGCACACCTACAGACTGTCAGAGAAAAAACCCTCATGAGACTAAGTCATGAAGTGAATTAACCACTTTAATGGAATATCATTTTTATTCCAAAAGATGGCTGACAAAAAATGTTATTTCAGCTTGGGTTTTGGGAGACATTTTCTCAAAAAAGGAGATTCTGTTATTTCAAGGAAAACAACAGACAGGCCATAATAAATTTCAACAATAAAATTGCTAATACTAAAACTCAAGCTTTTGAACAAAAAATTAGAATTTTAGAAAACTTATATCCACCATCGCTTTCCAAAAGTATTCTGATGAGACTGATGGTGATATTGATGAGTGTATTTTGATATTGTACAATCAAATGTATCAACATATAGAAGATCTCAGTGAACCATTATTTTTGAACTGAACTGAACAATGCATGATGTTATAATACCATGCAAGGGTAAAAGATCCAAAGTTCAAGAAAAATCAATTTTTGATGGAGTATCAAAAAAGAAGCCAAGGCAACATGGCAAAACTCTGTCTCTACAAAAAATACAAACAATTAGCTAGGTGGGGTAGTACACATCTGTAGTCCCAGCTACTCTGGAGGCTGAGGTGGGAGGATCACCTGAGTCCCCAGACACTGAGGCTCCAGTGAGCCGTGATCATACTACTGCATTCCAGCCTGGGAGACAAAGACCCAATCTCAAAAAAAAAAAAAAAAAAAAAAAAGAAATATCCATAATGATCTAAAATGGCTATCTGTATCAGATTGGCCTTTGTTCACATTTTTTCAAGCAAATATCACACAATAAATTGAATGGAAATGCAAATGACGTATCAAACATCAACGAAATTTGCAAAAGGTGTAAGATTGTACTACTTTGGGTTTAGAAATTTTCTTTTCATAAAAGCATTTATAACAAAATTTGGTGAGCTTTTAAAGAATATTCTAAATATTTCTGATTTAATTTCTAGTGATAAATACCAATAGATATAACCTATATACAGAAAAGCTCCTTGGGCCCTCAATATACTTTTAAGAGTGTAAAGGAATCCTGACCCCAAAACTTTGAGAACTGCTGCCTTCCCCTCCACTTTCTTCCTTCCCTAGAATTTCTTCCTTGGAAGAAACATTCCTTTGCCATTCTATGTTAACTTACACAGTTCTATTGAGGCCAGTTTTGCTACCTCTCTCCCATCTTTCCACATCCCGCTCTTGACACAAAACCTGACCAAAGGACTCTACCCGCCCACCTCATTTCCAGTGATTAGCTCTCAGGTGGGCTAAGCCAAGAAAATCTGGGTTTTCCCTGAGACTAGACCTCTCTTTCTGGGAGATATGGAATCACAGGGACAAGATTGGCCACCTAGGGATAGTCAGAATTCATCTTGCCTAAATGGGAAGAGGTTAGGCAAGTTTCTAGAATGCCAGACTGCTTTCTAGAAAGTCAAAGTTAATTATACTTTCTGCCATGACTGTGAGAATGCCCATTTCATTGCACACTTTCTGACATTTTTACCAATCTGATAAATAAAAGCTGGTACCTAGAAGAAAAAAAGGCTGGGTGTGGTGGCTCATGCCTGCAATCCCAGCACTTTGGGAGGCCAAGGTGAGTGGATCACCCGAGGTCAGGAGTTCCAGAACAGCCTGGCCAACATGGTGAAACCCCATCTCTACTAAAAATAGAACAATTAGCCAGGCATGGTGGCAGCCACCTGTAATCCCAACTACTCAGGAGGCTGAGGCAGGAGAATCACTTGAACCTGGGAGGCGGAGGTTTTAGTGAGCCAAGATCATGCCATTGCACTCCAGCCTGGGTGACAAGAGTGAGACTTCGTCTCAAAAAAATGTTTTTTTCCATACAATATAATTTGTTCCATCTCTAGAAACCAATTCAGCAATGAGAACTGAAAGCGACCACAGGGAAGGTTTCAAAGATTTAGCTCTACCTATTGATGTCTAAAGCATTAGTTAAGGTAGAAAACACACACACACACACACACACACACAAACACAAACACTCACTCACTCACTCCTATGTATTCAGTACCAGAAAACGCGAATGACTAGATGGTATAGTCATCCAACACAAAGCACACAATAACTGAAGGCACTGTAGATGAGTAACTTATGACACGGATCTACAATATTGTTGAGTGAAAAAGCAGGTTACAAAAAAAATCTGATTTTTTAAGGGAGAGGGAACACACACAAGCAAAGGAGAAAAGAGATGAGCAGATGATGGGAAAGATACAAAATTCTGACAGTGGTACATTCTGAGTGGTAGAATTATTGGTATTATGTTCTAGTTTTGCCTAAAAATTTTCTAAATTTCTTAAGAAGTTTTTGTTATCCATATTATAAAATATCCATCACCCCAGGAAACTTAACCTTGAGCACAAACTCTACAACATGTTCAATGTTTTCAGTTTAATATTTAAGAAACAATCTATTTTGAAAGACATCTAAAATGATGACCAATATTTAAACCTATGCATTAATATTTTTCAATAGTATGCTTTATATTTTGTAATTTTGATAAGTTTAAGTTTTAGATCCATCTTGAAAAGATAAGTTTTCTATTTGTCTTTAAAATATTACCTATAATATGCCTGTTTTTAAACAGTGAATGATGCTCAAAAATCACAATATAAATTCAGGCAGTGTTCCTTCCATGGAATGTTTAAGTGTTCCTAACACTGTTCTTCTTCACCGATTATGAAAACACAGAACAATTATCTAAGCATCTGATTATTCAGGTCCTTTGTTTCTCCTCCATTCTGTTAGTTTTATACTAATTTCAAGGCCCGTGAGGATGAAGTTGTCTGTGACAGCTACCACAAAGGTTACCATCAGCAGACAAATTTCCAGCAAGTTTATCACCACTACCATCCCCACCATAAAACTGTCTCAATCAAGGGCAACACAATTCAAGGTTAGCCAAGACAACCTCTTTACCTGTCACTGCTTAAGAAAAGGATGTTTTGGTCTTATTTAGAAATAACTTTCTGTATCTATTTTTCTCCATAATTCCACTGAGACCAATGTGTGCCCCTATCTCAAGCACCAGCAAGCAAAACTGCCTGCTAGTATGTTCAGTTTTTGTATCTTTCCAAATGTAGGGCACAGCTATCTTTTGATATCATAATTTTTTGAAAACTGACGCACAAACTTCTTATTGAAAGTTCAGCCGGGCGCGGTAGCTCACGCCTGTAATCCCAGCACTTTGGGAGGCCGATGCAGGCAGATCACGAGGTCAGGAATTCAAGACCAGCCTGGCCAACATGGTGAAACCTGTCCCTACTAAAACTGCAAAAATTAGCCAGGTGCGGTGGCAGGTGCCTGTAATCCCAGCTACTCAGGAGGCTGAGGCAGGAGAATTGCTTGAACCTGGGCAGCAGAGGTTCCAGTGAGGCAAGATCGCACCACTGTACTCTGGCCTGGGTGATAGAGTGAGACTCCATCTCAAAATAAAAAATAAAAAAAAGAATTTCAGATATACAGCAGTTGTAATTCTTCTGAAGGCTGCTTATGGGACACATTACTTTCATACTTTGCTGTTCGATAAATGTGGGGTGGAGAATAAAGTAAATTGACAGAATTACCATATAAAATAAAATTCGAAGTCCTCTGACAACAAAAGAAACTTAAAATACACACACACACACACACACACACACACACACACACACACACACACACACAGACACACACGGTTTTCCCTGCTAATCATTTTACAACAACCACGTAGCTAACCCAGAGCCCACAAAAGCAGAGTCAAAATTCTAACACTTGGTAAAATAAAAATGCACATATATCCCTGTCATCTAAAAAAAATGCTTAAGTATTCAAAGACAGACAGCAGTTATAGCTACTGAGAACATCATTGTAAGCAAACTGAGGCAGAGAAAACAAACGTGCTGATGAGGATTTGAAACACCTAAGCTGCAGAAACCCACTAGGTGGTTTCCTAGGTTCCGAGTTGGCATTATCTTTCAGAACGATCTTCTAGAAGAGATCACATAACACTGTTACAAAGGATCTGGAGAAAGGGACCCTGGCTTCATCACTCTGGCTCTCCAGTCATGCTTTACATTTTCACTTCTTACACTCTCTTTCATAGGAAGTCAATTTACAGGCCTCCATCAAGCCCTTAGAGACCTTTTTGTACTATCCATGACAAGTTCTTGATGTTATGTCTGCACTTCTGACAAATTCTTAGCAGTTAACTTACAAGGCAGTTAAGATTTTTGTTCAAGCACAATATAGCTAGAATAGGCTCATACGTTCAATAAAACAAATATTTACCAAGCATTTATTGAGTGGAAGATAAAAAGCACAAAGCATAATTATATTCTCCCCTGCCACCATAAAAAAATTTTTTAAAGCCTTATAGAATAAGGCATAACATGACCAAAGCAAAAATAGTGAGGACTAAAGAGGGGAGGAAGGGGAAATATCAGCATGAATTAAATATGACCCAGAAGAGCCTTGATGGTCAGACACGTAAAGACAAATTGGGTAGGGTTAGGGGGTGGCTGTCAGGGGCACATTCTACAGGGGAAAAATAGATGATACAGAAGCCTGAAAGGAAAAGCGGGCAGAGCACCTGGACAGGACTCTTACCTGCCGCATCCAGGGTACAATGCGCCTTTCCAGAACACAGCAGCGACCCGGGGTAGAGGGATCGCTCAAACAGCACCAGAGGCTGCATTCCAACTTTTCCTCCATCAACGAGTCCGTTTTCATTGTTAGTTTCTCCTTAAACACGATTGGCTGAACATGCGGGAACAAGGAAAACCTGACTGAAGAACGAGGCATTTAAGCTTAAGGGCCTTGGATCCGGGCGCGGTGGCTCAGGCCTGTAATCCCAGAACTTTGGGAGGCAGAGATGGGTCATTTGAGGTCAGGAGTTTGAGACCAGCCTGGCCACCATGGTGAAACCCACTCTCTACTAAACAACACAAAAGTTAGCCTTCCTCTTCTGCTTTTCCCAGCAGGAAAGGCCCAGCCTCACCTATGCAACCTGCAGCCCCCCGCCAACCAGTTGAGGCTCCCCTCTTAGACTTATATGTCTATGGCCAGTGCCATCTGGCTACCTGCCCTCCCTGCCTTCCCTAGGGTCCCTCAGAGGACCCTGGGTTTTCTGATGGCCCAGAGGGGCCTCTGGCGACCACTCCAGCCAGCCATCCCTTATAGCTCCACCATTTTGGTTCAGGCAGTGTTCCTTCTCTATCAGGCCTGGTGGCTGTTGGATGGGGCTCTCCAAGCAAGAGGTGGCCCTGGGCCAGTGGGTTGGAAGACATGGGGACCACAGAAGAGGGAAGCCCGAGGGAGCTGGCATTGGTCTGAACTGTGGGTGGATGGGTGGATTGCCTGGGTTCCATGAGACAGGCCAGCGTGTGTGGGGTAGGGAGGGCCGCCGCAGTCCCCAGGCACTACCTATGAAGCTCCAGCTTCTCCCTCCATCTCCCTCCCCTTTTCCTTCCAGCCCCTCTTTTCCAGGAACCTTGCCACGCCCACACGTACGCCCTCCCCTCCCCGGCCCTCCACAGCTGCTGCAGCGCACCCATACTCTGCACTTGCCTCACCAGCTCTGGCTTTTCTCTAACCCGTTTTCTCTCTGCTTTCTCTCCAACTGCCAGCTGATCGGGTCAGGCAAGTCCATCCCATCCAGGGAGCCCCAGGCCCCACTTCGACGTCTAAACAGATCCCTCTTCCCAGAGACCTCCCTTTCCAAGCCTGCCTGGGCGGGTGTCCTGTGACTTGACAGTGGCTCCCCCAGCCCCAAAGCCAGCCCCCTTCATCTGTGACTTAGTCTGTTGTAGTGGTGAGCTGACACGTCCAGGTGTGACCGTTGCTGAAAACTTGTGCCTCCTCTGTGGTATGCCCCTGCCCTGTTCTATAGCTATAAATTCTCACACACACATACACAAACACACACACACACACACACACACACACATATATACATATATACACGTGGCCAACTGCCTCACCTCTAGCACTGGGAATCAGTCCCCGTGCTGTGCTTGTGGAGTCTTGTAGCCCAGCAAGAGGAAGCTGTCTCCTGACATCGCCCCTCCAAAGTGCACCACCTCCAGTGAGCTTCCGGGACATGCGCGGCGTGTGGAGAGCCAGCCCCCGCCATCCCTCCCGCCCTTCTGGCCAAGCATGGCGGTGCTGTGCAGGCAGCTGTGTGGCCTGACAGTCTCTACCAGTCCTGCTGTCCCTCGGCTGAGAAACCCATTTCTGGATGACAGAGAATGTGTCCTCTGCTGGCTGTGTTCTCTATGGAGCTCAGGGGATGGAAAAGGCCAAGCCATTTTTAGGGTGTTGTTGGGAACAGTGAAAAGGTCACACCCTTTTCAAGGGACACTTTTCCTGGAAAGTCCCTGGAGCTCAGCTGGCTCTTATCCTGTGAAGCCGGCTCTGGCCACTAGGGGACAGGGCCCTGAACTCAGCCTGGAAGGAGCCTGTGGGGCAGCCGGCACTCTGGAGGGACAGACAGGCCACCTGGTGCAGACAGGAACGGGAGGAGGGGGATGGAACGGAAGACACCTGGGGTGGATGGAAGTCAGTGCCCTTGGGCACTGGTATCTGTCTTCCCTGCCACAGCTAGATCAGGCTTCTCAACCTGTTGACTGTCAGGGCCGGACTGTACTCCGTAGGTGCCATGGCAGTCCCCGTGAAATCCACCAGGTGTCACCAGGCAGCATACAGGTAACAGGCCTGGAAGATTCCCCACAGCCCAGCTGGACATGCTGAAACACTCTGGGGCTCCTCGTTGAGTGGGACAAACTGCAGGACCCAGTGAGGGAAACGGGAACATAACAGGCCGAGCAGTATGGCTAAATCCATTTATTCCAAAATCAAAAGCAAAACAACAACAAACCAAAAACAGGAGTCCCATCACCAGGGAGCCATGACCCCATCCCCGCCTCCTTCCTCGCTCCTATGCTAGCAATAAATAAGTTTCCCAGCCGCGAATAATTATAAGAACCTCTTCCTCATATGCCAGCTGCAACCTCCGCTAGGTACGATACAGAATGTTACACAGCTACAGTATGTACACGGGGGAAGGGGGGCCACCCCCAGCAGCCTGTGCCCTGGCCTGGTCTACAGTTAACTCCACTGTCCCGCCTCAGCTGCCTCTCTGAGTAAGAAGATGGGAGCCCCCCTGAGGGAAAAGTTGCTTTGGTGAGAGTAAGAAGGCCGTCAGACCTCCTCCAAACAAACCAACTCCACCAACCTCTGGCTCTTAAATAACAAACATCATCATCCAGAAATGTAAGGACTCAGCCTTGGTCAAGGTGGTAAAGGGTCTGTTTGTCTCCCTCCATTAGACAAGGGTCTTGTCTTGCTACCCTAATGGTAAAGGGCTGACTGGGGAGGGGTTGTAGGGACATGGTGGGGGTGAAGACTCCAGACCCACTTCTCCAGGCTTATGCTGACAGGGGCCTGCTTTTATTTATTTTTATTTTTATCCCATGACTTTTTTTAAATCCTGTAACTAATTTTTCATAACTTTTTAAAATAACTTTTCATAAAACTTTTTTTTTACTTTTTTTCCACAACTTTTTTTTGCCACTTTTCCACAGTATTTTTTTATCCTGTAACTTTTTCATCCCACAACTTTAATTTCTGTTAACTTTTTTAGTTTGTGTTCTTTTAATAAACACACTTACATAGTTACAATTTTGTAAGAATAAAAACCGATTACCTCATGCCAAGCATGCCGAGAATTTGCAGAGTCTCAATACCCAATACTATAGTTTTCAAGACACACAAAATTTTTAGGCAAAACAGCACCTTGAAACAATTTAATAATGTATTACATTACAGTAGCATCACAGAAGCAGTCAATAATGCCACTTTAGACAAAAATCAGTATTTCCATTATGCATTCTGTGTATAAGAATTCATAAATCGGTAAAAGTCATTCTAAGAAAACTTGGCAAATACAGCTTTGGACTGGAATTGGCATTTCTTTGTCTACTTTTCCTTCCCCTAGATTCTTTGTTTTAAACTACAGTATTCATATTTTAAAATGTTTTAAATTATTTTAAGACGTTAATATAGCAGTTACATTTTTGAATAGTTATTTGAAAGTGACTGTAAGATAAAGTTTTAGAGAATCTATTATGGATAGGGTTGATTTACATTTTCACATTTTCTAAAAATCAGCTTTGGTTTTAGAACTGATTGTTTTTCATTTTGGGAAAACCTACCAGGTTTAATCAATTACTTTAAAAATAATTATCATATTTTGCAGTCTTTAAATAGGTGTTTTGATTCTTTACTCCCTAGAGAAATTCAAATTTATTCAGTTGAAGTCACATTTTAAAATTCTATGTTCCTGCTGAACTCTAACCTTCTAATGTTGCCTTCTAAGCAAATTAAAGGCTGCCTTATACTGAATGAGGTAGAGAACAAATACTTGGCTGAATGAGGTACTGCAAAAGACTGCATGCACTTTGAAGAAAGACTTGAGTTATTGTCATAGGATTTCCATTCTCTTTAGCTTTTTCTTAAACATATGACAAAATACCTACACAAAGAGTCGTATTTGAATTAATATAGTATATTTATTTTTCAGACTGACATTCATCTTAAATATGCCAGTATGTGATTTAATCCACAGGTACCTGATGAACACATTATTGTCAGATTGGTTACAGTTGCTAAACGCTATCTGAAGGTCATTCCTATTCATTTATACGTGTCAGGGTAAAAGTGAAGCGATTTGAACTATAAAAATACCTTTGAAATAATTTATCAATGTATTAGATAAGCTCAGTTTCAGAATGATAAACAAAAACTGTTAGACCAAATAACGTGGCTAATTAACAGTGGTACGATTTCTAGCCCGAGGGTTTAAAATGGAGTTAAAGTAAGTGTCTTTAAACTGAACTCAAAGAATGCAAAAGCGGCAAGTTCAGACAAGGCAAGAACAGGACCTTTAGTCCATTTTAAGCCATAAATATTACACAAAATATGCCTCTAACTGAAACTGAGAGGTATAAAAACATATTTCACTCTTCGTAAAGAACTTTGTGAGGAAATATAACTCTGTGATTGTATAGACACTTTCCTCATGACACTTTGACAGTCACAAACAGTAGATTGCGCTGCAGTTTGTAAACATTTTACGTTGCATAAACTGCTCCTTGATTTTCAAATGTAGTATAATACTGTCTACTAAAACTCCTTTTTGTTTCAACTAAGTACTCTCACATATATTAGTTTATAATAATGTTTGTTATTATTTTTAAAGTGTTCTCCATTCAAGGAAAAGAAGTAAATTCCTATGTCAGATGGTTGAAGACTAGCTATTAGCCAGAGAGGTCTAGATGGTAAAATCCATCTTCTAGCCTCAAATAAGCTCCATGAACACAGAGGAATGCCAGGTGTCACACAGCTTTCCTTCACTCGAATTCATTCTTGACTAGAGCCTGTATATGCCTGTTCCAGGGGCATTTAAACTCTTAAAGGATTTCTTCTGATCTTTACTAAATACATTAAGGAGAACGCCAACCAGTGCCCTTTTGTGTACTGGGACATGTAGTCATGTGATTAAAACAGGGAACATGAACGCTGACTTTAAAATGTATTGTAGATATAAATGCTCTCAGCTAGAAAAGGTTTTCCACATCCACAGTCATGATGGGAGCCTTTCATTCCTCAGAAATAATCCCTTTTCAGGTCATCAAAAAAGAGTACAACTGCCACAGCTCATGAGGCAGTATCTTCATGAGCCCAGAGCACATACAAATCCTAAGGGAACTACCGTAGTACAGCGCTCATTCTTGGCACCGGAACAAATGAAACATATTCTATCCTGCACACACCTGCCAAAGCAGGCCACTTTCCTCTTCTGGGAGATTTAAAAACCTCCCCAAAATGTTATTACTCCCATCCCCAATACACAGAAAAAGGGGGAAAGGCTGTTTCCAGTGCTCCACCTTTAAACAACTGTAAATGTCAGTACTCACAGTGGCATATTACAAAGTAATAGACCGCGCACTTGAGGGCAAACTGCATATTGAGCTAATGAAGAGCTCACTGTGATTAGGATTCGATCAAACATAACAGCAGAACATAAGGAAATTTTATCTGAATTCCGTAATGAATATACAGGCTGTACTAACATTCAAAAAGCATGGCAGCCTATCCCAAACCAGCAAGAACAGTTGTGTGCATACAGTGGGTCTTTGTGTGTTTGAACTCCCACCACATAAGGGCAAACTCGATATGCATGCTAACGTCCTATAATTATCAAATTAAAAAAATGCTAAAAGATGCCAGAGTGAACATGAGAGAAACACCCACTCTCATTTAACTTTTTACAAATAAATTTAAATTATAAATTAGAAACACAAATAAATTTAAACTATAAATTAGAAACACAAATAAATTTAAACTATAAATTAGAAACACAAATAAATTTAAACTATAAATTAGAAACACAAATAAACATAAGTGGCTCTAACATTCAAATGAAGTAAATGAATTGTGTAGGATATTAACCCCTTAAATGTTTTGTTTTTTTTTTTCAATTCCTTGACCCGCTCTTAGATGATGGTGATGTTTAGCTCCCTGTTCTCCGCAGCCCGAAAAGAATGGCATGCAGCCTCTCCTGCTCCTCCTGCCGCCTCTCCTGTACCAACAGCTTCTCCACTCAAGCCTGGGTGCTCCTGGGGAGTCCTGCATTAGAGGAAGCAGCTGCTGGATCTGCTGTGCAGTGGGGTTGTCATGGGGGAGAACCCTCCCTGTCCTCTCCCGGTGCAGCCTCCATGCTATCAGTGAGGCTCAGCCCACTAAGATCTTCAGAGAGAGGGAGGGGGGTGGGAATCTGGGCACAGTGCGAGCCTCCCCTGCTCCTGCCTGCCCACCCCGCCTGAGGGCTCTACTCACCACCCTGCTTGTCCGCACATCCAAGCTCCTTGTGGGACTGGGGCTCCAGCTACTGGTCTGGCTGCTGCTGCAGACTCGGAGCCTCTTGGCTCTTCAGCTCCACCTGCCGGAAGACCCTGGGCATGAGGACATGTGGTGGCTGGCTTCCAGATTCCTGGCCCATTAATAGGGTAGCGAGGACACTGTGGGGCTCTGTGGCCTGCCCAGGCCCCTGGCCCCTTGCTCCAGGCCTAAGAGACTGTCTCCCTTGCCTAGAACCCCATGCCTCCTTCCCTAGCATCAAATCTCACGCCCTTTTTCCCAGCATTTAAACTGTAGGCCACAGACTGGTGGAAAAGCAGGCGGAGCCAACCACCATCTGCTAAGTGTGCTACATGCCTAATGTTTCCACGTATTATCTCATTTAATCCTCAGCACCTCTGCAAGGAAAAGGCTAACTTCCTTTTGAAGTTAAAGAAACAGAGACTTAGAGATGCAAAGTAGTTGAATTATGACCAGTGGAACCGAGGCCGGAATCCAGTTTGAATCTAAGGAGTCTTTTTTGTTTGTCTGTTTTGTTTTGTTTTGAGAGAGTGTCACTCTGTGTCCCAGGCTGCAGTGCAGTGGTGCAATCTCAGCTCACTGCAACCTTCATCTCCCGGGCTCAAGTGATTCTCGTGTCTCAGCCTCCTGAGTAGCTGGGATTACAGGCATGCACCACCAGGCCCGGCTAATTATTATTATTTTTTTTAATTTTAGTAGAGATGAGCTTTCACCATGTTGGCCATGTTGGTCTCAAACTCCTGACCTCAAGTGATTGTCCTGCCTCAGCCTCCCAAAGTGCTGGGATTGCAGGCGTGAGCCACCACACCCGACATAAGGAGCCTCTTATACCACTGTCTCTTCCTCTGTGATTGGGGGGCTCCATGCCTCTAGCTGGGATGATGATGTCCAGACCTGGGAGGACCCCAGGGCTACCCACCTCTAAAAGTCAGAGGGCAGGAAGCAAGAAACAGTCATAGGACTGCCCCGGAGGGTGCTGGGGTCACCTGTCCCCAGGCTGCAGCTGCCTGTGGCCTGGCACCTCCCCTCCCCAGAGGCTGGTGCCCGCCTCCCACATCTTCTTGGATGGGTCGGAGGTTACAGTCTCTTTCAGCTCACCCGACTTCTTCAGCTCCTTTACTTGCTGCTCCAACTGCAGTGTGCTCTTGTTCTCGTTGTTCTGGACAGAGAGAAGCAATCAGTGGCCACCCACTAAAACTGGAGACCCCAGAACTTAGTGTCTGCCTCCCATGGCACCGGGAAGGGTGGAGGCAGGTTAGAAAAATATCCCCTCTCTCCCACAGCCATCAGAGCAGGGCTCTGGCTCACAGATGCCTTTAGAAGTACCATTTCATGTGAAGGCTACAATGCCCCATTTTACAGGTGGGGAAACAAAGGCCTTGAGGGCTAGGGAAGAGGGCAGCCTCCCCAGGTGGGGCAACGCACCAGCTCCTCGAAGCCGCTGCGTGGCTCGGCCCGCTGCTCGTACAGGGCTTCCCACCCCAGCTCCAGCATCCTCTCCAGCTCCCGCAGCCTCTCCAGCTCCCGCAGCCTCTCCAGCTCCTGCAGAGTCTCCTGCTGCCACAGCCTCTCATCCTGTTGCCGAAGCCTCTCCTGCTCCAGGAGCTCCTCCACCTCATCCAGGAGCTCCTCCACCTCGTCCAGCAGCCTCTCCCTCTCCAGCAGCCTCTCCTGCTCCTCCTGCCGCCTCTCCTGTTCTAACAGCTTCTCCACCTCTTCCAGCAGCCTCTCCCTCTCCAGCAGCCTCTCCTGCTCCTCCTGCTGCCTCTCCTGTTCTAACAGCTTCTCCACCTCTTCCAGCAGCCTCTCCCTCTCCAGCAGCCTCTCCTGCTCCTCCTGCTGCCTCTCCTGTTCTAACAGCTTCTCCACCTCTTCCAGCAGCCTCTCCCTCTCCAGCAGCCTCTCCTGCTCCTCCTGCCGCCTCTCCTGTTCTAACAGCTTCTCCACCTCTTCCAGCAGCCTCTCCTGCCCTGGCAGCTTCTCCTGTTCACACAGCCTCTCCTCCTGTTCACGTAGCCTCTCCTCCTGTTCACACAGCCTCTCCTCCTGTTCACGTAGCCTCTCCTCCTGTTCACACAGCCTCTCCTCCTGTTCACGTAGCCTCTCCTCCTGTTCATGTAGCCTCTCCTCCTGTTCACGTAGCCTCTCCTCCTGTTCACATAGCCTCTCCTCCTGTTCACACAGCCTCTCCTCCTGTTCACGTAGCCTCTCCTCCTGTTCACACAGCCTCTCCTCCTGTTCACGTAGCCTCTCCTCCTGTTCATGTAGCCTCTCCTCCTGTTCACGTAGCCTCTCCTCCTGTTCACGTAGCCTCTCCTCCTGTTCACGTAGCCTCTCCTCCTGTCTCCTGTTCAGGAGACTCAACATCTGATTGTTTTCCACCTCAGCCTGGAGCTGTCTTCCCACACTCTCTAGCTCCTTCCTTAGGTGGTTGGTCTCATCTTGTAGCTGCTCTACCTTAGATGGCCCTGCTGGGGGCTCTGGGGCCAGGGGTTCAGCTGAGAAAGGAAGCAGACAATAAGGGCCTCTGGATTCTCAAAAAAAAAAAAAAAATCCTCCCTTCGGTGCACAGCTCCTCCTCTCAGGCTTCCCAAACTTGGCCTCACTGCTAATGACTCCTCACACCCGGATGGTAGCCAGTCTTCCAAGTCACTTTCAGATAGAGAGCACTGTGGGTGGTTGACAATGGGCACTCCTCCCTCTTTACTGATGGGGACACTGAGGCTCATGGAGATGACAAGACTTGTCCTCCCCTGGCACAGACCTCTTTCCCTCTGCCTCAAAGCCCTTCCATCCACCCACCTCCCTGGGGCATTCTAAGTCACCCCCACAGCCCTCTAATGCCAGTCCAGCTGCCAGGTCATGCCAGCCCCATCTTACCCGTCTGGTTTTTGAGTTTGAACAAGCTCCTCCCAAGCTTCTGTACCAGATGTATCTCATGCTTCTTCTCCTCCTTAGATGTGCGAACCTGCCCAAAGCAAAGGGGGAAAAGGGCCCTGGAGGGAGGGGCTGGTGAACCTCCAGAGACAGAGTTTGAGAAGGGCCCACCCCCCTTCTGCCAGTTTGTGATTTAGAAACGTGCATTCATTCAATAAACATTTACTGAGCATGTACAGGCCAGGTACAGTTCTTCATAGCAGAGATATAAAACAGCAAAGGACAGACAGGAGCCCTTGGCCCTGAGGTTTCCATTCTAGGGGCCTTTAAATCTCTGACTTTCAGAGCTAACCGAGACCTTTGATACTCTCTACCTCCTCCAGAAACACGAGCATAAAGAGGAGAGATGGCTTGTCCAGACTCAAAAAGCAAATTAGGGACTGAGGCAGGGCAGAAATATGGACCCCTGACAACCAGTCAGGCTAGTGCTTCCCAGAGAGGTGACAACCCCAGGGCATGTGTGGCAAGGACTAGAGCAGGGGTGTCTGGAGAAGAGAGAGTCAGCAAAGAGGGCAGTGCAGAAGACCCATGCTGCATGTTCTGTGCTCTGGGGTCCCTCCAGGTGAGACCTGGGTGCCCAGCTCCCCATTTGCCCTTGGCATCAGGGGCCCCTAGCTCCTTTCTTCAGGGCCCCAAGAGGAAACTGGAGTCCAGGATTGACCAGCTGTAATCAGGGGACCCCACTGGACTCTTACCAGTGAATTGATGTTTTCAGTGAGTTGACTGATTATTGCGGAGCTTGAATCCAGGGCCACTGCTAGTTCTTGGTACTGGCTCTGAGGTGCATGCAGAGAGAAGGAGTTGGAGGAAGATTGTGGGGAGGGGTAGAGAGAATAATCATTAGGGCTGGTGGGGGTGTGTGGGCTGCCTCAGCTGGCAGAGGGGCAACAAGCCCCTGCTGTGGGAGGAGGTTGGAGGGCTGGCCTGCAGGGTCACTGCACCTCGGCCCAGGGCCTCTTACCTCCAGATCCTCCAGGGTAGTAGAGGATGCACGGCCCTCCCCGTAGATACCTGTTGCTGACTGCAAGAGATGAGAGTGCACATGGAGATGTTCTGTCCCCCCTCACTGTCTAAGCCCTCTGACTTCCTTTCTTCCCCCATCAACTGGCAAAAGCTTCTTTTCTGCCTATCTTGGACCCTTTTTCCCATAACTCCTTTGTGCCAACTTCTCTCGTGGTTCTTATCTCCCCACCATCCCACCCTGGGGCCCTTTCAGTGACTCCTAAAGGGACAGCCTGATGGCAAGTGGCTCTTCTCATTGGCCTGGCTTCCCCTTGAGACTGGGGATGAGGAAAATCAAACAGCAACGACCATTTCCTCGGTGTCCTGGGTGTTTGCAGCAGGCCATGTACTAAGGATTCACATAAAAGCAACAATAACGAATCTCATTTAAACTTCACAAATGGAAGTCAAAAAATACCACCTCTATTATACAGATGTGAAAAGAGAGGCCCAAAGACCTCAAGCAACTTGCCCTAAATCATATGCTAATCAATCCCTAATCAATTCTTAGCAGATGGAGAGGCAGGATTCAAATCCAGAATTCTTAACCAGTACCCAACAGTCCATCTACAATCTTAACAATTACCCTCTACTGCCCCTTGGGCCCCCTGTCCCCAGGACCCTGGCCCGCCGAGACTCACATCCCCAGGTGAGTGGTAACCACCAGAAGTGGCTGTGTCAGGGCTACTGCCATTGATTTTCTTTTTCCTGTTAGCTCCTGCTGGAATGCCAGGGCTCTTCCTCTGCCAATATGCTTTTAACTGTGGGAAAGAAGAGCGGTAACACTCATGAGAATGATCAGCCCCTACAGCCACATCCTCCTTTACAGTTTTGACAAAATACCCTTATATACCATCTGATGTAATGCCACCAACAACTGTACAAGGTGTTGTCACAATCACTTAGTGACTGAGAGGGATTGATATCATGGATAGAAAAAAAAAAAAAAGAAAGATCAAAAAAGGCAATACTGGAACTTAAACTCAGTCCTCTGACTCCAAGCTCTGGGGTTTTGCCATGAATCAGCAGCTTCCAGGGACCAAAACCAGGGGCAGAGGTAGAAAAGTAAACATTAAGCAGGCAGGAACTGTAGGCCGTGTGGTTTAGAGTCATACATCCTCACAGGTCTGCTAGCGTGAAGAAGCGTACCAGTACCTCTCACACTTTCATATCAATGTGTCCTCATGGCAGAAGGCAGCTTTTCTATTAAATCTGGGAATTTATCAGAAAGAGGACAACCCAAGCCTCATTTCAGAGCGAAGTCTGGTATACGCTTGGAAACCTATGTGTCTGTCATCCCTAAGTACATTAATGCATTTTCTCAAGAGAATCAAGGGAAAATGATGCTTCAGAAAGATGTCCCACATTTATCCTGTGGCACTCAAAGTACCCCAGGTTGAGACGATATGAGGAAGATTCAAGCTGTCAAGTTCAGTTTCCCAAGATCTATTCCACAGAAGATGAGCAAATCTCACTTCAGAGGCCACTGACTGAAGGGCAGTCTGGTCCCAGAACCGTGGAGAACTCAGAAAAAAATGTTAAAGTCTCTCTGGAAAGTAGAAGCCTGGGAAAAAACCAAACCAAACCCATTCTCCCATTGCCACCCAGAGATACTGTGAACATTTTGAGCTCACAGGGGAAGTGTAGGCTTTTCCCACTGTCAATGTCTATGTTAAGGGAGTAAGGCAGCCTGAAACCTCTTGCTCCTAGGTCCCATAGTCTCCACTCCCCTTCCAGCTGGAAATTTGTGCTGCAACCAGAGGAACCAGAAATGGGGTGAGAAAACTTAGGGGACTGGGTTGTAAGATCAAAGGCCGGTCTTGCAGCAGTAATGACAGTTCCTAGGGGCACTGTGACATCATTGCATTCCACTCCTCCCAGGGGAGGGGACCACATCAGCGCGATGCCCGAGTCGCTGCTCCACGATGGGGGAGGGAAACACACGGTTTCGACCCAGGTCCTCAGAGACGCCAGCCCAAGAAGCCTAGGGAGGTCGAGCTTGGGGCAGCAGGAGGGGAGGGCAGAGTCTGCAGTAGGGAGCCCCGGGAGTCACCAGCCCAAAGCCACCCAGGGATGACTGGTGAGGGCAGGGCCTGGGGCTGGGGGACCCAGGTCCTGGGAGACGCAAGCCCAAAGAGCCCAGGGAGGTTGGGCTTGGGGTGGCAGGAGGTGAGGGCTGATTATGGAGCAGGGAGCCCCAGGAGTCACCTGCCCAAAGTCACCCTGGGGTGATTGGCAAGGGCAGGGACTGGGCTGCTTGCTGAAGGGGTGGGGCTGACTGACTAGGCTTTGGTTGGGGGAGCCCAGAGGGGCTGGGGTTGGGGGGCCCCATCTGGTATGCCTCAGGAGTGGTATGGACTCTGGCACAGGTCTTGTCATCGGAGGGGATCTGTGGCTGGGTTGGGGGCCATGACCTGGTGTGTTTTACCTTTTTCTTGGCTGCGGCCAATTTCCCCTGTTGTGTTTTTTCTGACATCGCGGGGTGGGGAGGGAAGCGGGGTTGGGGCCACATCAGCGAAATACCAGTGAGCACTGCTCAATGCCTCCAGTCACCTACCAGGCAGCTGTGCAACTGAGCCACAGGTGGCGTAACCAGGGCACCAATGGAACGCAGAATAGGGGCGCGGCCTTAAGGCTCCAAGCCCATTGGTCAGTGAGAAAGATGAAAGGGAAAGGAGGCGTGGCCAGGCAGCAGCATGTCCAGAGGGACCTGTGGCATCATAAGGAAAGCTGCCCATGCAACCGCTGTCCCCGCCCACTCAGAGAAAGGGGAGGGGCCGCCCACTCTGGGAGAGGGGAAGGGCTGGGTTTTGCTTTAAAACTTTTAAAACTGTAAAAAATAAACTTTAAAAAATATATGTGTATATACTTTATATATATGTGTGTCTGTGTGTGTGTATCTATGTGTTCCTCCAGAGCTGTCTTCATTATGCAGCTTCTGTGCAAAGTCTGTGATTTTGGCCTATATTTTTCATCTTCAAATGGAGTACAAGAATTACCAGTATTACCTTAACTGAGATATAGATCCTATAAAAATGGAAAATCCATAGCATGCTTGATGATTAATGAAGCCGACTATAGTATCCGACATTCCAATAAGACAAAATAATCACAACAATTTCTCTTTTTTGGAAAAATGTTTGTCTTACTCTCCTACATTATTGTTAAGATTTCTTTTAAAAACAAGAAACATGTCTAATATCTTTAAAAACACAAAGCTTTTGGGCCGGGTGCAGTGGCTCACGCCTGTAATGCCATCACTTTGGGAGGCCGAGGTGGGTGGATTGCCTGAGGTCAGGAGTTCGAGACCAGCCTGGCCAACATGATGAAACCCTGTCTCTACTAAAAATACAAAAACTAGCCAGGCGTGGTTGCGGGTGCCTGTAATCCCAGCTATTTGGGAGGCTGAGGCAGGAGAATCACTTGAACCCAGGAGATGGAGGTTGCAGTGAGCCAAGCTCACGCCACTGCACTCCAGCCTGGGCGACAGAGCAAGACTCCATCTCAAAAGAAATAAAATAAAATACAAAATAAGTAAGAACACAAAGCTTTCAATTTAATAACCACTTAAAGCTCTTTACTGGTTTAAGAGAATTACAAGGCCCATTTTTCTAGAATCACCTGGCCTCTCTAAGCCTTGCAAATGAAGCTGAATTTCTCACTTGATACTTGGCTCTCACTTGCAGTCATGAAAACCAAGAATTTGTTATGTCACTGTGTATTGCTTGTTACCTGAAATCCACACTAGGCTGGGATCAAGGGTTGAATCTTTCATGATTTTCTCCATAACCTGTGTGCTTCTTATCCCACACCAAACTAAGCTTTTTTTCTAGAGCTCTGCAACTTACAGTTAGTATATGAGAGCAGTTCTCAAAAATGTAGTCTCTGGACTAGCAGCTCCAGCAGCACCTGGGAACTTCTTATAAATACACATCCTCCGGCCCCACCCTGGACCTGATGAATCAGAAACTCTGGAGTAGGGCTCAGCAATCTGTGCTGCAGTAATCCCTCCAGGTGTTCAAGAACCTCTGGCATACAGCAGGTAGAAAAATGTGTTTCCTTCTGTAGGTCCAAAACCAGGGATACTATATGTTTTCTCTATATGAAACAATGACGTGCAATTAAAAGACATAAATCTCCTTCCTGCTCCCACCTTCCAGCCAATGTGTTTTATTTTTATGAGTTAAATAAGAAAACAATCAGAGATTTCGTCTAAATCGCATATTTACAGGTATCAGTTCTCATCCAGCCTGATCTTATCCAATATCATTTATATTCTCTTACATGTGAAGTTTTAGAGAAGGATCTTCACAATGTAAGACTCAGGCACACTAGCAGTTCTGTAATAAAACACCAAGTAGATCAGAATGTCCAAACTTACTGGAGAAGAAAAGTGGAATCATTGGCTATATTTTCAAATTGCAATAAACAGGATATTAAAGTTTTGAATTTTTTTCACCTTCATCCTTCCACGTTAATAGAATTAAGCCAAAATACTTGTCTTCCAAAGCCTCTAGCCAGGCAAAATTTTACTATATTACTTCTTGCTTTTCAATGGCTATAAAGCAGACTCCTGGTAGGCACATTTGGTATACCTGCAAAGATGAAGAACTAAACAGTTCCATCTGTTCAATACTGAAACAAAAGTCCTGCAAACCTCGGATGGTGAGTGTAATACTTCAGCACTAGCACCAAAGCCTCAAATATGAAAAGATACCAAGAACACCACTAGCAAACAAAACTAAACTCTCGGCTGGGAGCTCTAGTTCATGCCGTAATCCCAGCACTTTGGCAAGCAAAGGTGGGAGGATTACTTGAAGCCAGGAATTCAAGACCAGCCTTGGCAGCATAGTGAATTCACACCTCTACAGAAAGTTTTTAAAATTAGCTGGGTGTGGCAGCACACTTCCTGGGGCAGATGTGCCATTGCTGGAAACTTCTCTATGGAGAGTACCAAGTACTTCTACCTGTAGCATTTTCCCTGGCTGGAATCCTGCAATTATCACAGTAGCCCGAGATCCAAGAAGGCAGAGCAGGAGCATCCTGTCCCCTCCCCAGCAGGTGCAAGGGAGGCTGGGGGGTGAGGCACAAGCCCGTGGGAGGGTGAGGAGCAGGAGGGATGCATGGTGAGCCTCTGTTGACTGCTTGCTGCCTCAGCTGGAAGGTCAGGACCAAATGTCTATTACAGGTTAAATTACAGAAGTATTTCAGATTTTGGATTTTTTTCAGATTTTGGAATTCGAAAATCTGAAATCCAAAATGCTCCAATGAGCATTTCCTTTGAATCTGGCCTTCGAACATCATGTCGGCACTCAAACAGTTTTGGATTTTGAAGCATTTCAGATTTTGGATTTTCGGATGAGGGATGCTGTATTATCTTCTGAATGAGGCCACTCATTCAGGAAAGCCCAGAGCTTGGGGACGTGGAGCTGCAGACCAAAGAGGTGATTTCTGTAGTGGCTTTCAGTGCGGAAGGGCCTACAAAGTGGTTTAAAGCAAGCCACAAAATAGGAAACCCAATATTTAGCTAATGGAACTCTGATAAAACCTGCTCAAGCTGTCTGTCTCTACTAATTCAGATGGAGCCAAGCCAAAGCATCATTATTATTTTAAAAAGGCACCAATCCCTCTGCAAAAGCACTGAATTATATCATGATACAATCATCAATTGTACCATGAATCACCATCAGCGGTGGTCTTTTAGGGATATGAAGAAGGGGTTTTCACAATACATCGCATGACACACCATCTTCCAAATCTCTAAACATTTCTCTCCACAGCCCAGTCCTCTCCATAGTTGTCCAAATCCCTCCCTCTTTTCTCTTGTTGTCTCCAAAACTCAAAACCATGCTCTGACTTTCTATATCCTGCCCTCCCCTTCTTGGACCATCTGGGAAGCCCCCTGCTTCCCCAGGGTGTCCCCTCCTCCCCTTCTGGGATCAGTCATCTTTCCTCAAATGGACCAGTTCGGCCTCTCTTAGTTTCTCCAACTCTGCATCTCAACCTTTCTCCCTTCACTACACAATAATGTCCAGGAGGCAAAGAGCCCACAAACCTGGGAACCTCCCTTTCCAGAAGGGAGGTTCTGGAATGACTACAAATATTTGGTTATGATTTTCTTCCCTGCCACGCCTGTTTTCATGGGCAGTGCTGAGCCCCGGTCCTGGCAGAGCTCAGAACCAGGCTCTCATGAGCTGGGGCAAGTGGGGCCTAGGGAACCTCTGGGTTGAGGACCTTGCACCCCACTCTGCAGCTGCCCTGCTGATTTGGCTCATGCAACCTCTCCTCCTGGGCTCAAGTGATCCTTCTACATCGGTCTCCCAAGTAGCTGGGATTTGGGCTACCACGTTTGGCTAATTTTTGTATCTTTTAGTACAGATGGGGTTTCACCTGTAGCCCAGGCTGGTCTCGAACTCCTGGGCTCTAGTGATCTACCCTCCTCAGCCTCCCAAAGTGCTGGGATTACAGGTGTGAGCCACTGCGCCCGGCCTTGTGCCAGCTTTTAAATATCAACAAGGACAAATTAGAGAACAGTGGAAGAGGGTGAGCAGCATGATGAGGTGATACAGAAATAATTTCACATGAAGAACTGGGCATGCCTGGCTTTTTTTTTTTTTTAAGCTATTCTGGGTTGGATGCTGAGGCTCACACCTGTAAGCCTGTAATCCCAGCACTTTGGGAGGCCGAGGTGGGTGGATCACCTGAAGTCAGGAGTTTGAGACCAGCCTGGCCAACATGGTGAAACCCTGTCTCTACTAAAAATACAAAAAATTAGCTGGAATTGGTGGCATGTGCCTGTAATTCCAGCTACTCGGGCAGCTGAGGCAGGAGAATCGCTTGAACCTGGGAGGCGGAGGTTGCAGTGAGCTGATATCGTGCCATTGCACTCCAGCCTGGGCAACAAGAGTGAAACTCTGCCTCAAAAAAAAAAAAAAAAAAAAAGAAAGAAAGAAAAGAAAATATATCTATGCACCAGAGCTCAACACTAGGTTAGGAGCATTTCTGAGATTTGGAGCTATTCAACCATGGAAGTTCCTGGCACATACATCAGGTATTCACAATACCCTTTCTCAGGTGTTTGGTCACTGCTAGTGAGCCTGCCTGGATCAGTGTTTCCCAAATGGCAGTCATTTGCATCTTTGCATTTTTTTGGGGGGGGGGTTGTGGGGGTATATACCATACCAGATTTTTTAAAAATTGACATTAAAAATACATGTATAAAATGTGTAAAGTGCACTAATCTAAAGTGCACTGGATGTATTTTTTATTGATGTACATACTTTTGTTATCCATCACCCAGGTCAAAATACAGAATCAGCACCACAGAGGGTTCCCTCCTCCTCCTTCCCAGCCAATAATCTTCTCCTCCTACCTAACCAACTGTTCTTACTTCAATCACTGTCAACTAGTATTTTACATTCTTGAACTGCATATAAAGTGTCTCAAGTTTCACTTAACACTTTTCTTGAAATACACTTGTTTTTTGCCACTTTTTATTTGACCTAAGAAGTAACATTAATGAAACAATGATTTGACGTGATAGGCATTTCCCTCCTAATGAGCACTAAAACACTTAACTATTTGAAAAAAGAAGTTTCTCCGTGTACCAGCTAATATATTCTCCTCGGCCGCCGTTGGTACACGGACCACATTTTGTTTCTCAAAGCAATCCGATGATTTCTGAGGTCCTTTGCAGCTTGAACACGGAACGACTGTGGTGATCGAGTAGCCAAAAGTTCACGGAATGCACTGTCACAATTGTGATTCCGCCATAGCGCCGTGCATCCATCCAACACTTGTTTAATACCTATATTTAATACCTAATACCTTAGACTGTCCTAGGCTGTGGACACAGAAGACTAAACCCCACTTCCTGAGTTGAAGTGGGGGAAATAGAGGAGTAAATCATTTCACGATGTGTGGTTAAATGCTACAGCTCAGGTAACCACGAGCACACAGAGAAAGGGCAGTTTCTAGAAACAGGGCGGAGAGGAGACCGTGAGTGGGCATTTCCCAGAGCAGTCTCTGCCAGCCACCCTGCTGTGATCACTTTGCCACAGAGCAGCCCCGGCGGTCAACCTCAGCCTCCCTTAGCAACCTGAGCGCCCCGCCCAGGTGCCTTACTATTGGTCTCGTGGAGCGGGATGGGCAGCTCTGCCGTGCAATCCCAGCTCGCAGCCCTTGCTCCGCGTGTACTCACGGGAGGACTCGCAGACGTTACTGCCCTCTTGCGTGCCCCGGCCACCCCCGGGCGGCTTGTAGCCGGTGCGCGGGGTGGCTGGGGCTACGTGCAGAGCTGTCGCGGAGCCGGAACAGCAGCGGTGAAGCCCCTCGGCTCGGCCGAGACCGCCGTGCCCATTGCTCGCCTCGGTTGCCGCCGCTTTAGCCGCAGCCGCTGCTGCCGCCGCCGGGGGAGAGGCAGCCTATTGTCTTTCTCCGCGGCGAAGGTGAGGAGCTGTCTCGGCTCGGCCCGCGGGGGAGCCCCGGGAGCCGCACGGTGAGAGCGCAACTTAGTTGGCGGAGTTGGGGGAAGTTTTGTGATTTGAGGAGGGGTCGGGGTGCGGAGCGCGGCCCGTCCCCTGCGGCCGCTCGGTGGGGCGGGCCCCAGAGGAGGGTCGGGGGCTGCGCGGGGCTTCAGGGGCGGGCGGCACGGATGGGTAGCCGGGCGGCGCGGGGACCTCAGCTTTGCGGACCCCTCCTCCCTGCGCATCACCCTTCTCCCGCATTGTCTGCTTGGGGCTCGGCGCGCCTCCCACTCCGCAGCCCAACTTGGGGGCCGTCGCCGCTTTCCGGATGGGGGGCGCGCCCGGCGGCGGATGGCCCCGAACCCTTGCCCCGGGTCCCCGGGTTGGCGCCGCTGGGGCGGACTCACTCCTCCCCTGGGGCGGGCGGCCGCGGTGTGGAGTCCGCGCCGCGAACAAGTGCTGCGGGCGCGAGGGAGCGGTTCCCCGGGGCCGACGCGGACGGTAAACCTGTCCGGCGGCGCCCGCCTGCTGGGGCCTCTCCGCTGTTTCTCGCGGGCGCGGCCCGGCTGAAACTGCGACCGTCGGAGGCGAGCGGCCCTCTGGGACCCGTGCAGCCGGTCCACCTTGCAGCTATACTTTGAGACTAAACATTTTTTTTTTTTTTTTTTTGCAAAGGCAAACCGGTATGTGAAGTTGAAAAAAGCAAAAACCCTCAAATTTTCCTTCTTTCTTCTTTTTTTTTTTTTTTAAATCAAGAAAGGGGGTAGATAGGTTTGTTTTGTTTTGGAAATAGTTTTTATAGCAGAGTGATACCGTCACATTTAATGATCCTACTGTGAATTCAAGAATTCACGATGAAAGTTGGATTGAGCGGTATTTTGGTGTTCATTCTTTGCTGATACTCATTAATGAAGTTAGTTGGAGAATTTATTGCTTCAGTACAGTAAAAACCAGTGTGCCTTTTTTTTTGTTACTACTCCCCCCTCCCCGCATTGTTTTATTTTTCGAAGAAGCACTTTATTCAGTTTTTCTAAGCCACGGGATTGCCCAGATGAGGACCAACGGTGCAGTTCTTGAAAGGTCATTATTGGCAAGTTTGTGAGGGAGCTAAGATGAGTTGAGATAAACCAGTGTTACTGTTCTTGTATTCTGTCGTGGACTCTTGGGGATTTGCAGGCTGCATTAAGTACAAGTCTGGTCCAGTTTTGGGTGCACGTATTCCACTGAATTTGGTTCGTCTGGCTTATTATATGAACATGATTCTGTTTCACTTCCCCAGATGGAACTAGCTTAAATGTCTATCATTTATAGTGACAAATGATCAAAATGGCTAGAGTGTCATTTATTAACTTCAGTTGTAGTCCTTTACCTTACCTTCTGCTAAATGAAAAAGAAAAATTTGACAAATACTGTGTGCGTCAGTTTGCTCTGAGTGATTTCTCGTGCTAAGTGAGTCCTTTGGAGAAGCGTTCCTGGGCTTTTCTGGTTTGGTGGGCCTTGTGTTATAAAACCAATTTTCTTCACCTGATGAAGCTAAAGACAAATTTTCTTCAGGCACAGGCATTGCCCTTTTAAACTACAGAGCCACTTGTAGGATTCACAATACTCACTCAATGGCTTCCCTTCCTGGCAGTGTGGTTTTGTGTGTGTGTGTGATTGTGGGGAAGGAGGCTGACAGAGGTTGGAAGGGATTGTCAGGGAGGGACATCATGTAAGCAAGTACTAACAACATAACGTGACGAGGGCACCAGTTGCTTTCCTTCTGTGGGCGGTGATGGCATGTTATACTGTAGGTACTATTGTTGTAGGATTTCTCACAGTTCGTTTGCCTTGACTAAATGGTAACTGCACACATACTATACTATAAATGGACTCCTCCTCTAGTCCTTTAACTCCTTGAGGGCTGTGATAGACCTTATTTAACTTTGTACCCTCTTTGCCAGTGGTTTTAACATAGTGCAGGCACGGTATGTGTTTGAATTGGGTAAATTACTTTTACTGCCTAGTGGTAGCTGGTGTACACAGGAGAGGGCCACCAACTCTGGGGACTTGTCCAAAATGACAATTCACTTGCAGATCTCTGATGAAATTTACTTTAAAAGGACTTCTAACCTTTTTTTTAATCTGTCGGTTATTTTTTGAAAAGAAGTGGGGCTTAACTAGTGCTCTAAGGATTTTAACAAGAGATTCCGATTTAGAAATCTGTTCCCCCTTTTGGTGAAATTCTTATTTTTTTTAGAGTCAGAATCTTCACTGTTGCCCAGTTGTCTTCCTGGGACCCAAGCCGTCCTCCCACCTCAGCCTCCCACAGTACTGGAATTACAGGCGTGAGCCACCCCACCCAGCTGGTGAAATTATTAAAATTGTAGTGAAAACTCTGCCTCCATTGTGAAATTGGAAAAAAATTAGAAATTTTAGAAAAAAGTACGCCCTTTGGAGCTAGGTAGAGTTCAGATCCCCACATTTCCATTGAGTAGTTGCATAGCCTCTCAGAGCTTCAGCTTCCTACTCCTTAAGGGTTAGTAACATGCTTTGCAGTGTTGTTAGGAATCAGTGAAACTGTGTGAGATACTTAACTGCAGTATCTAACATGGAGTAGGTAGCTATTTCCTGGTAGCTGTAATGATAATAATTTTGATACGTTTTTACATGACTTAAGCATTCTGAAAAGTCTGATGCTTCTGAGTATGGAGGCTTAGCTATTTCTTTCATAAAGAAGGGGCCCTGAGACTTGTGAGTCTTATCCAAATGCGTTTCTTCAAAGGTGTCAGATGAACTGAAGGATAATGGAAACAATAGCAAATTTATCTTCTCAGTCACCTGTGAGTCTTCCTTTGAGAGTGGGACTTGCAGAGTACTTGGTAGGGTAGAGCTCTTTGTGACTATGCTATTTAGGAAATGGTGAGAGATGGATTGTTTTCAGTACATCAGTCATAAGAGGATATGAGTGAGTTCCAACTTTCCTTATTTTACCTTAGTCTTGACAAATAACAAGTATGGATTATGTCTGTATTTCTCAGACTTGTTTAAGGTAGAACTGGACTGGGTGTTAACAGTGTTAGTTCAGCAGAGACATGAGCAAATCACTCACTTCCCCTTCAAGATAACACTTTAAAGGTGCCACCATTTGCAGAAGAAAGCAGTGATTTAAAGCAGCTATACTAGCACAGTTTAGAATACTTACACTAGCTGATGGAGTAGATACATTCTAGAAATATTTACCTGTAGTGGGAGTTGAACAGTGAGAACACACGGACACAGGGAGTGGGGAACATCACACACTGGGGCCTGTTGGGGGTTGGGGGGCTAGGGGAGGGATAGCATTAGGAGAAATACCTAGTGTAGATGACGAGTTGATGGGTGCAGCAAACCACCATGGCACGTGTGTACCTATGCAACAAACCTGCACGTTCTGCACATATACCCCAGAACTTAAAGTATAATAATAAGAAAGAAAAATAAATATTTACCTGTTAAGGACATTTCTGTGTATTTTATTCCATCTTTCCAATAGTTTTCTTATGAAGAGATTATAGTTAACCTTTGAACTTAACAGATTGAGAGGGTAAACCTTTAAAAAATATATTTGGTCACACTTACAGACTGAGGGTAAAAACATTCCTGACAAAGCTAGGCGAAGACACTTGGACTTTTTTTTTTTTTTGAGACGGAGTCTCGCTCTGTCACCCAGGCTGGAGTGCAGTAGCACGATCTTGGCTCACTGCAACCTCTGCTTCCCCGGTTGAAGCGAATCTTCTGCCTCTCCCGAGTAGCTGGGACTACAGGCACACGCCACCATGCCTGACTAATTTTTGTATTTTTAGTAGAGACGGGGTTTCACCATATTGACCAGGCTGGTCTTGAACTCCTGACCTCGTGATCCACCCACCTCAGCCTCCTAAAGTGCTGGGATTACAGGCATGAGCCACTGCACCCGGCTGAAACTTGGACTTTTGATGTTTCCTTCTTTTAAAGTTAACATCTAGCACTTGAATAGACTTGGTTATTACTGATGGGGACAGGCATCCATTTGGAAGTAGCTTCCCTCTCTCTCTCTTTCCCAGGTTAGGCTGTCTTATTGCTGTAAATGGGGAGAGAAGAGAAAGCCGTGGGTGGAAGAAAGTGTTTCATGGCCTGGTGCGGTGGCTCATGCCTGTAATCCCAGCACTTTGGGAGGCCGAGGCGGGTGGATCACTTGAGTTCAGGAGTTCAAGACCAGCCTGGCCAACATGGTGAAACCCCGTTTCTACTAAAAACAGAAAAATTAGCTGGGCATGGTGGCGGGCACCTGTAATCCCAGCTACTTGGGAGGCTGAGGCAGGAGAATCACTTGAACCCAGGAGATGGAGGTTGCAGTGAGCCGAGATTGCACCACTTCACTCCAGCCTGGTCGACAGAGCGAGACCTTGTCTCAAAAAAAAAAAAAAAAGTGTCCCACTCAGTTGCCCAGGCTGAAACGCAGTGGCAGGATCACTGCTCACTGCAGCCTTGAACCAAGCGATTATCCCACCTCAGCCTCCCAAGTAGCTGGGATCACATGCATGCACCGCCATGCCTGGCTAATTTTTTTATTTTTGTAGAGACAGGGTCTCTCTATGTTGCCCAGCCTGGTCTCAAACTCCCGGGATGAAGCAATCCTCCCACCATGGTCTCCCAAAGTGTAGGGCTTACAGGCGTGAGAGCCTGCTGGGGTTTTTGATTGACATTGCATTGAAACTGGAAATCAGTTAGGAGGCAACTGACATTTTAATAATGAGCCATGAACATGGTATATCTATTTATTTAGACCTTCTTAGATTTTTCGTCAGTGTTTTGTAGTTTTTAGCAGTTGGATCTTGCTTGTATTTTGTAATCTTACACATTTATTTCATGTTTGTGGTACTGTTGTGAATGATACTTCTCAATTTCCAGTTGGTGATTGCTAGTATATAGGAAGGTGATTTTATGTTATATGCTGACCTTGGATTCTACAACCTTGCTAAACTCATTTTTAGTACTAGAAGCTTTTTTGTAGATTTTTGGAATTTTGTGCATAGACAGTAATGTCACTGGCAAATAAGGGCAGTTTAATTTCTTTGTTTTCACTTTGTATGCTTTTATTTCCTTTTTTTTTTTTGAGACGGAGTTTCTCTCTTGTTGCCCAGTAAATTAGCCCATGTAAATATTTCTGTTTGTATCTCTTGAAAGTAAAGACTCTTTTAACCATGGATGAGTGTCTTGATCAAATCAACATGGCTTGTTCATGTCGATACCATTTGCTCAGAGGGGAAAGATTAAGGGAAAAATGGGGTTGGATTTGAAATGCCAGGACCTGTCTACTGGGTTTGTGATTTGTTATTCTCTAAAGTTGTAGCTCTTAAAACAAAGAAAGGAGTGAGTTTGGCCTATTCATTAACTTTTACTCTTTAGACAGTTCAAATGTTTATTGAGTTCTTCTACAGGGCGAGCCCTGCCTTCTTCATGCTTACCAAGAAGCATTTTTACGCGGTTTCTCTAATGTTTGGGTGAACGGTACCTCACTAAGTTGTTTTTCACGCACGTGCGTGCTCGTTCCTGAAGAGTCCTGTCCAGGTGCTCTGCCCGCTTTTCCTTTCAGGCTTCTGTATCAGCTGCCGTTTCCCTATAGAACGTGCCCTGACCTCCACCCCTTAACCCTAACCAATTTGCCTTTACATGTCTGACCATCCATCAAGGCTCTTTTGGGTCATATTCAGTCCATGTTGATATTTCCCCTTCCTCCCTTCTTTAGTCCTTACTATTTTTGCTTTGGTCATGTTTTCTTACACTGTATTCTGTAAGCCTGTTTAATTTTTTTATGGTGGCAGGGGAAAATATTTTATAATTATGCTTTGTGCTTTTTATCTTCCACTCAATAAATGCTTGGTAAATATTTGTTTTATTGAATGTATGAGCCTATTCTAGCTATATTGTGCTTGAACAAAAATCTTAACTGCCTTGTAAGTTAACTGCTAAGAATTTGTCAAAAGTGCAGAGATAACATCAAGAGCTTGTCATGGATAGTACAAAAAGGTCTCTAAGGGCTTGATGGAAGTCTGTAAATTGACTTCCTATGAAAGAGAGTGTAAGAAGTGAAAAAAAGCAAAACAGAGTAGATGTTTTACTCTGTTTGCCAAGGGATTTGTGCTATTTTTTTCCTGTTTTATAAATTTGTCCTAATCTTAAATAATGAAGGGAAAAGAGCACTCTTTTTCAACCAAGGAATCCTTTTTATACTTCTTTTCTGTGAAGCCATGTTATGAAAGATTGTTATACAAACTTAAGTATAGTTTTTCCATCTTCAGTA
Source organism: Homo sapiens (assembly GCF_000001405.40). Lineage (NCBI taxonomy): Eukaryota > Metazoa > Chordata > Mammalia > Primates > Hominidae > Homo > Homo sapiens. The sequence goes on along the minus strand of NW_025791797.1, from coordinate 829,365 downwards.
ACAGACCTGATTGCCATCTAGTTACTGGTTCTGATCACACAAGAATGCAAAGCAGCTTGTTCTAATAACTTGTGCAGGCCTATTGGGAACTAGTATATGGCTTTGAGTCCTTTTGAAGTATTTAACATAATTTGGCAATTCCATTACGCCTTTTATGGACTTCTTGGCATCTATGAACTCTTGGTAGGGAATCACTGTTTTAGAATGAAAAATGTCTCCCAGAAGTAAATTAGCCGGTAAACAAATGAAACTTCATTTTTTATATGACTTGTAGAGCATAAATTATTACTCTTTCTGCATAAGTGGCTGCTTTCTAGGCTGCTTTTAGCGAGATTGTTAGAAACAAATGATTGGTGCTGTGAGGAAGAAGCAGCACTCAGGCAAAAAAGTTTTCTCAGCAAGACAATTTGCTTCTGCAAGTATGCTGCTTGCATTAGTCATGATTGCAAGAGCACACCAAACGGGGTGGAGCAGGGGTTCTTATCCCTAATGCACTCCCTACCTCTGTGTCATTCCAACATGGGCTGGGGTAGGACTGCACAATCTTAGCTGACTCAGCTGGATATTGTGAATATTTTCTCTAATAAGAAAGGGAGGGGGAATGTGAGTTACAGATTGGGGCTGGTAGGAAGAGTTGTTTACAAGGCAGGTTACTAAGCAGGTAACTAAGCTGGTAAGTAGGGTCGAGAAGGTACAGGGAAATTGTTCTTAGGAACAGAGAACAAGGAAGTTGAACAAGTTAAACCTTTGAAGAGGAACTTACTGTACCTAACAATTCCCCCCTCTTAATTTTTGTAATTCTTCCTCTTCAAACTTTTTTAGCATGTCTTTGCTTTGCTGTTCTGCTTGGTTTTCTAGAAGGAAAAGCTTATCTGAATAGGGTGGAGGAGAGCTAAGAGAGGTTTTGGTAAGTTCTGTGTCTATGAGTCTTTGCAGTAGTCCACAAATGTATGGTATGATACAGCATCCAACAAGAATAAGCACACCTATAACGATTGCAAGAGAAGTAAATATTGAGGACATTAAGCCTTTCCATTTTCCAGACCATTTCTCCATTAAACTTGTAAAGGGATCATTTATTCCAGAATTGCTTGCTAACTCATTGGATAAGGAGGTTAGGTCCTGCAAAGCTTTTGTTACTGTTCCGTCAGGGGCTGTGTTATTAGGAATAAAAGTACATCATTGGACTCCAATCATGACACAGACACCACCTTTTTCTGCTAGCATCGTATCTAGGGCTATCCTGTTTTCCCAGACTATTTAGTTAATGGGACCTAATTGGGAGGCTGTTCCCTTAATGGCATGTCTTGTGTAGTTAACAAACCTTTGTTGGTTGTAATAAATGTAGTTTATCCGATCTACATTTTTATTTACAGTTGACCACCAAAACAGCACAGATTCAAATCCTGAAGCTGTTTGATTTCGGGCCTTAAATTTATCTGGTACCCCTCGTGGAACTCCAGTAGCATCTTTATAAACGTGGGAGTCAAAGGACCCATGAAGGTCACTTCTTCTCTTCTGATTTTCTCTTCTATTATGTTAATGGAATGCTAGGGTGAAAGGGATGGCCAGTTGGACTAGAGCACAAGTACCACTCCAGTTACTTGGCAGAGTGTCCAGTAAGGGTCCACCACAATACCACCATACGTATGCTCGAGGATGAACAAGGGCAGACTGACTGGTAAGCTCTTGGGAGAGTTTAAGTTCACCGCATCCCTTTAGGTCTTCATGAAATGCCAAGTTTTCCCCTTGTTGTGAGAGACCCGAGGTAAAAATTGGTGTCAATAGATGGAGGCTGGATGGCCCTCAGGGACTGACCTGCAGGGTGTTGGACTTTAGGGAATAGCAGAGAGAGAGCTTGGCAAGATTCATTACCCCAGGCTGTGGGGTCTTGGAGAAGAGCTACCATACAGCTCATGCCCAGTTGGCTGGAAGACCATCCGAGTGGAAAGGGGACAACCTGGGCCTCTGGCCTACTGTGCGCACAAGTGTAACAGTTGCTTTTGTTTAGAGTGCGGACAGAATATTTAATCCATTCTAACCAAGCATTTGCATCTTGGTACCCTGTCTCAGTTGCTATGGTTTGTTTCAAATTTTTAACTTCTACAATGGCTTACCTTGATTTTATCCTTGGTTGAAGGAAGAACAGCGGTTTCGTTGAGAGAGAGTGTAGAAGGAGGTGGAGGAGGTGAGAAAGTAATGAAATGCATTTCAAAGGATTCTATAAGATGTGTCCCTGCTATTTTGGCTCCTATGCCGTATAAGCGACTTAAAGTAGGTTTAGGGTTGGCAGAAGTGGGGATAAGAATAGAAATTTGCACTGGATTACATTGGTTATACTGGCAGTCAGGGGGTGGGGAATGTTTCCTTTAACAAAGCAAACATGGTTTTAGAGACTTACAACTGCCTGTTGACAAAGCCCTGATGTTCAGTTGTCCACATAATATCATTCCAGCTGTGGCAGGCCTGTTTCCCTACATTTCTTAAGGAACAAGAGTCGTAATGGGGGAGGCTTTTGTCTGAAAGGGACGGAGATACTTCTCTGAGGCTGAGAGTTGCTTTTGACTTTGGAGATCTCCACAGGATATAACAAGGCAAGCATCAAAGGTAATAGTTTGGGGTGAGCTCGACCTAGTTACATTAATAACGAGAGGACTAGCAATAGAAGGGGAAAAGAAATATAGCATAAGAGGATCAAACCCGTTTTAGCTTTAACTTGGTTGGAATTGGCCCTGAAATAGCTGTCCATGATTCTGGAGTGGGTGGTGCTCTTTTGACTCAGGTATGGTGAGTCCATTCTTTTTCAGTGGTGTGGACGGCTGTCTCAGTCATTAGAAACACTAGATAATGTCCCTCCCAGGTGGGCTTGAGCTTCCTTTCTTTCTGACCTTTGATGAGAATGTGGTCACTGTCCGGGCTGGTGGTGGTGAACTGGAAATTCAAGGGGTGGTGTATGTGCCAAGAGGCCTTTAGTCCTAAGGAAAGAGAAAGTGGAGGATAGACCAAGTATATAGTTCTTGAGAAACAGATCTTTTGTTTCGAACGAGGAATGTCAGCAGTGGAGTGTAGATAAGGCAACTCATACAGCATTTCATAAGGAGGTGAGCCGACATCTTTCCTAGGGGCAGTTTGGAATCTTCACAAGACCATGGGGAGGCATTTAGTCCATGGCAACCGAGTCTCTAGGACTAATTTGGTTAGGTGGTTTTTCAGAGTCTGATTCATTCTTTCTACTCTTCCTGATGAAGGTGGGTGCCAGGGGTTATGGTAGTCCCATGTTATATCTAGTACTTGGGCTAGTTTCTTAAGAACATGTGCAGTGAAATGAGTCCTGTTGTCTGAATCAGCATTTTCTATTAATCCAAACCTGGGTATAATATTTTCAACTAATGCCTTGAGTACATTACTAGCAGTTGCACTTGAAAAGGGAATAGCTTCTACCCAATGAGTAAGGTGATCTATCACTAATAAATATTTTAAGTGACCAATTGGGGGCATTTCGGCATAATCAATTTGGACAATTTGGAACAGCCTTAATCCTGGATTTCTCCCTCCAACAGGTGGTTTTCTGAGGATCTGCTTATTAGTCTTCTTACATACTAGGCAACTATCTGTAACTTGTCTTGCCAAAATGTAAATTCCTATACATCTGTAGACCCCGAGGACTGCATCACACTTAGCTTGAGGTCCCTAATGAGTCCCTTGATGCAGATGAAAGAGGATTTCCCTCATGAGGGGTTTGGATAACATTTCTCTTTGGTCTGGTGACACCCATTTCCCTTCTGAATTTTCTTTGGCTCCTATTTTTATTAATTTTTCCTTTTCAGCGGGAGAAAAGATGGGGACTGCAGTCGAGGGAGGAAGGCAAGGGGCTAAGTGAAAAACAGGCATTTTCAGAGGAAACGGCAGTGTGTTTGGCTATTTGATCTGCTAGGTTATTCCTTCCGCTTTGAAAAGAAAGACCTTTCTGATGTCCTGGAACATGGACAATAGCTATTCTGGCAGCTGCAGGTTATCTAATACTTGGGTGATTAATTCTTTGTGGCCCAGGTCTTGGCCTTTGCTATTAATAAGATCTCGTTCAGTCCAAATTTTTCCAAAGGTGTGAGCTGCCCCAAAGGCATACTTGGAATCAGTATAAATAGTCCGTTCTTGGTTTTGCAAGTGCTTTAAGGCTTGATTTAATGCAAACAATTCATTCACATGTTTGGGCAGACCAATTATTTGGCAGGCTTCCTGACTCTACTTCTTCAAGTGCCTCCCCATCTACTACTGAGTACCTATTACGCCTTTTTCCTTCAATTACTTGGGAAGAGCCATCTATAAAGAAGCCCTGCCCCGTTTTGTAAGGGGTCTCTCTTAAATCAGGCCTAACTTTTGTATGATCATTAAATCTAAACACTCATGCTCAGGTCTCTTTAGATTTGAATCTCCAGTCAGGAAACCTCTGGGTTAAGTGAATTATCAGTGGTTAGTGTTAAATCATCTCTTTCTAACAGGATAGCTTCATACTTTAAAATTCTCAAGTCAGTAAGCCACCTTCCTGCCTTTTAATTTAAGATGGCTCTAACCTGATGGGGCATGTTTACAACTAACTTTCCCCCAAAGGTTAGTTTTCTGCTTTCTTTAGTTAACAAGGCGGTAGCTGCAATGGATTGAAACATTCAGGCCATCCACAGGTTACTGGATCTAAAACTTTTGATAGGAGATCCATGGGTTGCTGGTGACCTCCGTGTTCTTGGGTAAGGACCCCTAAAGCTACCCCCTTATTTATGTTAACAGAAAGGTGAAATGGCTTTTCTAGGGAAGGCAAAGCTAAAACAGAGGCAGTTATAAGCAGATGTTTTAGCTCCTCAACCTGGTGGAGTTCTTCAGAAGTCCAGAGGAGAGGGTCAGGCTTTTCTTGGGTGATTTTTAGGTAGAGAGGCTTTATGACAAGGGCATATGAGTCAATCCATAAGCGGCAATATCCGGCTATCCCTAGGAATTTTCTGAGTTCTTGTTTAGTCTTAGGCAAAGGTATGGATACAATCCCTTCAACCCTCTCAGGCCCTATCCTTCGTTTGCCGTTACTTATTAAGTGTCCTAGGTATTTAACTTCAGGCTCTATGAATTGAAGCTTTCTCTTTGAAACCCATAGCCCCTCTCCTTACAAATGGTTAAGGATATGGATGGAGAAAGCAGATACCTTTTCTATAGCCTAACCGGATATTAATAAGTCATCTACGTACTGGAGCAGACATATACATTTTGGGGTATAAACTTGTTCTAACACTTGTTCTAGAATTTGACCAAAGAGATTAGGGGAATCTGTGAAGCCCGGGGGTAGAGCTGTCTATCGATACTGTTGCTGTCATCCAGAATGGGGATCTTCCCATTCGAAAGCAAAAATGTCTCAGCTGTCCTCATCCAAGGAGCATGCTCAAAAGGCATCTTTTAAACCTATTACTGTAAACCATTGATGTTCATATGGAATTTTACTGAGAATGGTTTAAGGATTAGGGACAACAGGATGGGTAGTCTAGACTGTCTGGTTGATGGCCCAGAGGTCTTATGCTAGTCGACATGACCTATCTGGTTTCTTCACAGGCAGTATTGGGGTGTTATAAGGGGACATACAGGGTTCAAGGAGCCCATCCTTGATGAGGCTTTCAATTACAGGTTTCAGGCCTATTCTGCCTTCTAAAGGAATAGGATATTGCTTTCTTCTTACTATTTCTCCAGGGGTTTTTAACTTTATATGTATAGGGGGAATTTGGAGTTTTCCCCAATTTCCTTCCCTTGCCCAAACATCAGGATGAATGTATGTTTCTTCTGCAGTGGTGAGCAGGTTTAATGAAGTGTAGAATCCTTCTGAGCCAATATGTAAACCTATACCTAATTTTAACATTAAGTTTCTTCCTAATAGATTAGTTCCTGCCTCTGAAATTAACAAAAATTCAACATTAGCTGAGCAGTTTTTACATCTAATTTCTGTTTCTTTTAAAATTTTTAGTTTGATTCCCTCTCCTTTTACCCCTGAGACTACAAGCTCCTCTGAGGACCAGGTTATATTGTGGGGGAAGGTAACAAACAGAGGAGCAGGCTGCTCCTGAGTCTACTAAAAAGGTCATAAGCTCAGATTTGGGTTCCACTTCTAAATTTATCAAGGGCTCTTGGTGGGATTCAAGGTAAAAGAGACAGAGCCCCTAACCCCCCTATTCCTCCTCAAAGGTCGTAAGTGGGACGACTTCTCTTTCTGATTTTAATTTGGGACAATACCTCTTGAAGTGGCCTACTTTCTCACAATTGAAGCATTGATTCTGTCTCTTCTATTTTTGGGTTTCTCGGCTTTGCCTCCTTATGTTCTTTATATGGCTTAGGAAGTGGGGGCCTAGGATCTTTATAGGTTTTGGCTCTCGGGAGGCTTTGTTTGGGAGTGTGTGGGTCTCTGGGTAACAGAGAGTAATACTGGTGTGTTTTATCCTTTGGGGCCCCCTGTTGGAAGGTGGATAACATAATTTTCATTTTTTCTTTTTGCTTCTCCTCATCCCTCCTTACACACACTTTCTGAGCTTCTCTAAGAAGCTCGTTCGTGGGATGGTCCTTCCAATTTCCTATCTTTTGTAATTTCCTTGTGATATCTGGCTGTTAGTAACAAAATGAAGCTTTAACATTCACTGCCTAAGAGGATCTTCTAAATCTAGGCCAGCATATTTTCTCATTTGTTCTTTCAACCTGTCTAAAAGTTCGATAGGCCCTTCATCTTTCCTTTGTTGTATGTCGAATGCTCGAGTAAGATTTTGGGTTCGGAGTACTGACTCCCGAATCCCTTTTATTATCATTTCCCTAAGTTCTTGCGTATCCTCTTCAGTGGGCTGCGTTATTATTGTCCCAGCAGGGGTCTTGGTTGGGGAATTTTTGATCCGCTGCATGAATGTTTTGGCCAGGAGGGTGTTCATGTTCCCAGGCTACCATAGCAGCTCTACAGATGATGCTTCTTTCTTCCCCTGAGAAAAGGATGCCTAGGATGGACATTAACTCAGCCCAAGTATATATAACTGTGGTCCTAGAAATTGGTTAATTCGATCTGCTATTCCACTGGAGTTGTCTAATAGTGTGGCTTGAACTCTGTTTTTAGGTTTTGGACCTCCGAGCTGGTTAAAGGAGCATTTACAAAGTGAATACCTCCTCCTCGTAGGGACACCTCTCTTCAGGGGAAGAGAGGTGGAGCTAATTCTCCCGAGGTAGAGGGGAAGGGGAAGTTCTGAATATCCCTTTTACATTGCTCTATCTCACATTGAAGTCCTTTCAGGGAAGAGTACTTAGGGTGATAGTGAGCAGGCTGTTGGGACAATTCCCAAGAGGCAGGGTTATAAAGAGGGGGAACAATGTGGGTAGGAGAAGGGTCTGGGACAACTGCCTCTGCTTGAGGGGGAGGGAGGTTAGGGGTATTGGACGGGGGAAGGTGGTGGAGGAAGTTCCATGTGTTGGTGAGCTGTCTAGGAACAGGGACCTTATCTTTCTCAGAGGAGTTAATTTCTGACTTGCTTTTCAGGATTGATTCCTGAGTCCAAATGAAACAACAATATTTTATCATTTGCTGCTTTTTCTTGTATTTAGTCCTTTCACTCTCTTTCCAATATTTTAGCATAAGCCCTAGGGGACTATCAGGAGGAATGTTATTGTTGCTAGCTTTATCCTTTTTCTCCCCTGCATTACTTGAGGTATTTCCCATCTTGAAAAGGGATTGGGGTGAGGCTCAATTTCCCCTACTAGAAATTTCTTCCCAGTTACGAGAGGTTTGTATAAGGCTCAACCTCTCCTACTGGAGATTTCTCACCTTTCCTTTCCTTTCCTTTCCTTTCCTTTCCTAGAGGCTCAACCCCCCTGCTGGAGGTTTCTTGCACTTTTCTCCTTTCGCTTCATCCTTCTCTGGCTGCTTCCCTCACGGGAACGTTGGTTTCCTCTTAGCAATGGCTGTTTCAGTAGAAACCCCTGACCCAGACTCCTTTACAGAAGGGCTACCTTAAGCTGTATAAGGTGACCACAGAACTGCAGATCTGGACTGAACACTTGCTTTGCACTCAATTGTGAGTCTCAACACACACTTTCAATCTCCAAGATATCCCAACCACCAAGAAAATACTTTGTCGCTCTTGTGATGTTTCTTACATTGGTCTGTGCACATAGTTACCTGGTCACCATGGTATGTGAGGATCCTTTTCTCTTAAGTTGTTGGTCTGTTCCTTTCCAGACTGCTGAGAGTCCGGGTTTATTCATCACACTGGGTGGGTCCTGATCCCTCACCATGAGGCCACCTCAATGAGGCAGTGGGATGCTTCTCCTCACTATTGGTGACTGGAGACCCTTTTCTCAGAGGAGAATGGGAATTCCGGACGAGCCCCCAGATTGTTAGAAACAAATGATCAGGCTGGGCGCAGTGGCTCGCCCCTGTAATCCCAGCACTTTGGGAGGCCGAGGTGGGCGGATCATGAAGTCAGGAGATCGAGACCATCCTGGCTAACATGGTGAAATGCCGTCTCTACTAAAAAAAAAAAAATACAAAAAAATTAGCTGGGCGCAGTGGTGGGTGCCTGTAGTCCCGGCTACTCAGGAGGCTGAGGCAGGAGAATGGCGTGAACCTGGGAGGTGGAGCTTGCAGTGAGCTGAGATCAAGCCACTGTGCTCCACCCTGGGCAACAGAGCGAAACTCTGTCTCAAAAAAAAAAAAAAAAAAAAGAAAGAAAAAAGAAACAAATGATCAGTGCTGCAAGGAAGAACCAGCACTCAGGAAAAAAAGTTTTCTCAGCAAGACAACTTACTTCTGCAAAAGAGTGCTGTTTGCATTAGTCACGAATGCAAGAGCACACCGAGCGGGATAGAGCAGGAGTTTATATCCCTAACGCAGTCCCTACCTCTCTGTCATTCCCACATGGGCTGGAGTCGGACTACACAATCTAAGCAGACTTGATTTGCTATCGCGAATATTCTCCCTAATAAGGAAGGGAGAGGGAATGTGAGTTACAGGTTGGGACTGATGGGAAGAGTTGTTTACAAGGCAGGTAACTGAGCAGATAACTAAGCAGGTAAATAGGGGTGAGAAGGTACAGGGAAATTGTTCTTAGGAACAAAGAACAAGGAAGTTGAACAGGTTAAACCTTTGAAGAGGAACTTACTGTACCTAATAAGTTTTTTTGATTGGCTAATTAAATGTCTATTCATTATTGCCAAAAAGTGCCTACCCCAACAACAAGATACCAAATTTTAGAAAATGTTGGAGCTCTCTCTGAATCTAGGAGGAAGTGAGTAGTTTAGCTTTTATTTAGTAGTTAGGACCTTAAGTAAATCACTTTTTTTACTGTGTTTCTGTATAACATAGATAATATTTTTTGCCCTGCAAGAGAGCATATAGAGGAAAGCTCTTTGGCAGCGATACTGTGCCCTATGAATAAAAAAGTGATGGTGTCATTTGTGGCTGAATAACAGTTTATTTTGAGAATGCTTTATAACAGCTTTTCATGGGAAATAAAGCAATGCTGTTAACTTCATCTTGCATTTTTCTCATTTTTACTATGATTAAAAGGTAGTCAGCTTGTACAAAGGAAAGAAACAAGCCTTGACTCAGGAGCCTAGGACTTTTTCTTTGGTTTGCCCTCCTGGAACAGATTACCTTTCCAAATTGAATTTGTGGAGGAGCATTGGGAAATATCAGAAATGTCATATTAAGCACCTCAGTGGTACTTTTAATAGAGGAGTTATTCAGAAATTATACTAGGCAGATAGAGAGGGTAAGGAGGCCTCAGTAAGGCTTTCCCTTTTAATAGAAACAACTCCAGAAACATTTCTTTTTCTTTTCTTTTTATCTTTTTTTTGGAGACGGAATCTCGCTCTGTCACCCAGGCTGGAGTGCAGTGGTGTGATCTCAGCTCACTGCAGCCTCTGCCTCCCAGGTTCAAGTGAATCTCCTGCCTCAGCCTCCTGAGTAGCTGGGACTACAGGCTGCCAAGCTTTGATATGCAAATGCCAGCGCTTAGAAACTGTGTCCATTCAACATGGAGATTCCCACCCTCTTCTTCTAGTCACCACCTCAAGGTGACACCTCCAGATGACCCCATGTGTGCAGGACAACATGGTGACCTACATTTGCATATTAAAAGGCTAGGGTGGGAGGGCCACGTTTTTCTCGGGCTACATGAATGACCTGCCTGGTCAAACCAATGCCCTGGGCCCTGTGCAAATCAGACACCACCTCCTCCAGCCTCCCAATATAACCGAGTACTGTTCTGCCACACACGGGGCTTTTTCTCTGTTCAGACCCCCTTTTTCTGTACCGCAGGGAGCCTTTCTTCTTTCTTGTCTATTAAACTTTCTGCTCCTTAAAACCACTCCTGTGTGTCCATGTCGTTTAACTGGCGTGAGACAAAGGACCCCGATGTTTCTCCCGTTTTCAGAGCCATATCACTTTGAGTCCAGAGGAATTATTTTCATTTATCTGACCAATTTATAATATAGGGTCAAATTCCTAGTGGTTATCCTCCCTCATCCCCATTTTTATACCCTTCCTTGAAAGGAACAGGTATATGAAGAGGAGACAGGTTTCCCTTTTGTGAATAGTATATCCCTTAGTATCTTGAATTTTTTTTGGTGGGGGTGGGGGGAGTTAAACTTACTTAGACCTGGTAAAGGGCAGTATTTGATAAATGTCAGCTAGTTTAGGGTTAGGGAATTGAGTTGAATGGAGATAGTCACTGCCAAATGTAAAGCATGACTGGAGAGCCACAGTGATGAAGCCAGGGTCCCTTTCTCCAGATCCTTTGTAACAGTGTTATGTGATCTCTTCTAGAAGATTGTTCTGAAAGATAATGCCAACTCGGAACCTAGGAAACCATCCAGTGGGTTTCTGCAGCTTAGGTGGTTCAAATCCTCATCAGCACGTTTGTTTTCTCTGCCTCAGTTTGCTTACAGTGATGTTCTCAGTAGCTGTAATTGCTGTCTTTGAATACTTAAGCATTTTTTTTTAGCTCACAGGGGTATGTGTGCATTTTTCTTTTACCAAGTGTTAGAACTTTGACTCTGCTTTTGTGGGCTCTGGTTTAGCAACTTGGTTGTTTAGTTGTAAAATGATTAGTAGGGAAAACCGTGTGTGTGTGTGTGTGTGTGTGTGTGTATTTTAAGTTTCTTTTGTTCTCAGAGCACTTAGAATTTTATATGGAAATTCTATCAGTTTACTTGATTCTCCACCCCACATTTCTTAAACAGCAAAGTATGAAGGTAATGTGTCCCATAACCAGCCTTCAGAAGAATTACAGCTGCTGTGTCTCTGAACTTTCAAGAAGTTTGTGCATCAATTTTCAAAAAATTATGAAATCCTTGAAGATAGCTGTGTTCTACATTTGGAAAGATACAAAAACTGAACCTTCTAGCAGGCAGTTTTGCTTGCTGGTGCTTGAGATAGAGCCACACATTGGTCTCAGTGGATTTATGGAGAAAAATAGGTACAGAAAGTTATTTCTAAATAAGACCAAAAATCCTTTTCTTAAGCAGTGACAGGTAAAGAGGTTGTCTTGGCTAATATTGAATTGTGTTGCCCTTGATTGAGACAGTTTTATGGTGGGGATGGTAGTGGTGATAAACTTGTTTGAAATTTGTCCACCTATAGTAACCTTTGTGGTAGCTGTCACAGACAGCTTCATCCTCACAGGCCCTAAAATTACTATAAAACTAATAGATTGGAGGAGAAACAAAGGACCTGAATAATTAGATGCTTAGATAATTGTTCTGTGTTTTCATAACAAGTGAAAAAGAGCAGTGTTAGAAGTACTTAAACTTTCCATGTAAGGAGCACTGCCTGAATTTATATTGTGATTTTAGAGCATCATTCACTGTTTAAAAACAGGCATATTGTGGGTCATATTTTAAAGACAAACAGAAAACTTATCTTTTCAAGATGGATCTAAAGCTTAACCTTATCAAAATTACAAAATGTGAAGGATATGATTGAAAAATATTAATGCATAGGTTTAAATATTGGTCATCATTTTAGATGTCTTTCAAAATAGGTTGTCTCTTAAATATTAAACTGAACAAACATTGAACTTGTTGTAGAGTTTGTGCTCAAGGTTAAGTTTCCTGGGGTGATGGATATTTGATAATATGGATAACAAAAAGTTCTTAAGAAATTTAGAAAATTTTTAGGCAAAACTAGAAAATAATACTGATAATTCTACCACTCAGAATGTACCACTATCAGAATTTTGTATCTTTCAGTCATCTGCTCATCTCTTTTCTCCTTTGCTTGTATGTGTTCCCTCTCCCTTAAAAAATCAGATTTTTTTTTGTAATCTGCATTTTCACTCAATATTGTAGATCTGTGTCATAAGTTACTCCTCTACAGTGCCTTCAGTTATTGTGTGCTTTGTGTTGGATGACTGTACCATCTAGTCTTTCGTGTTTCCTGGTACTGACTACATAGGGGTGAGTGTGTGTGTGTGTGTGTGTGTGTGTGTGTGTGTGTATATTTTTTTTCTACCTTAACTAATGCTTTGGACATCATCAACAGGTAGAGCTAAATCCTTGAAACCTTCCAAGTGGTGGCTTTCAGTTATTGCTGAATTGGTTTTTAGAGATGGAACAAATTATATTGTATGGAAACTTTTTTTTTTTTTTTGAGACAAAGTCTCACCTTGTCACCCAGGCTGGAGGGCAATGGCATGATCTTGGCTCACTAAAACCTCCACCTCCCAGGTTCAAGTGATTCTCTTGCCTCAGCCTCCCGAGTAGTTGGGATTACAGGGGCCTGCCACCATGCCCGGCTAATGTTTGTGTTTTTACTAGAGATGGGGTTTCATCATGTTGGCCAGGCTTGTCTCGAACTCCTGACCTCAGGTGATCCACTCACCTTGGTCTCCCAAAGTACTGGGATTACAGGCATGAGCCACCATACCCAGCCTTTTTTTCTTCTAGGTACCAGCTTTTATTTATCAGATTGGTATAAATGTTAGAAAGCGTGCAATGAAATGGGCATTTTCACAGTCGTGGCAGAAAGTATAATTATCTTTGACTTTCTAGAAAGCAGTCTGGCATTCTAGAAACTTGCCTAACCTCTTCCCATTTAGACAAGATGAGTTCTGACAGGGCCAGCCTTGTCCCTGTGATTCCGTATCTCCCAGAAAGAGAGGTCTAGTGTCAGGGAAAACCCAGATTTTCTTGGCTTAGCCCACCTGACAGCTAATCACTGGAAATGGGGTGGGCCGGTAGAGTCCTTTGGTCAGGTTTTGTGTCAAGAGAGGGATGTGGAAAGATGGGAGAGAGGTAGCAAAACTGGCCTCAATGGAACTATGTAAGTTAACATAGAATGGCAAAGGAATGTTTCTTCCAAGGAAGAAATTCTAGGGAAGGAATAAAGTGGAGGGGAAGGCAGCAGTTCTCAAAGTTTTGGGGTCAGGATTCCTTTACACTCTTAAAAGTATATTGAGGGCCCAAGGAGCTTTTGTGTATGTAGGTTATATCTATTGGTATTTATCACTAGAAATTAAATCAGAAATACTTAAAATATTCCTTAAAAGCTCACAAAATATTGTTATAAATGCTTTTATGATAAGAAAATTTCTAAACCCAAGGTAGTACAGTCTTACGTCCTTTGCAAATTTCTTTGATGTTTGATATGTCATTTGTACCTGCATTCAATTTATTGTGTGATATTTGCTTGAAAAAATGTGAACAAAGGACAGTCTCATACAGATAGGCATTTCAGATCATTATGGATATTTCTTTTTGCTTTCTTTCTTTTTTTTTTTTTTGAGATGGGGTCTTTCTCTGTCTCCCAGGCTGGAATGCAGTGCTATGATCACGGCTCACTGGAGCCTCATTCTCTGGGGACTCAGGTGATCCTCCCACCTCAGCCTCCAGAGTAGCTGGGACTACAGGTGTGTACTACCCCACCTTGCTAATTTTTTGTATTTTTTGTAGAGATAGGGTTTTGCCATAGGTATTCAAATAGAAAGTTTTGTTTTTGTTTTAGTATATAAAGAAATATAACTTTCCATGTTGGAAAAATTTTTAAAACCTTTTTTTAATTTTAAAACTCATAAGCAACCATTGTTGAGAAAATTGGTAAAGTACAGAAAAGATAAAAGAAAAAAATTAAAGTCTCCCATAATTTCTCTATCTAATATAACCACTATTGACTGTTGACATGATGGTCATTTTCTACCAGTATATAGTTTTTCTTTGCTATTAAAATACATAACCCTTACACATATGCTTAATAGTTGAGGTCATATTCTCTATAGTTTTATATTCTTTTTTTTTTTTTTTTTTTTTTTGAGACAGAGTCTTGCTCTGTCACCCAGGCTGGAGTGCAGTGCCGTGATCTCGGCTCACTGCAAGCTCCACCTCCTGGGTTCCCACCATTCTCCTGCCTCAGCCTCCCCAGTAGCTGGGACTACAGGCGCCCGCCACCATTCCCGGCTAATTTTTTGTATTTTTTAGTAGAGATGGGGTTTCACCGTGTTAGCCAGGATGGTCTCGATCTCCTGACCTCATGGTCTGCCCACCTTGGCCTCCCAAAGTGCTGGGATTACAGGCGTGAGCCACTGTGCCTGGCCCTTTTATATTCTTTTAAAAAGTATTTACTGTATTTTCCTGTGATGTCATAGTCTTTATAGAAAATTTATCATTATTTTCAGTTGACATGATTGTTTACCTAAAAATATCCAAAGGAACCAACTGAGAAAAACAATTTTTAAGATTACTGGTTAAAAGTTCTTTTATATAAAAATCAATAGCCTTCCCCAGTGTTAGCTATAATCACGTAGAAGATATAGTGATGAAGTATTTTTTCAGGTATTTCAGCAAAAATTAAATACCTAGGAATAAACTTAGATGTGCAGGACTTTTATCAAGGACAGGACAAAATTTTGCTGAGTGGAATGAAAGATTTGCATTCTATGTTCCTGGATGAGCAGATTTCATGTTATAAATATGTTAGTTATCACCATGTCTTCATATTAATTTGTAAATGTAATTTCTGCTGGGCACAGTGGCTCATACCTGTAATCCAAACAGTTTGGGAAGCTGAGGCGGGTAGATGACAATTAGCTGGGTGTCTGTGGCACACACTTGTATTTCCAACTACTTCTGAGGCTGAGGTGGGAGGAGCACTTGAGCCTGGGAGGCAGAGGTTGCAGTGAGCCGAGATCATGCCTCTGAACTCCAGCCTAGGTGACAGAGTGAGACCCTGTCTCAAAAAAAAAAAAAAGAACTAGAAAAGTGTGTGTGTGTATATATATATATATTTCATATTTTATAAATATTTATATATATAAATTGTATATATACATTTTATATTTTATATATAGTGTGTGTGTATTATATATATACACACACACACAAATTTCAGTACAAATTCTGGCAGATTTATTTTTGACACTTGACAAAACGACTCTAAAATTTGTTTAGAAGAATAAGTAATAAAAAGTAATAAAGTATAGACTCTTTCAACCAGATAGTAAATAAAATATTGTGGACTATCCCTGGGCCAGACAGATAAAGGCAATGGAAGTTTAGAACCAGAGTCATGCAAACGAGAATTTAGTATAAGGAAAAGGTGGTATTTTAACTTAATACTGAAAAGATAGATTATTCTGTAAATGGTTTTAGGAGAACTATTTGAGGAAGTCTGAGTCTTAACTCCAATTTTTGTCAAAATAAGTTAGTTGGTTTAAACACATCTATTCTTAAAAATTAGAACAGAAGAATATTGGTTTGAAGATATTTTAAGAGTTAAGGCTGAGGCTGGGCACAGTGGTTCACGCCTGTAATCCCAGCACTTTGCGAGGCCAAGGTGGGAGGATTGCTTGAGCCCAGGAGTTTGAGATCAGCCTGGGCAACACAGCAAGACTCTTTCTCTCTCTCTCTCTCTCGATATAGATATACATATAAATATACGTATACAAATAGAAAAAAAAAAGAGTTAAGTTTTGTATGGAGAGCCATGAAGATAAGAGGTAAAAATTAAAGGCTTGATGGACACATGTTTACATCTCCATCAAGGGGGTTGATGGGAAAGAATGATAGACATAGCTCCATTACTGCTACCTCCTTTTAGGAAGTTGCTTCTGAACATCTAAAGATATCAGTTTTATAATAGAAATGAGTTATTTTTCAGTGTCTAAAACATCACATGAGATACATACATACATGCATACATACATAAATATGTTCATAAAGTTAAATGAAATAGGATATAAAATTGGGCCTAGTGTTTAAAAGGTAAATATATTTACATGAAGGAGAAAACAACTCACCTCCCACTCTTAGAGCCTCTGCCAGTTTATCATAGCCTAGTTTCTTGAGAGAATAAGCTACATGTCTTCACCTTTTTTCACTGAGCTCATTATACTCTGGATTCTGCCTTCATCGTTGCACTAAAATTTATCTCCTAGTTGTCAAATCCAGTGGCTCCCCTCTTAGTCCCCAAATTGACCCCTCTGCAGTATTTTGATACTGTTGATTGTTCCTTTGTTGAAACATTCCTCCATTCTTAATGTCCACCAATAAAGAGTTGGTTAAATAAAAATTATAGTGTGCCGTTTTATAATAGAATATTCTGTTGTTCTGTTGTGGACCAAAAAATGCAGCCAGTCTTTCCATAAGAGCACGTGCAAACTTCTAAGATATATTAAGTAAAAAAGTAAGGCATAAAATATTGTGTATAATCTGACCCCTTTAGTACACAGTGTAAAAACATCTGTGTCTGTGCTTCTTTATACTTACTTTTTTCTCCCCTGGTGAATACAGGAAACTGTGAATAGTACAACACAATTAAAAAAAAAAAAACTGTGTGTCTGCTGCACCAGGACCTGTGATAATTGGGTATAAAAGACAAAAAAGACATGTCCCTGTCCTCTGGGAAGGGACATGATAATCAAATGAGACTTCTGTCGGATTCTTTTCTCCTGTTTTGATCTTATCACCCTTTCTTGGTCTCCTCCGATCTCTTCTTCCTTGTCCTACTTCTTCTCTTCTCATTCTGTGCTTTCTCTGAGTAATCTTTGACTCCCATTACTTAAGTCATGACCTGTGTTCCAGGGACTCCTAAATTTGTATTCATCTCCAGAGTTTCAAACCCATATATCTGTCTGTATATCATATATTTAGGGAATCTCACTTGGAGTGACATGGGTGTTCAAAATGATGATATTTAAATTTTCACGTATCCATCTCCTAGCACTCTATCTAGTCACATATGCCTAAACCTGGGAACTGTCTTAATATTCTTTTATATACACCTGTTCTGACCTCCCCCCAAAACTAGTAAATTTCTAAGACCTGTCCTTCTGAATGTCTCTTACAATTTTTCCTGTGATCTCAGTTTCTTCCTCCCATCCCTCAAATGCTTTGTGTGTGTGTGTGGTGGGGGAAGAGAGTAAAATTGAAATTTGTGGAAAACGTACTAGCCTGTCTGTCTGTCTTTCGAGGTGAAGTCTCCCTCTTGTCCCCCTGGCTGGAGTGCAATGGCACAATCTTGGCTTACTGCAACCTCCATCTCCTGGGTTCAAGCAATTCTCCTGCCTCAGCCTCCTGAGTAGCTGGGATTACAGGCACCTGCCACCATGCCCAGCTAATTTTTGTGTTTTTAGTAGAGATGGGGTTTCATCATGTTGGCCAGGCTGGTCTCGAACTCCTGACCTCAGGTGATCCACCCGCCTTGGCCTCCCAAATTGCTGGGATTACAGGTGTGAGCCACCATGCCTGGCCACTACCCTGTCTTGTTGCTTGGTATGACTCCACTACCCTGCTGCCTCTCTCCCCGTACAGCAGCATAATTTAGGAATCAGAGAGACTGAGGAGGATATATATTATTAGGTGCACTGGCCCAGTCAGATTAACATCTAAAGGACTGAGCCCTGAACAAAGAGTCAGGTTACCTTTTAAGCATTTTGTGTCGGTCATTATGCCGACAAGGTGTCCGCACTAAGTTCAGTATCAGTATGGTGACCTCCTGGGAACAGGGGGCCATCGGGTTGCCTAAGGATGGGAGAACTGGCTCAGGTCAGAAGGGGAGCAGGTCAGAATTCCTGCGCCAATCGGTAGTGGGACTGTGCCTGGGCAATATAGCAAGATCTTGGTTCTTAAAATTCAAAATAAAGAACAGCTCATTCCCCTCTGGGGAGGGGCTGGCTCAAGGTTACACAGTGAGTGTGGGGGCAGAGGCGGGCCCACTGTACCTCCCTTGTTGGGTTGTCTGAGGACCCCTCTGGCCACCCCCCACAGGAGATGGAGGAGGACATCTGGACAGTGAGCAGGAGGCGCCTCGGCCCATGCCGAACATCCCAGGGGACCTGGAGAGCCGGGAGGCCATGGTGAGCCTGACTTTCCCTGCCCCTACTTTGCCACCTTCCTCTGTGGTCCCTCCGAAACCCCCTTATGTTCTTGGTTTCCCCGCCTTCTGACTTCTGTGGACTTTCACTCCTCCTGGGAGCCAGTGGTCAGACACCATTTCACCTGTGACCAACAGGTGCACTCTGTGAGGCCCGAAAGGAAGGGGCTATGCTCCATCTGCCTGCCCCAGTTGTTATGTGTATACCCCTACAAGAATACTCACCTCTTGTCTTCAGGTGGCATTTTTCAACTCCGCTGGAGCCAGTGCCCAGGAGGAACAAAGGGTGTGCTGCCAGCCCCTGGCTCACCCAGTGGCCTCGTCCCAGAAGAAGCCAGAGGTAGCGGCCCCAGCCCCAGAGAGTGGGGGTGAGTCTGTGTTTGGGGAGACCCACCGGGCCCTGCAGGGGGCCATGGAGAAGCTGCAGGTGAGTAGGTCCTGGCATGGGCCAACAAGGGGGGCGGTGGGGCAGGACAAGGCAGGTGACTCCTGACATGTGACCCCATTATTTTGGCTCCACAGCGACTTTATGGAAGGAGAAGGTGGACCTGAAGGAGCGGGTAGAGAAACTAGAGCTTCAATTCATCCACCTCTCAGGACAGACAGACACCATAGTGAGCGAGAGGCTAGGGCACCGCTGGGGGGAGCTGCCAGGCCATCCGAGGGGCCCCAGCATCTGAGCCATGTCCTCCTGCAGGAAAGTACATCAGCCAGGGGGCAGTGTCAGAGACGCAGCACTGGGAGAGGAGGACATCGTCAGGCTGGCCCAGGACCAGGAGGAGATGAAGGTAGGGTGTGCAACATCTCGGTGGGGGTGGGGGTGGAGGTGGGGGTGAACGTGCGTGCCGGCACCGGCATGGCAGCTAACACCCCTTCCTCCAGGTGAACCTGCAGGAGCTGCGGGGCAGGTGTTGCAGCTTGTGGGCGACCACAAGGAGGGGCATGGCAAATTTTGACCATTGCCCAGAACCCTGCTGATGAGCCCACTCTAGGAGCCCCAGTAGCCCAGGAGCTTGGGTGTGCTGACGAGCAGGGTGGTGAGTAGAGCCCTCAGGTGGGGTGGGCAGGCAGGAGCAGGGGAGGCTCGCACTGTGCTCAGATTCCCACCCCCCTCCCTCTCTCTGAAGATCTTTGTGAGGTGAGCCTCACTGATAGCGTGGAGGCTGCACCAGGAGAGGACAGGGAGGGTTCTCCCCACGACAACCCCACTGCACAGCAGATCCAGCAGCTGCTTCCTGTAATGCAGGACTCCCCAGGAGCACCCAGGCATGGGCAGCAACCCCTGCATGCCATTCTTTTTGGGCTCCCGAGAACAGGGAGATAAACACCACCATCATCTGAGAGCCGGGAAGGGGAAGGCGTAGGTGTGGGCGTGGCAAGGTTCCTGGAAAAGAGGGGCTGGAAGGGAAAGGGGAGGAAGATGGAGGGAGAAGCTAGAGCTTCATAGGTAGTGCCTGGGGGCTGTGGCAGCCCTCCCCACCCCACACACACTGGCCTCTCTCATGGCACCCAGGCAGTCCACCCACAGTTCAGACCAATGCTCAACCCCCCCGGCTTCCCTCTTCTGTGGTCACCCCATCTTCCAACCCACTGGCCCAGGGCCACCTCTTGCTTGGGGAGCCCCACCCAACAGCCACCAAGCCTGACAGAAGGAACACTGCTTGAACCAAAATGGTGAAGCTATAAGGGATGGCGGGCTGGAGTGAGCGCCAGAGGCCCCTCTCTGGGCAGTCAGAAAGCCCAGGGTCCACTGAAGGGACCCTGGGGAAGGCAGGGAGGGCAGGTAGCTAGATGCCACTGCCCGTAGACTTATAAGTCTAAGAGGGGAGCCTCAACTGGTTGGCGGGGGGCTGCAGGTTGCATAGGTGAGGCTGGGCCCTTCCTGCTGGGAAAAGCAGAAGAGGGAGACTCCGTGGCAGGAAAGGCAGGTGGGCTCGCTAGGCGGAGCTCAGCTGGGCCAGCAAGCACTGTGGTCTCCTTGGCTGAATAGCACAGGTGACCCCTAGGAGCAACAGGCCAAGGTCCGTGAGTCTGCTGGCTGGCAGTAGTGCTTCAGTAGCGCTGGCCAGGGACCCAGCCTTCAGTCACACGCTAGCAGCTGTGATGGTACCTGGGAAGGAGGGAAGGGGGCTGTGTGTCCTTGCATGGCCTATGAAGTGTGTTGTGGGATAACCGTGTGTATTGAACTCTCAGGCTTTTATCCTAGATCACCACTGGATTGCTGACAGATAGAGGAGGTGGGACCCTGACTATCACCCCTAATCTGCAGTGGATTTGGCTCTCGGCACTCCCAGGCTGGGAGCTGGATACCTGCCCTGGCAGCATGGCTCAGACTGCATGACAGGTACGGCGTGCCCAGGATGATGTGCCCAGGCCTCTGGCCGCCTGAGTCCAGCCCCCCACACAACCCCCTCCAAGCTCCCAGCCCCTACACCATAAACCATGAGCTCTGTGCCCTCTCTGATGGTTCCACATCTGCCACCTTCGGCATGGAGCCTGTTGTAAGAGCCCCCAGGCTCAGCCATGGAGACCTTGAGCAGTGGCACTGAGTCCTGTGGCTGGCAGGGAGGGAAGTGAGACAGCCAGCAGCACAAGGACAGAAAGAGGAAAGAGCAAGTCTGCAGCTCTAGAAGGGAGGGGCAGGCAGCCTGGCTCTGAGGCTCCAGGTATGCCCCCTGTGTGGAGCTGGGGCAGCGGGGCAGGCAGACCATTCATGCAGCAGGCAGTGAGGCATGTACCTACCATGGCTGATGCTCCTCAGGGGCCACTGATAGTGATTCTGAAAGACAGCATCAAATCACATGGCAGGTCCCATGCATGGGTGGGGCAGGCCTGGGGGTGGCGGACACACGCACACGCCAGATTGTGCACACACATGCTGTGAGGCCCCACGGCCCGCATGCACACTCTAACACATGCCCACAAACAACACGCATACGTCGCCCTCTCCGCCACCTCCCGGTGCCCAGCACCCTCACCGGCCGGCACGTGCCGCATGGATCTGGGGCGTGCAGCCACTCGGCACACTGAAGCACATGCGTGGGCAGAGTCACAACACAGATGCTCACCCGCACACAGAGGCATTTGCACCAGCTCCCTGCACACTCGTGCCTGGCGTGCTCAGAGGACCACCCATGCTGCTCAGGGAGACAGGGCTTGCTCACTAATGTCCGGCTGTCATTTCTCCACCTAAGAGCCTTCCATGGCTCCCTACTGCCTACAGCATTGAATCCCAACAAGTCATACTCTTTGGACTTTGAAGGTTCTCCACCCTGTGCCCCACCCTCCCCACAGAGCTCTTCATTCTGTCTCTGTTCCCTGCTTTGGCCAGTGGCTATCCTCATTGTGACCCACACTACACCTCTGCCCACACTGCAGCTCTTTACCCAGTTACCCTCCAGTTCCTCACAACGTATGCCTATCTCCATCATGCCCCGGACTGCATTGAAGCCAGGCTGCCTTGAAGAAGCTCTCCCAGACTGCCCTTTTCCCCAAGGCAGGGTCATGATTTGCCAAAGGTTTCGTGTGTGTGTTAGCAAGACTGGAGTCAGAGCAGGCATCAAACTTTACATCCCATATGTCACACCTCACCATAGACCTGGGTGCCAAATAGCCTGAAGAGTCTGAACTCACGTTGGCAGTTAGGAAAGTGCTCCTACAGACGCATCTACGGTTAACATAGCATCCCTATGGCCACTGTCTCCCTTGATCCCCACAGCCATTCTAGGAGAAAGGCAGAATGTCATAATTTGCTAAAAGGGATGCTGAGGCTCTGGGAGGGAAAGGGACTTGCCTAAAGCCCCAGGGTGAAGCAGCATCTCTGGACTCCCAGTCCAGTGATCTTGCCCAATACTTTGCTGCTTGCCTATACCCCTCTAACTTGGTCAACAGCACATCACAGGGCAAGCCCCAATCCCTGCTTCATTTTTATATATGGGCGCTGGTCCCACAGCCCCACTCTCCAGCCATTTGGAAACAAAAACAGATGCTATTGTTCTTCCTTAGAGAACGTGGCCAGTGGAGACGGCACACTGGAAATCAGAGTGAATGTTCTTGAAAGAGGGTCACGGGTCAACAAGGCCCAGCCAAAGGATGCAGTAGAACCATTTTCCTTAGAAATCTTTGGGAGTGAAGTAGGCTTCAGCCACTCCCATCCCTGCCCTTGCGGCTACCACTACCCCATTAGTTTAGACAGGGTCGGGCGGGGAGGGGTGTGGAGAAGAAATGAGCTTGCCTGTGGCCCCCAGGCTCCCTCTGTCCTAGCTCAGGTCTGGGTGCCATTCTTTACACTCGTGTGCTCGCTCACGCACACATCACACACCTTGCTGGTCACACAGTCACAGACTCGCCTCTGCTCCTGTGGTCCAGTGGCCGGACACCCCCTGGGATGGCTCAAAGGAGTCAGGACTTGGAAGTGGGGACATCAGGGTAGCTGAAGGAAATCCACACACCCAGAGCATCTCGGAGTTCAGACTCTCAGACCTGAAGTAGGCGCCCCCGGGACTGGGCTAGGAGTTGGACGGAATGGAGGATGGAGGACAGCGAGAAGAAAGGAAGAGAAATGCAAAGTGTGGGCAGCCGCCAAGAGTGAAAATAGAGGGAAGTGTCATGCAAGTGCTGGACAGAAGGCGGCAGGTGGGACGAGCCCCACAGCCCCCTCCTCAAAAACGACCACCTCCAGGACTCAGTGATCCCTGGGGGGCAGGCTCTGCCAGCCCTCGGCCACACGTGGCTCCGGCACCCATGGTCCCAGTGCCTTGGATGGAGACGGCCAGTTCTGGCGGCCAGATGTGGTGCTCTGGAATCCAGTCCCATTTCCTTCCTGGCCACGCCTGTCCAGCGGCCTCTTTGGCTGCATTCAGCCCCTACTTACCTGGGGACCCCGGCTGGGGCACAAGAGCACCAGGGGGGTAGGGCCCAAAGGGATCAGGGGAAGCCTCTGGCCTGGAGGGTATGGGGCACACTTCCCCAAGGGCGGACCCAGCAGGAGGAAGCCCAGGAGCTGGGTCCTGCCGCCCAGGAGCTGGGCCCTGCCACCCAGGCCGGGCTAGGGACATGGCAGGGCCTGGGCATCCTGGCGCTGGACTTGGGCGACCTGGGAGGCACAGGGAGGGGAGAGATGGGCGGCCCCGCCCCAGCGCAGTGCCGGCCACACCCATGCACTGAAGCTCCTCCCTGCCACACCCCAAGGCGGTTGCCGGAGCTTAAGCCCCGCCCCCAGCAGCGAGAACATCCCACCCCCCCCCCCCCCCCCCCCCGCAGCCAGTGCTCCTTGTCAAGCTCCCCCCGTCACTCCAGGTGGGAGCCACCCCGGTGAGGGGGTGTGCCACTTGTCCCCAGGGCACTCCTCTGGGCATCCCGGGTGGGGGATTTTGGGGCCGTGGGGGGCAGTCTCTGGTACCTGTGTGCGTCAGGGATGCTCTGCACCTGCAACCAGGTGTCGTCCACGGGCGGGGGCATGGTAACAGTGGTCCTGTTGATGTCACCGATGATGCTGAGCGCCTCCTTCAGCGCGTGGTGCATGTGCAGCATCTCGTCGTGCTGCTGTGCCTGCTCTGCCAACTCCTCCATCAGTGTGTTCTGGTTCCCACATGAGTACATATTGGCCAGCGGCTCCGAGATGATGAACTCCGGGGTCTGAGAGTGGGCAAACAGGGAAGAAGGTTGGGACCTGGTGCCTGTGCCGCCCTGGCTGCCTTGCTGGGCCCTTCTGGGACTGTGCGCTGGACTTGGAGCCCCTTGGAGTATGGCTTTTCACACGGGCTTCTATACCGCTTCGACTGGAAGATCCACCTCCCCACTGCCTTTTCTCACTCAGATGGGGACACCGAGGTCCAGAGGAAAAGACACCTGTCAAATGTCACAGATCTGGGAGGGGACTTAAGACCTATCATGCCAAGAGGACACCTGTCTACTCAGTTTTTTTTTGGTGGGGCGGGGGGCGGTGATAGGGTCTCGCTCTGTCACCAGGCTGGAGTACAGTGATGACTGCTCACTGCAGCCTCCACCTCCTGGGCTCAAAGTGATCCTCCAACGTCAGCCTCTCGAGTAGCTAGGACTACAGGCACATGCCACCACCAAGCCCAGCTATTTTTAAAATTTTTGTGTGGAGACAAGGTCTCACTATGTGGCCCAGGCTGGTCTCGAACTCCTGGGCTCAAGTGATCCTCCTGCCTCGGCCTCCAGGAGTGGGAGTTGGAGTTGATACCTGGATACAGGAGCTCTGTGGGTGGGAGTGAGGCAAAACACAGGGTCCTGAGGTCTGGGGACCAAGCAATGTCCTCTGGTGAAAAAAATCCTGGACTTGCTGGCAGAAGTTTTGCCTCTTACTTGCCATGTGCTCTGAATACATTTACCTGCCCTCTGGGAGCTTCAGTTTTCTTATCTGAAAAATGAGGACACCTGACCCCTTCCCTACCCAGTTCAGTGTTGTGGGACAGGGTTGCTGTCAAGACAATACCCAGTCCTGCCCTCCTCCCTGAGTGGGCCAGGTAGCCCATGTAGCCTCTTCCCGGCTTTCCTGGGTGGCACTGTCAGCTTGGTGCCCATTCAATCTAGTCCTTCATCTTGCTGGAGCATGGGGAAGCTCTGAGTAACATGGGACTATAGAGTGCAAGAGGGTTGCTGATGGTCTGCGTCCTGTGCCCTCCTCATTCCTGGGCATTCTTGACAAAGGCTCCCAGCAAGTGAGGGTACGCAGCAGCTGTAGACACCAACCTGATGAATATCTCATTGTGGGAAGGGCACCATAGCAGGAGTGGAGCTCCAGGGAAATACAGAACCGAGGTCTGGGAGGTGCTGATGTGAGAGGCCCAAGAAACCTCGGCTTTGCACTTGCTGAGTACCATCTGCACCTCTCAGGAGGGAGAGCGCCAGGCTCAGGAGGTCCTTGCCGAAGCAAGGGAGCTTGAAAAGGGGGCTGGGGTGGGCTCTGCCATTTTCAAGGGCTGACAGGGGTCCCCTCTGGAGGTACTTGGGGCAGTGCTGCGGGCCGTGGCTCCTGAGTGACAGAGTCAGCTCTGCGCCCCACAAGACCGCTCCCTGCCCAGAACTCACTGTGATCATGTGCTGGGTCCAGATGCTCACGCAGCCTCCTGATGGGGGCATCAGGTGTGCTGCCTGCCCAGGACGGCCCACAAGAGTCTGCCCTGCCCTGCCCTGCTATGGAACAACTCCCATTCTGCCTTTGGGGAGAGGTGTTCATTTAAACCATGACTGGGCTGGCCCCCATGGCACAATTACCACAGAGAGTCTGCCACTACCCATGGCTGAGAGCTCTAGTTCTTCTCTGAAGCCACCAGGACAGATGAACAGTGGCTTCCCCCTTTTGGCCGACTCAGCTGCCTTTCATCAGCTCATCTGCTCCTAGGATCCACTCTTCCTCTGGCTGGCACCTGATCTGAGCCCGAGGCTCACACCTCTGCCCACAGGCCCCAGCAGCTGCTTCACCTCCGACTCCATCCCCCACCAAGCACTGCCCCTCACCAGCTACTGGGGTGCCACTAGTGCCCCTACATGGTTCTCCCTCTCCAGACCCTTGGGTCCAGCTCTAGCTTCCTTTGGGAAGCCACACCCCAAGACCCCAGCCCTGCTCTAGGGCCCTGTATCCCCGACTTCCTGCATTCTTCTCCCTCCTTCTGGGAACATGAACTTGCCCTGCCAGCCTGATGACGCCTAGAGGGCAGGACACCAGGTCCTGGACCATGGCAGGCCTGGGAGTGTCTGCTGCCGGTGATGCTGGAGCTGGTGCCCATGTCCACATGATGTCCATGGCACAGTGGCCACCTGAGGCTGGGCGCATCTGAGTGGTGGCTGCAGAGTGGGGCCCTTACCTCTGCCTGAGTGAAGTTCACCAGGTCCTCCCCTGTGCTGTCATGCTGGGCGTGGAAGAGCCGGCCTAGCTGGAGGCCCCGCACCACATGGTAGAGCAGGAGCTGGGGGTCGGTGCCTGCTGGCTCTGAGGCTCTGGCTGCTGAGTGGCTGGACGGACTCTGCCAGAGGCAAAAGGGGCCATCAGCCTTTGTGATCCAGGCCGAGGCCTGTGGCTGCAGAGAGGCAGTGTGACCCTGGCATGCCACCCTCAGCTCTGCCCCAGCCCCCTGCACCCAGGAATGCCCACAATCAGCACACCCACCTGGGCAGTCAGTGTCTGGCTGCCCTCCAGCGAGTGAAGCACTTGCTTCTGGGCCGTCACTCAGAAGCTAAGTGTCTGGAGGAAGTATGTTCACCGTCAGAGAGGCCAAAGTGGATGCCTCTGTCCAGGGCCCCTGGGGACAAGGGTGTTGGGTCCAGCTGGCCTGAACTGGCTCCCCACCTCAGGGTGCCCCCGTGGGCAGCAGAAACCTGGGGCTCGGCCCTCAGCACCCACCTCTGTGTGAGAACAGCACGAGCCCACCATCCAGCTGGGTCTGCATGAAGCTGCGCACCTCAGTGCCCGGCACCGCCCACCGCACTACCCACCCATTGCTGGGCTGCTTAATGGTGTACACCAGGTCCTTGGGCCCAGAGTAACCATCCATGCTCCTCAGAGCCTCTGTAGGGATGGGCACGGTGGCCCCCTCCCACGTCTGGGGACACAGGCCTGTGAAGGTTCTGCCCTGCCACACTTACCCACCCCTTCCTCCCCGGCCCTGGGCTGCCACCAGGGCTCCAACCCCACTGAGGCTCAGGCCCTCAGGTGGCATCAAGGCTGGCGCTGCTGTGGCTCCCCTGCACAAATGGCCTCCCTGCATTCACCTTCCCTGTCACCCCAGGGAAGGCCACCCTCCAGGCCCAGCATCCCTGCTCTTCATCTGTCCTAGTCCTGTGTGTCCCTCAAGACCAGCTTGTGTACCCAACCCAGGAAGGCCCTAGCTCTTACCCTCACCAAGTTCTCACCCCCAGAAACCCCCAGCGCTGACCAACAGTGCTCCTTAATCTGTCTCACTGGTGGGGCAGCAGTCTCCTTTCAGACCCTCCATGTGTGCCTGGCAGGGGCTGGGCACAGGTGGGAACAGTGATTTTAGAAACGAGCACTCCTTCCAGCTAAGGGAGGGGTGGGAGGCGCAGAGAGCTGAAGCCTGATGGTTGGCACTGTCCTGCAGCACAGAAGCAGTGCTGGGATGGGCCCAGGTGCTTCCAGAGCAGTTACGGGCCCTCCTCGTGTTGGGCAAAGGGGGCCCCTTTTCAGGCCTCCCACTAGCAAGCAGAACAGGCACCCGTTCCTGAGGTCCTGGTACCAGTCTTGCTGGGTCAATTACTTGTGGGCAGTGCTGCAGTGGGACTCACATGCCCAGAAAACAGCCCTCTGGCATTCCTGGGCTTCCTCCCCTGGCCGCAGGGAGCCCTCAGGCCGAGCCTTGGCAAGAGGGGCCATACTGTGGGAGGCAGGGCCCCATCACTGGGCTCCCGGAACAAACACGGGTAGATGGCACCACCTGGTGGCCGCACTGCCACAGAGCCATCCCAGCCTGTGGTTCCAGGGTGCTGTGTCCCACTCTTCTGTGGCCTCCGCACCATGAGGCCACCCCCTACAGGCACATCCTAGACCACCAAAGCCCCCCGGTGCCCCATGTCAGAGACAGCCCAAGTCAGCCCTCTTGCGGAACCTTCAGTGGCTTCTGCTGACTGGGGAGGACGCGCCCCAGAAGCTGGGGTTCAAAGCCCTGCCACTTGGGCTTAGTAAAGCCATGCCCTTTCTGTTCCACCAGAACTACTTTTGCAATCATGGAGAAGTTCCATCCCATGTCTGGGCCTCAACTTCCACCTTTGCCAAATGGGGGCCCTGCTCTGCTGTGGACAAGGGGCAGGAGTTTGGGAAGCCAAGCTGAGGCCTTCACTTGCTGGGGTGAAGGTGGGAAGCTTAACGGTCCCACCCTGACGCCAGCCCTTAAGGGCTTGTAAGTGATTCTTTCAGGTGTTCTGGTCCTAAGCCACAGGAGAAGGAACAGCAGAGCCACCCATGGCTGCTCAGAAGTCTGCCTGCCGTACTTGCAAATGTCCAATAACAAAACCTCCCGCCTGTGTTCTATTTCAGCACAATCTCACATCTCTCCTTCCAACAACTGCGTGAGGCACACAGTAGTGTCCTCATTTTGCAGAGGAGGAAACTGAGGCTCAGAGGGGGGGAGATCTGTGCCGGGAAGTAGGGGACATTGGCCTCTTTCTCAAAGCAGACATTGGGGGTGGTCCCAGGAATATGCTCACCTGCAGGCCTGAGTTTGTATGAGGTCGGGGGTTGGCCATTGACAGGCAGGATGGTGACAGTGAAGGCCACAGGATGGCTCTGGCGGTCCATCTCAGAGGCATTAGCCATCAGGACAAAACCGTCAGTGTCTTGCTCCCATCGTGCAGGTACTGGATCAGATGCTCTTCCACCTAGGGGCAGGCCCAGGGCTGGCAGTCAGACCCCAGCAGCACCCTTCATGTTCTGCCTTTGGGTGCAGGAAGAGACTGACCCTTTTAGGGCCTCAGCTTCCATTGGTGGAAAATGGGGACCATAAGTTCTGGTTCCCAGAGGAGTTGTGAGGAAGAAAGGGGATATTTTATTTTATTTTGAGACAGAGTCTCTCGCTCTGTTGCCCAGGCTGGAGTGCAGTGGTGTGATCTCGGCTCACTGCAACCTCTGCCTCCCAGATTCAAGCGATTCTCCTGCCTCAGCCTCCTGAGTAGCTGGGACTACAGGTGCGGGCCACCACACCCGGCTAATTTTTTGTATTTTTAGTAGAAACAGGGTTTCACCGTGTTAGCCAGGATGGTCTTGATCTCCTGACCTCCTGATCTGCCCACCTCGGCCTCCCAAAGTCCTGGAATTACAGGCATGAGCCACAGCGCCCAGCCCGAGATACAGCATCTAAAGCATAGGTCTTTCTGAAATGTGACTCCCTGTCTCCTCTCTGTATAACCCCTGGACTGGGAGTCCCCGGGGCTCCCTCCACTCTGCCCCCAGAGCTGGGCTGCAGCCCCTGGGCCTCTCTCACAGCCGTACCTCTCTCCAGCAGAAGGTGCTGAGGGTCCTGGCTTGAGGCCCATCCTCCTTCTGCAGGGCCCCATGCCGGGGTGGCTCCAGCACCTGCAGGCCAAGGCCCGGGAGAGTGGGGAAGTAGGACCTGGCAACGCGGAGCAGTGGAGGGGCCAGGGTGCAGCTGCGACTGTGCCCCCTCTACTGCTGAAGTTTTGTGCCCCCAGTGGGGATGACAGCAGGCAGCACCTCCAGCTCCACGTGACGTCCTCAAGGGGAGCACCCAGGCCGAGGCCACATCCAGCGAGAAGGCATGGCTCCGGGCCTCAGGGCGGGAGTGCAGGTAGAGGATCCTGCCTGTGTCCACTGCCTCTTGGGAGAAGCTCTGCACGGGGTCCAGGCTGGGTGGCTCATCTGCCAAGATGCCACGCAGCACCATCACCAGGTAGCCGGCACTCGGTGGGCTCTTCACTGAGAAAACGATGTCTGCTGGCGGCACTGCCTCCTGGGCTACCTGGTTAACAGAGGTCATGAGGACTCACAAGGGAATGCGCAGAGGGGTCTCAGAGGGGCCCACTGTGGCCCTAAGCAGCCAGAACAGCCTTGATCTTGCTCCACTTATTTCCCCAGATACCACTGCTCATTTAGTGACACACACACATGTGGGTTCACACACACAGCAGCCAGACATGCAGCTGGTCATATTTTTTGTTTTTTTGAGACAGGGTCTCACTCTGTCACCCAGGCTGGAGTGCTGTGGTGTGATCACAGCTCCCTGCAGCCTCAACGTCCTAGGCTCAAGGGCTCAGCCTCCCAAGTAGCTGGGACCACAGTCATGTGCCACCATGCCTGGCTAATTTTTAAATGTTTTGTGTAGAGATGGGGTTTCACTGGGTTGCCCCAGCTGGTCACATGTTAATACCCACCCCACACATGGTTACGGGGTGTCGGTCACACAGCTTGAGATGCACTCCCTCAGGGAAGTGCATAATCACATGTCCCCAGACTCAGTGACACAGACATATGAGTTCATCAGATGCCGATGCAGTCACACAGGTACAGGTACACATGCGTGTGTGCACACGCACACAGGCCCCCTGCTCAGGATCTGTTCAGGCCTGTGGCTGGTTTGCTGGCAGCATCCTCCCCAACCCCTGCTATTACCACCCAGGACCATCAGAGGGTGCCCTGCCCCACCCCACCCCACCCCTCCTAGAGGCACAGGCACCCCCAGCACAGGCCCTACAGAGCTCACACCCCAAAGGCCACATGGGCTCCCTCACCTGATGGGCCATCCACAAGAGGCTAAACTGCCTCCAAACTCACATTCCTGTTTTGTGCCTTCGGCCGGAATGTTCCTTTTGCATGGAATACCACTCCCCATTCTCTGCTCCTAATGGCCTGTACTCTTCAGAGCCCGGCCCAAACACTGCCTCCTCCCATGAGGCCTTCCTGATGCCAGATCTGCTGGCTCACCATGGGCCCCAAGCTCCAGATGCAGACCAGAAGGGTCTCCGAAATAAGCAGTGTGGAAGAGTAAGGCTGAGAGCGGGCAAGGACTGGCCTGAGGTCACAGGGCATGTCAGATCTCTGGAAGGCCCGTGGCTGCTCTGTGAGGTTCCTGGGTAAGCAGAAGCCCTTGACAGACCCTCCTGGTCCTGGTCTGGGCTCTGAGAAGAGAGCAGGCTACACAGGGGTCTGAGAGGCAGCGGCCTGTCTCCACGGCCAGCAATCCCAAAAGTTCAGGACCCGTGATGCCCTCCCAGGGAACTGACTGCAATGCAGATTCTCGGGCTCCACTTCAGAGATTCTGTAGGGCTGGGTGGCGTCCAGGAATCTGCATGCTCAGCCATGCCATGGACATGAGTGGGCACCAGCTCTAGAGGCACACACCACTCCCAGGAGGATGGGTGTACAGCAAGCTCCCCAGAAACTCTTGGGAACACAACATATATGGGAGCATATCTGAGGCACGTGCACACACGCAAGCTGGGACCACCACAGGTACAGCCCAAGTCACATGTGTTCCCGGCATGGAGGCTGGGAGGAAGGCCCTCTACCTGGTCCACACCCCGCTCACCACCTCCAGCTCCTCACCTCCAGCTGGTCCCTTCTGATCTCAGCTGCCTCTCCCTGGAAGATGTAGATCTTCTTGTGCTGGGCCAGCTTCAGTGGGGCTACTGGGCCCTCTAGGGCAATGGTCACTTGTAGGGTGGCATCTGTGTGCACTGGTCCCACATCCATTGAGAAGGCCAGGGTGTTGCAGGAGCTGAGGCTGCCATTGTGGCCATAGGGAACAGCCCCAACCAGCAGGTCCTGCTGAGAGAAGGCTGTGGCTGGCTGAGTGGCTTGGAGCAACTGTCCCCAGTGAGGGCTGTCTGTGACGTGGTAGTGGGCCTCATCCCTACTGCAGATGTTGAGGTTGGTGCCCAGGTGGAGCTCGGCCATGTTGATGGTACCCTGGCCTCCTTGAGGAACCATGAGGCCGGAGCCATTGGCCACACAGAGGTAAGGCTCCAAGGCCTGCACCTCCAGCACCGTGATGGCCTGGTGCTGCCCATCGGACACCTGCAGCGGGATCCAGCCGTGGTCAGCCTGAGTGTGTGAACAGGACTCGCCTCTTCCTGAGGCCCCTCCTGGATGAAGCGGCAGATGGGCTGCATGGGCTCATCCGTGGCCATGATACTGCCAGAGAGGAGGTCCTGGTGGGTCAGCACCAGCTGGGCCTCAGCAAAGCCCGAATCAGCATTGCTGAAGGCCATGTTGTCTGTAGTCAGCAGCCGCCACCTACCCCAGGCCACATGGAAGACGCAGCTGATGGTCTGCATAGGGGCGTGGTCATTCACAGGCTGGATGGCCACTCAGAAGACACCCCATACCTCCTCCCAGGCCACGTCACCACTGCTCTGGTCCTGGTGGCAGCAGGAAATGGGATATCATCTTCTGTGATCTCGGAGTCATCATGCTGCTAGACCAGCTGGCCATGCATCAGGTCTCCATTGGTGAAGGATGTCACCATAGTGATCTTGTCCTGTGTCCCACGCCAAGTCAACCTCCCATGGCGGGGCTGCTCCATGACCTCATAGAGGTACCTGGCACTGTTGAGACTCTTGATGAAGAGCTGGTCAGCAGAGAGGACACACTCACCACCCTCGGGCACCATGAGGACAGGCATGTCTGGGTCACCGCCAATATGGATGGAGAAGGTACAGAGTGGGGAGAAATATGGTGGAGCTGTGACATGGAAACAGAAGGTGTCCTCCACTGCCACTGAGGCACGTGCCATGGCCCCATAGGTCACCTCTGCAGCCTGTACGTCATCCTGGGTGAAGCCCTGACCGTCTGACATCATCGTGCCCTGTAGTTGAAGGTTGCCTTTCCTGGGAGCCTGAACCACCTCACAGTGGAAGGTTGGGGGGCTTGGGCCTGCCTCCTCCAGGGTGGCCTCCAGGTGGGCTGTGGTGAGGGCCTCCTGCTGGGTGTTCTGAGTGTGCAGTGGCTCCAGCTGCAGCATCCACACAGTGGCTCTCTGGATGGTCACTAGGAAGGACAGATTGCTCAGGATTTCCCAGCTCACCTGCACCTGCAGATCCAGGTTCTCCACGGTGTCCTCGGTGTAGTGCTGTGGGTCAGTGCTCAGGTATCTCACGTGGCCCTGCTCCACATCCTGCTGGTGGAACGCCTGTGTGACCCACCACTCAGCATCCTCCACCCCACCAGCCCCCTGCTTCTGCAGCTCCCTGAACGGCAGGCCTCCGGTGACATGGAACAGCACGGTCACATCCTGCCCCACGGCGCTGGTCTCCACCAACAGGTTGGTAGGCAAGATGGGCATGGCAGAGCCCTGGGCCAGATGCAGCCCTGTGCTGCGGTGGATTTGTATGGCCAGCTGGACAGCCACCACCTTCAGCATGGCCGGGGGGCTGGCCTGCAGTCCATTGCTGACCCGGAATGTCAAGTCCTGTGTAGGGCCACCGCAGTGGACATAGACTAGGCTGCCGGCCTCCAACTCCCAGCAGGAGAACTCAGTCACCGGCTCCCCAGGCTGGTCTCGGTGCTCCACGGGGAGGCCAGAGGGGGTGCCAAGGAGCTGGAAGGTGAGGCCCTCACAGGTAGAGTCCAGGTCATAGGCCTGGAGAACCTCAGGCCCCAGAGGCTTGTGTGTGTGTTCCAGGATCACCATAAGGCTGCCATGTGGGAAGATGATGTGGGGTGGGTCATTGACAGGGTTGACCTGGATGGGCAGGAGGTCTGTTTGGCCCCTCCGCAGGCATGAGGGCATAGGCACCCAAGCCATCACTGACACCTCCAGCACCAGCTGGTCAGAGGTGTCCTCAGGGCCATCGTGGATGAAGCGGGCCTTGCAGTTCACCACGTCCAGAAGGGTGAACATTTTTCATGCCTGGGCACCCAGGACATCCAGCTCGAGCTCGCTGTAGTGTGCCCCTCAGGTCACGCTGAACAGCACCTGGGATTTACGCAGTTCAGCCTCCATCAGTGCCAGCATGGGCTGCACATGCCACCACTCAAGCCAGGCTGTGCCACCCTCGGTCACCACCACTGCACTGATAGCAGCTGGATGAAATTGGCAAAGACAGGAGGTAGCCCTGGCTCAGGCACGCATGGCTCAGCTAGCTCCACGGACAGCCAAGCCTCGGGAGCCAGGGTGGAGAAAGCTTCATAATGGCCATAGGCATTGTCCTCATACTCCTCCACCTCCTCCAGTCTGCAGCCAGCCACCATGTTGTGCGTCAGCAAGGCTTCCCACAGCCCCTGCCTCTAGCCATTGACACTGAGGTCTTCCATGCAGCCAGCCCAGCAGGGAGGCATTGGCAGCCCCTGGTGTCAGGCCTGAGCGGTGTTCCTGGAGGTGACGAGAGGCCTCTGCACCAGCTCCCCAAGAAGGAGACTGTCACGTGGCTCCAGGTAGCTGAGGACTCCTCGGTTCAAAGTACATGTGGGGTACTGGTCCATGGAGATTTCTAGCTGGTGAATGTTGATGTGGATGCTGACCTTGTGGGGCTGTGCGTCAGTCACAGGCACACTGTTGAGGAGCAATACAGTACCCTGGCCCTTCTCAACCATGGACCACAGGTGGCCCTCAAATATGTCCACATGGATGAAGTCCCCATGCCAGCCTGCTGCCTGGAAGGCCAAGGGTGCCTGCCAGCTCTGTGTGGTGAGTGTAAACTCCAGGGTTCCTTCATCCTGAGTGCCCCAGGCAGGCAAGGCAGCCAGAGAGTGGGACCCAGAGAAGCCCAGGGCCACATCGTCATTGGCAGAAAACTCTTCAGCACAGCCCTCATGCTTATTGGGGGTCAGAGGCTGGAGGAGTCTGCGGCCATTGAGAGCGGCTGCATGGAGGCAACCCCTCAGGGGATGGCTGGTTCCCCTCAGGTAGGGCAGGCCAAGTCTCCCAGTGCTCCCAACAAAGAGCCCATAGGGGACTTCTAGGGGGGCTCCCAGGACTACAGAGGAGGCATTCAGAAACCCATTGACTGACAATGTGGGCCAGTCCTCTGAGACAGTCAGAACTGTGGTGTGGGGGACGGAGTCACTCAGTAGAATTTCTGCTGGGGTCTGCAGCCTCAGCTCCTCCTGGCCCAGGACAAGCCTGACCTGAGGAGAGACGGGGAATGGGAGATGGGGGGCAGCACTTTGAATCCATCATTTCCCTTATAAAAGCACAGTGGGTTCCCCACAGGGGGCCCCAGAGCAGAAAACCTAGGACAAGGGCCTCTGGTGCCACTCCTCTTGCCTTCCTGCCATCTCTTTATTCATCCTCCAAACACTCACCAAAGGAAACTCTGGGCCAGGCCTGGATGGGCTCTGGGGACCCTGGTGTGAATCAGATGTGGTCCTTGCCCACAAGGAACTGACATATAGCAAGATGCTCTTCTAGAAACCCAACCTGTATTTTTAAATTCTCCTCCTCTTTCCTTGAGTGAGAAGCACCAGAAATATTGTCTTGGAATCTAGATTTCACCCCTGGAATAATGGGTAACTGAGAATCCGTTGATCAGTCCCCCTAAGTTTGGCAAAGTTTCTCGAGGTCACTGAAGGAAGCCAGGCTAACTGTTCAGGGACAGGGAGCCCAGGCAGATGCTCTGTGTTCTGGAAAAAAAAAAAAAAAAAAAAGCTGCCTGACCTGTGGTGGAGGAATATCTCAAGGAGAGATGAAGGACATAGTTCTGTCACCATGACATTGACACAAGAAATGGCTCTGGTATGGTGCTCCCAGATGCTAGAATAGGTGATGGCAGAGTATGGGAACTGCAGAACCAGAACACTAAGAACCATGATCTTGGAGTCCTGGTATGGTGCATCTCTGTAGGGATGTGGCATCACTACCTGCACAGCTCAGCAGCCATCAGCACCAGACTGCACCACATAGGTGTTCAACAGTGACACCTTGTGGCAATGAGCAGCAATGACAGCAGCAGACTGACCAAGCCCTAGTCCTCTTCCCACTGGGGTGTGGAAAGAGATGGCTGCCCCAAATTTGTTAATTTGTTTTTTTTTTTCCTTCTAAAATAGAGATGGGGTCTCATTGTGTGGCTCAGGCCAGTCTTGAACTCCTAGGCTCAAGTGATCTTTCCACCTTGGTCTCCCAAAGTGGTGGGATTATAGGCATAAGCCACTGCACCCAGCCTGCCCCAAATTTGGACTAAGACCCTGGGTTCTTAAACTCTTCCTGGTATGGGGTAAGACTCAAGTAGGAGCCACAAGACTCCTTGATAATAAAGCTTGTGGTGTCTTGAAGGATGAAATGGAAAAATGAAGCTGAGGCAGTACTGGTGCTGTTACTCTCATGGACAGACAGTGGTGCTGCAGATAAATTGGTGCAGTGCCACCAGGATGCGCAGGGGTCATGGGGGCCCAGGAGGGGGTCTCGCCGAGGAGGAGGGGATGCCCACACTGAAACTTCAAGGAGAGACTAGAGTTCGGCAGGTACAGGGAATGGGTGGGTCACACACCTGGCAGGAGGAGTGTGATGACCAAAGGCCTGGCTGCAAGTGACCATAAGATGGCCAGGAACTGAAAGCAGTTCAGTGTAGTCAGAGCACAAAGGGCCAGTGAGGGCTTGTGGTGGGAAACATGGTTGGAAGGAGCCGGTGGGCAGAGCCAGTTCATGAAGGATTTACCATTTCTGAGCTGCTGCTGCCCATCCCACAGTGGAGAACTTGAGACCCCAAGAAAAGTGACTTACACAAGGTCAACAGCCAGCTGGGGTTCACTCAAAGCTAGACAAGGAATCTCGCCCCAATCCCAGGGGGACGTCACTCACCTGCAGGTGTCCAGAGTAGAGCTGCAGCAGGAGGTGGTCAGCTGGGCCTGCTGCCAGGAGAAGGAGGGCTTCGGGTTGGGACATGGAGAACTGCAGCTGCAGGTCTATGTCAGTCAGAGCCATGGCCACAGTCACCTCCAGGTGGTTCTAACCAAAGAAGGAAGCTGTGTGAGAGAGGGAGCTGTGGTCAAGGCTCAGATTCTTGCCTGGAGGAGGCGAGGTGCTGCAGGGAGGGATGGGTGGGTTGCAGAAAGGGGTCCGTGCTGGTGCACCCTCATGGTTCTGCCATACGGTGCTGCCTCTGAGCACTGCCCAGATCCCAGCATTTCCTTGGTCCTGGCACCAGAAGGCACAGCCTCACCTTGTGTCCAGCCCAGACCTTGACTTGGCAGGAGGTCAGACCCAGAAATTCCCAGCAACTCAGGTCTCCTCCTTGGAGGTTCCTGGAGCCAGAGGCCTCTGCCAGCTCTGACTCACCTCCCCTGGGCCCCAGAGGAGTCTCCCTCCCAGGTCTGGCTCCCCGACCTGGCCCAAAGGGAAACATCACTGGCCTGATCACCTGGCTTGGTGGTCACAGCCCCGAGGAATGGAGTTTCTGGAGAATCACCCCCAGGCCAGATCGATCCCTGCTCAGATTCCTTCTCCTAAGTGCCCTTGTGCTTGGGCTCCTGTGCAGCACCTGCTGTGCCATGCCCCACCTCCATGGGTTGGCTGGGGCCACGGCTGGGATCTGGGGGTGATGTCACTGCAGCCCACCTATCCCTGCTTCTCCCTCAGGCCATTCTTCCAGCTGCCATTGAGGGTGGGGGCAGGAGCTTATTGGCCTGAGTTTGCCAAGGAGTAAAGGCTCTCAGGCCAGATGGGGACCATATGCAGTGTCAAACCAAAGTGGGCCCACACTTCCTCCACTACCCCTGCTGTTGCTTCCTGCTAGAGAGCTATTCACAGTCCCCGCTGAGCAGTCAGATCCGGCCCCATTGTTTCCACCGTGGCCAAGGAACCAGGGATGAGAACAGCTCAGCTCCCAACCTCCCCAGGCCACCACTCAGTCTGAGGCTGAAGACAGGGCCTAGAAGGGGCTGAGGGTCTGCTGAGCAGGCCAAAGAGGGCCTCCCCAGGCAGAAGGCCATGTCTGGGCTTGCCTGGGGTTAGTGGTTCTTATGCAGGGCCTGTTCTGTCCCACAGTGTGACTCCTCCTCTTTTGAGTTGCTGCTTCCTCCAGGCAGTTTCCCCAAATTAGCCTCCCTGACTTCCAACCCGATGCCATAATTTCTGGTCTATGCCTTTTGTGGTGATAAGAGCCAAATATAACTTTAACTTTGCCTGCAGATGTCCAGGGCTGGGGGGCAGACAAACACAGGTTAAAAACTGTGATTCATCCCTGTTGGGTTTCCCTCAAACCCCAAGAACAAGCACAGGCTGATGGCCTTGATGGGGTGATCCAGCACCGACCTCACATGCACTGGTCCCTAGCCAGCCTGAGCCAGCTGCCATCTGCTCGAGGAAGTAGCTTCAGCCATTGGAGGAGTTGGAAGTTTGTACACCCTCAGGGCAGCCAGCCCCACCTGGAGGGATATCCAGGAAAGATCCCGTAAGAGCCCCTCGGGTTGAGTTAAATCCCCTCTAGTTATCCCCTCCTCCTGCCAGCACTGCTGGCAACACCAGCACCTTGGCTGGGAAGCTAAGGGAATCAAGTAAGCCCCGCAGACCATATGCGCTGGGGTGGCCCAGCAGTCTCAGCAGGCACAGCACAGCTTGGTGCC
This sequence comes from Homo sapiens, assembly GCF_000001405.40. Lineage (NCBI taxonomy): Eukaryota > Metazoa > Chordata > Mammalia > Primates > Hominidae > Homo > Homo sapiens. The sequence goes on along the minus strand of NW_025791797.1, from coordinate 791,011 downwards.
AGCAAGAGACAGACCAGGGAACTGCAGGTGGTGGCCAGCTACTGGGGTGCCTTATCTGCAAAGACATTGATTCCTAAGAGCAAAACACAGCACACTAAAGTGAGGGTGGCCATAGCACAAGGGGTGGGGGCACATGGCCCTGCAGGATGGAGCCACCACAGTCACCGGCTGGAACGGCTCACAGCAGCTGCCAGGAGCCAACTGTTGAATTTTCAGGAATTTTGAGAGGCAGGTGATACTGCCCACAGTGGGAATATTTATACCAGGAAAAGAGGCAAATACTGAAAATCAGGGTTCCCTCTCCCCAAGAAAGCCCTTTGCGAAACATTTACCTACCCAGCACCCACGGGGAAGGGGGCACATCTCCCTGTGCCTACCCACCTGTGTTAATCAGGGTTCCCTAGAGGGACAGAACTAATAGGAGATATAGACAGATATAGATATAGATAATAGATATAGATATAGATAATAGATATAGATATAGATATAGATAGATATATAAAGGGGAGTTTATGAAGTATTAACTTACACAATCACAAGGTCCCACAATAGGCTGTCTGCAAGTTTGAGGAGCAAGGAGAGCCAATCCGAGTCTCAAAACTGAAGAACCTGGAGTCCGATGTTAGAGGGCAGGAAGTGTCCAGCATGGGAGAAAGATGTAGGCTGGGAAGCTAGGCCAATCTTACCTTTTCATGTTTTTCTGCCTGCTTTATATTCGCTAGCAGCTGATTAGAAAGATGGTACCCACCAGTATTAAAGGTGGGTCTGCCTTCCCCAGCCCACTGACTCAAATGTTTATCTCCTTTTACAATGCCCTCACAGACACTTCCAGTAGGTCAATACTTTGCAGCCTTCACCCCAATCAAGTTGACACTCAGTATTAACTGTCACACCACCCTTGCACTAAAGGTATACATACACCCACTAGGGCATGGTCAACGTCAGAGATCTGGGCCAGACAGGAACTGAAGTAGATGGTTGGCCCTAACCACTGAACCACCTGCCTGCGGCCTCCTCCCATCAGAAGAGAGTAGAGCCTGTTTGGCCAGAGTGGAATGGTGGCAGAAAGCAGAGGTACTTTCCGGAGCGCTGGGGTCTGAATGGGTCCATTGAGGCTGGGCCCTGCTGCTTCCTGTAGGGCTGAGTGGGAGAGGCTCACAGAGGCTGCCTTGTGCAGCTGGAGCGCATAGCCAGGGAGGCCCCCACTCCAACAGAGGCCTCTGAGGCCTTGCTGGCCGGGGCTTTGGAAACTCTGACAGCGCTGCTTCCCTCACCTCCTGATCTCCTTTTTCTGCCCCTCTTACACTCTCTGAGGGGCTGCAGTTGCAAGAATCCAGAATCTCTGTCTTGGAGGTAGTGGGGGGGGGGGGCAGTTGAAGAGGGGCTTTGAATGGAGAGGGTCTGCACAATAAAGATGTAATAAGCTAGGAGTCAATCCAGAGGACTTCCTGGAGGAGGTGATGGTGGTGTAGAGTCACAGAGAGGGAGGAACAGGCAGTCTCAGAGGACAGCAGCAAGGCCAAGTGAGAGACTGGCAGAGGTATACAGGTCCCCGTTGGCTGGGGTGAGGAGGGTTTCTGCTCCCTCACCCCCCAGAGCCTCTGGCTTATCACAGGATAAAAGCCAGCTAAGCTCCAGGGGCTTTCCAGGAAAAGTGTCTCTTGGAAAGGGTGTGACCTTTTCATCGGTCCTGACAGCACCCTAGAAATAGCTTGGCCTTTTCCCTCCCCTGAGCTCCACAGAGAACACAGCCAGCAGAAGACACATTCCCTGTCATCCAGAAATGGGTTTGATTCTCAGCTGAGGGACAGCAGGACTGGTAGAGACTGTCAGGCCACACAGCTACCTACAGAGCACCCCCATGCTTGGTCGGGGGTGGGAGGGATGGCAGGGTCTGGCTGTCCACAGGCCGGGCATGACAGTGGGGCGCACTGGAAGTGGCGCACTTTGGAGGGGCAATGTCAGGGAAGAGCTTCCTCTTGTTGGGCCACAAGACTCCACAAGGACAGCACGGTGACTGATTCCCAACGCTAGAGGCGAGGCAATCGGTCATGTGTAGGGGTGTGTGTGTGTGTGTGTGTGTGTGTGTGTGTGTGTATACACACACATATGTGTGTATATATATATGAGGGTGTGTGTATACATAATTTATTTATTTAGATGGAGTCTTGCTCTGCCACCCAGGCTGGACCTCAGTGGTGCGATCTCGACTCACTGAAACCTCTGCCTCCTGGGTTCAAGCAATTCTCCTGCCTCAGCCTGCCGAGTAGCTGGGACTACAGTCACCTGCCACCACACCGGGCTAATTTTTGTATTTTTAGTAGAGATGAGGTTTCACCATATTGGCCAGGCTGGTCTCAAACTCCTGACCTTGTGATCTGCCTGCCTCGGCCTCCCAAAGTGCTGGGATTACAGGTGTGAGCCACAGCACCCAGCTATTTATAGATATTTATAGAATATGACCTCAACTATTTAAACATATCTGTAAGGGTATAAGTACTTTGATAACAAAGAAGCAATACATACTGATAGAAACTAGCTATCATGTCAACAGTAGTTATATTAGGTAGAGAAATTATGTGAGATTTTTATTTTTTTATATTTTACTAATCTTCTCAATAATGGTTGCTTATAAGTTTTATAATCAAGAAAAAAAGGTTTCTAAAGTTTTTGCAAAATGGAAAGTTATGCTTCTTTATATACTAAAGACAAAAACAAACTTCCTATTTGAATACCTTTGACTTTTACTGCAGACTTACAGACCCTTGAAAGAAAAGGCAATCCCCTCCCACTAGTTTTGGTGTCATTCTCCCCATCTCTCCCTTCACTTCCACCTTGGTCTTCTTTCTACTTCCCACCTTGGCTAGTGGTCTCCACCCAAAATGCTTGCTTGGCTTAATGGTTAGAATTCAGGGAAAAAGAGATCCCGAATTGCTAATCTAAACTAAGATTATACATGTGGGAAATAATAAAGAGAAACCAGGTAGTAAATAAGATTTGGAGGACTTAAAATACCCAGACTTTAATTCCTCTAAGATTACAGTTGTTAATCATGTTTTTATATAATATTATCACTTAACATTTAATTTCTAAATATAATGTTCATGAGGAAAAGAGAAAATAGCTTGGTTTCTTTCCTCACCGAACTGTTCTCCTTAGTATCTTCTAGACGTTCCAGAACTGATGTCAGATTTGGCTCATCAGAGTCCACAGACCATATCGGTGAAGAAGATGAATAGGATTCCTGTTTAACCCAGAGACACCTATGTTAAATGTTTACATACAGACTAACCCAAATATGCAATTAAACCACACCACTAAATGGCAAGATGACCATGGATTTAAACAAAATGTATCAGGGGGAAAAGGCAACACGTTTAAACCCATGTGAGGAGCTGGACTTCTGAGACAGCCATTCTCCTTGCATAGCACTGTCTGCTGCTACAGCTCATAGAAGTCAACAATTTTCTTCAACACTGGTAGGCAGCCTTTAAATGGCCCTGATCACCCTCACCTCCTGCCATTCACACCCTTGTAAAATTCCACCCCTGGACCTAGTGACTCACTTCTAACAAAGAGAATACAGCAAAAGTAACATCGCTTCTGAGGTGAGGCTACAAGGAGACTACGATGCCTGCCTTGGTCACCCTTCTCCTGCTCTTTCCATTGCTCCCTCTGATGGAAGCCAGTTGCCATGTGATGAGGTGCCCTATGGAGAGGCCCACGTGACAAGGTATTGTAAAAGGCCTCTGACCAATGGCCATCTAGAAACGGAGGCCCAGTCCAGCAGCCTCTGAGATGAATCCTGCCAACCTGATCTTGGAGACAGATTCTCTCCCTATCCTGCCTTGGGATGATCACAGCCACCACCAACACCTTCACTGCCTGGTGAGAGGCCAAGCCAGTGAACCCAAGGTAAACTGGACAGAATCCTGACCCACAGAAACTGAGATAATGTTTGTTATTTTAAGCTGCTCAGTTTGTTACAGAGCAATAGATAACTAACTCAAACACCATAAAATTCTAATATTTTATTCTATCACACAAACCAGGTAATACCAAGTAAATGCCATTACTATACATATATTTTTGTAACACAATTACATGTGATTTTTTAAAAAAGCTAATGAACTATGCATTATGTGCTTTCACCCACTAACAGACATTTCTGCTGTTACTTTGTACTGTTCTCTATTATAAATTGGGGGAAAACCATTATTATTATATATTAGCTTCAGAATAACTAGGTTGAAGTCACAGAAAACAATTTTGCACAAACAACTTTAGGCAACACTGCTTTGAAAACTGTAATCTGAATTAAAGCTGAAGCCACAGAAACCAAATATTTACTGAAGGTTCCTTTTTAAGAAAAACAAGATGGGCCGGGCACGGTGGCTCGCGCCTCTAATCTCAGCACTTTGGGAGGCCGAGGTGGGCGGATCACGAGGTCAGGAGATCGAGACCGTCCTGGCTAACACGGAGAAACCCCATCTCTACTAAAAAAATACAAAAAAATTAGCTGGGCGCGCTGGCGGGTGCCTGTAGTCCCAGCTACTCAGGAGGCTGAGGCAGGGGAATCACTTGAACCCGGGAGGCAGAGGTTTCAGTGGGCTGAGATGTCCACTGCACTCCAGGCTGGCGATAGAGCAAGACTCCATCTCAAAAAACAAAAAAAAAAAAAAAAAGAAAAACAAGTTGTATTGATGGAGGACATCATTAACAGTATATCTCTTCAATAATGGTTTATTTTACTATTCTCATTCTTCTCATTCCTCTCTTACTGTGTTCCAAATCTCTTTACAGGCTAAAAGAAACTCTTCAGAATTACTCCTACAGGCTAAAAGAAACTCCAGAATTACTCCTATTCTTTTTTTTCTTTTTTTGTTTTTTTTTTTGAGACCGAGTTTCGCTCCTGTTGCCCAGGCTGGAATGCAGTGGCACGATCTCAGCTCATCACAACCTCCACCTCCCGGGTTCAAGCAATTCTCCTGCCTCAGCCTTCCTGAGTAGCTGGGATTACAGGCACGTGCCATCATGCCCCACTAATTTTGTATTTTTAGTAGAGACGGGGTTTCTCCATGTTGGTCAGGCTGGTCTCGAACCCCTGATCTCAGATGATCCGCCCACCTCGGCCTCCCAAAGTGTTGGAATTACAGGCGTGAGCCACTGCGCCCAGCCAATCCTATTCTTAAAGAACACCACTTACTGAGTATTGCATTTTCTTCTATAAATTCTTCAGCATACACTGAGAATACACCATATGGACTATTTTTACGCTTTTAATTTTGGGTTTTTTTTATTTTGGCTAAGGAAATTGCAATTAGATTTAGGACTTCATTCTGTTAGGTTAGTATTTTCTAGTAAACTTCAGCGTAAGCAAAATAAAATATGTGTTGTTGCTCTGGACTGAAACCCCTCAAAACCATATTTTAAAAATTACAAAAAAAAAATTAACTGAAATCAAGTTTTTAAAAACCTTGTAGATGAAAAGATATGATATCTAGTACGTCTAAGTACCTATTTCAATGGTTCCCAAAGTGCGGCCCTCAGACCCCCAAGTCCAAACTATTTTGACAGGAATATTAACATGGTGACATTTGCTGTAAGTGTGCAAATACAATGGTGGGTAAAAATGCTGGTACTTTAGCACAAACAAAGGCAGTAACACCAAACTACTACTAGTAGTCATGGTATTCTTCACTATGAACAGGAAAGGTTTAAAAAGGAAGGGTGGGTGGGGCATGGTGGCCTACGCCTGTAATCCCAGTGCGTCGGGAGGCTGAGGTCGACGGATCACCTAAGGTCAGGAGTTTGAGACCAGCTTGGCCAACATGGTGAAACCCCATCTCTACTAAAAATACAAAAATTAGCTCGGTGTGGTGGTGCATGCCTGTATTCCCAAATACTTAGGAGGCTGAGGCAGGAGAATCACTTGAACCTGGGAGGCAGAGGTTGCCTTGAGCTGAAATTGCACCTATGTAACTCCAGACTGGGCAACAGAGCAAAACTCCGTCTTCAAAAATAAAAATAAAAAGGAAGGGCAACAAAAGGTTAGTTTCATTTAAGAATGTCTATGATAAGGTTGGGAATTTTGGCTCATGTCTGTAATTCCAGCACTTTGGAAGGCCCAGGCAGGGGGATCCCTTGAGCCCGGGAGTTCAAGACCTGCATGGGCAACCTGGTGAAACCTCATCTCTACAAAAAATACAAAAATTAGCTGAACACAGTGGCTGCATGCCTGTAGTCCCAGCGTCTTGGAAGGCTGAGGCAGGAGGATTGACTGAACCCAGAAAGTTGAGGCTGCAGTGAGCTGTGACTACGCTACTGCACTCCAGCCTCAGCGACAGAACAAGGCCATATCTCAAAAATTAAAAAAAAAAAAAATGTCTATGATGAAGCAGTGAATATTTTACTATATCTAAATCCTTGAATATATCTTTTTAATATTTCAAGTGATGAAATGGGAAGTATACATGAGCATTCCTACAGGCTGCCTGAGAAAAAAACCCTTGAGTGACTAAGTCATGAAGTGAATTAACCACTTTAATGGAATACCATTTTTACTTGAAAGGCTGACTGACAAAAAATGTTATTTTAACTCGCATTTCTGGCAGATATTTTCTCAAAACATGAGATTCTGTCATTTCAAGGAAAACAACAGACAGGCTATAATAAAATTCAATAACAAAATTACTAATAAAATTCAAGCTTTTGAACAAAAAATTAGAATTTTAGAAAACTTATGTCCACCATCACTTTCCAAAAGTATTCTGATGAGATTGATGGTGGTATTGATGAATGTATTTTGATACTGTACAATCAAATGTATCAACATGTAGAAGATCCTAGTGAACCACTATTTTATAAGTGACCAATGCACGATGTTGTAATATCATGCAAGGGTGGAAGATCCAAAGTTCAAGAAAAACCAAGATTTGATGGAGTATCAAAAAAGAAGCCTAGGCAACATGGCAAAACCCTGTCTCTACAAAAAATACAAAAAGTTAGCCAAATGTGGTGGTACACACCTGTAGTCCCAGCTACTCCGGAGGCTGAGGTGGGAGGATCACCTGAGTCCCCGGAGACTGAGGCTGCAGTGAGCTGTGATCACACCACTACCTTCCAGCCTGGGCAACAGGGCAAGACCTCATCTCAAAAAATATATATATATCCACAATGATCTAAAATGTTATCTGTATGAGATTGGTCTTTGTTCACATTTTTTCAAGAAAATATCACACAATAAATTGAATGCAGAAGCAAACTGACATATCAATTTGCTAATGACATGTCAAACATCATGCAAATGACATATCAAACATCAAAAAAATTTGCAAAAGGTGTAAGATTGTACTACTTTGGGTTTAGAAATTTTCTTTTCATAAAAGCATTTATAACAATATGTGGTGAGCTTTTAAAGAATATTTTAAATATTTCTGATTTAATTTCTAGTGATAAATACCAATAGATATACCCTACATAAACCAAAGCTCCTTGGGCCCTCAATGTATTTTTAAGAGTGTAAAGGAATCCTGACCCCAAAACTTGGAGAACTGCTGCCTTCCCCTCCACTTTCTTGCTTCCCTAGAATTTCTTCCTTGGAAGAAACATCCTTTTGCCATTCTATATTAACTTACATAGTTCCACTGAGGCAAGTTTTGCTACCTCCCTCCCATCTTTCCACCTCTCTCTCAACACAAAGCCTGACCAAAGGATTCTACCAGCCCACCCCATTTCCAGTGATTAGCTGTCAGGTGGGCTAAGCCAAACAAATCTGGGTTTTCCCTGAGACTAGACCTCTCTTTCTGGGAGAGATGGAATCACAGGGACAAGGTTGGCCACCTTGGGGTAGTGAGAATTCATCCTGCCTAAACAGGGAGAATTCAAACAAGTTTCTAGAAAGCCAAACTACTTTCTAGAAAGTCAAAGATAATTATATTTTTTGCCATGACTGTAAGAATGCCCATTTCATTGCACACTTTCTAACATTTTTACCAATCTGATAAATAAAAGCTGGTACTGAGATGAAAAAAAGGCTGGGCACAGTGGCTCACACCTGTATTTCCAACACTTTGGGAGGCTGAAGTGGGCAAATCACCTGAGGTCAGGAGTTCAAGACCAGCCTGGCCAACATGGTGAAACTCCGTCTCTACTAAAAATACAAAAATTAGCCAGGCATGGTGGCATGCGCCTGTAATCTCAGCTACTCGGGAGGCTGAGGCAGGAGAATTGCTTGAACCCAGGAGGTGGAGGTTGCAGTGAGATCACGCCATTGCACTCCAGCCTGGGCGACAAGAACAAGACTTCATCTCAAAAAAAAAGAAAAAAAAAGTTCCCATACAATATAATTTCTTCCATCTCTGGAAACAAATTCAGCAATGAGAACTGAAAGTCACCACGTGGAAGGTTTCAAGGATTTACGTCTACCTACTGATGTCTAAAGCATTAGTTAAGTTACAAAAAAATACGCACACACACACGCACGCACACACACACATACCCGTATGTATTCAGTACCAGAAAACATGACTGACTACATGGTAAAGTCATCCAACAGAAAGCACACAATAACTGAAGGCAATGTAGAGGAGTAAGTTATAACATGGATCTACAATACTGTTGAGTGAAAAAGCAGATTACAAACAAATATCTGATTTTTAAGGGAGAGGAAACATATATAAGCACAGGAGAAAAGAGGTGAGCAGATGACTGGAAAGATACAAATTTCTGACAGTGGCACCTTCTGAGTGGTAGAATTACATAGGTAATATTTTCTAGTTTTGCCTAAAAGTTTTCTAAATTTCTTAAAATAAGAAGGTTTTGTTTTCCATATTACAAAATATCCATCACCCCAGGAAATTTAACCTTCGGCACAAACTCTACATGTTCAAAGTTTGTTCAGTTGAATATTTAAGAGACAATCTATTTTGAAAGACATTTAAAATGACCAATATTTAAACCTATGCATTAATATTTTTCAATCACGTTTTAAATTTTGTAATTTTGATAAGTTTTAGATCCATCTTGAAAAGATAAATTTTCTGTTTGTCTTTAAAATATTACCTACAATATGCCTGTTTTTATACAGTTAATGGTGCTCAAAAATCGCAATATAAATTCAGGCAGTGTTCCTTCTATAGAATGTGTAAGTGCTTCTAATACTGCTCTTTTTCACCAGTTATGAAAACACGGAACAATTATCTAAGCATCTAATTATTCAGGTCCTTTGTTTCTCCTCCATTCTGTTAGTTTTATACTAATTTCAAGGCCTGTGAAGATGAAGTTGTCTGTGACAGCTACCACAAAGGTTACTATAAGCAGACAAATTTCCAGCAAGTTTATCACCACTACCATCCCACCATAAAACTGTCTCAATCAAGGGCAACACAATTCAAGGTTAGTCAAGACAACCTCTTTACCTGTCACTGCTTAAGAAAAGGATTTTTTGGTCTTATTTAGAAATAACTTTATCTATTTTTCTCCATAATTCCACTGAGACCAATGTGTGCCTCTATCTCAAGCACCAGCAAGCAAAACTGCCTGCCAGTATGTTCAGTTTTTGTATCTTTCCAAATGTAGGGCACAGCTATCTTTTGATATCATAATTTTTTGAAAACTGATGCACAAACTTCTTCTTGAAAGTTCAGCCAGGTGCGGTAGCTCACACCTGTAATCCCAGCACTTTGGGAGGCTGAGGCAGGCTGATCACGAGGTCAGGAATTCAAGACCAGCCTGGCCAACATGGTGAAACCTGTCTCTACTAAAGCTACAAAAATTAGCCAGGTGCGGTGGCAGGTGCCTGTAATCCCAGCTACTCAGGAGGCTGAGGCAGGAGAATTGCTTGAACCTGGGCAGCAGAGGTTCCAGTGAGCCAAGATTGCACCACTGTACTCCAGCTTGGGTGATAGAGTGAGACTCCATCTCAAAATAAAAAATAAAAAAAAGAATTTCAGATATACAGCAGCTGTAATTCTTCTGAAGGCTGCTTATGGGACACATTACTTTCATAATTTGCTGTTCAATAAATGTGGGGTGGAGAATAAAGTAAATTGACAGAATTACCATATAAAATAAAATTCTAAGTCCTCTGACAACAAAAGAAACCACACACACACACACACACACACACACACACACACACACACACACACACACACAGCTTTCCCTGCTAATCATTTTACAACAACCAAGTAGCTAACCCAGAGCCCACAAAAGCAGAGTAAAAATTCTAACACTTGGTAAAATAAAAATGCACATATATCCCTGTCATCTAAAAAAAAATGCTTACATATTCAAAGACAGCAATTGTAGCTACTGAGAACATCATTGTAAGCAAACTGAGGCAGAGAAAACAAACGTGCTGATGAGGATTTGAAACACCTAAGCTGCAGAAACCCACTGGATGGTTTCCTAGGTTCCGAGTTAGCATTATCTTTCAGAACGATCTTCTAGAAGAGATCACATAACACTGTTACAAAGGATCTGGAGAAAGGGACCCTGGCTTCATCACTCTGGCTCTCCAGTCATGCTTTACATTTTCACTTCTTACACTCTCTTTCATAGGAAGTCAATTTACAGGCCTCCATCAAGCCCTTAGAGACCTTTTTGTACTATCCATGACAAGTTCTTGATGTTATGTCTGCACTTCTGACAAATTCTTAGCAGTTAACTTACAAGGCAGTTAAGGTTTTTGTTCAAGCACAATATAGCTAGAATAGAGTCATACATTCAATAAAACAAATATTTACCAAGCATTTATTGAGTGGAAGATAAAAAGCACAAAGCATAATTATAAAACATTCTCCCCTGCCACCATAAAAATTTTTTTTAAAGCCTTACAGAATACAGCATAACATAACCAAAGCAAAAATAGTGAGGACTAAAGAGGGGAGGAAGGGGAAATATCAGCATGAATTAAATATGACCCAGAAGAGCCTTGATGGTCAGACACGTAAAGACAAATTGGGTAGGGTTAGGGGGTGGCTGTCAGGGGCACATTCTACAGGGGAAAAACAGCTGATACAGAAGCCTGAAAGAAAAAGCGGGCAGAGCACCTGGACAGGACTCTTACCTGCTGCATCCAGGGTACAATGCGCCTTTCCAGAACACAGCAGCGACCCGGGATAGAGGGATCGCTCAAACAGCACCAGAGGCTGCATTCCAACTTTTCCTCCATCAACGAGTCCGTTTTCATTGTTAGTTTCTCCTTAAACACGATTGGCTGAACATGCGGGAACAAGGAAAACCTGACTGAAGAACGAGGCATTTAAGCTTAAGGGCCTTGGATCTGGGCGCGGTGGCTCAGGCCTGTAATCCCAGAACTCTGGGAGGCAGAGATGGGTCATTTGAGGTCAGGAGTTCGAGACCAGCCTGGCCAACATGATGAAACCCCGTCTCTACTAAACAACACAAAAGTTAGCCAGGCGTGGTGGCGGGCTCCCGTAATCCCAGCTACTCGGGAGGCTGAGGCAGGAGAATCGCTTGAACCCACAGACTGTCAAGAGATGGAGGCTGCAGTATGCCGAGATCGCTCCACTGCACTCCAGCCTGGGCGACAGAGTGAGACTCCATCTCAAGAAGCGCCTGCCACCATGCCCGGCTAATTTTTGTATTTTTAGTAGAGACAGGGTTTTACCATGTTGGCCAGGCTGGTCTAGAACTCCTGACCTCAGGAGATCCAGCTGCCTCAGTCTCCCATAGTGCTGGGATTACAGGAATGAGCACTGCGCCCGGCCAAAAAACCGAAAATCTTAAAGGCCTTTCCCCTTCCCTCACTGGGCTCAAACAACAGCGGGAGCCGCCCTGCCACTCCCCGTCGCGGTCCAGGGGAGCAGGCTAGCTGACTGAGGGCGATCATGGGCCCCAAAAGGTCTGCGGGCGACGCGGGCTCCCACCTCAGGGCGCAGCGACTGGGGCGAGAGGTGCCGGCAGCCCCCAAGCCAGCCCCGCGGCAAGGAGCCAGAGAGACGCGCCCTCCCCCTCCTCCCACGCAAGCCTCACACAGCGGGGCGGGCCAGACGCGGGAGAAAGGGGCGCGCTCGCCCCGCCTGGGGAACCGGGGCCTCTCCCGGGCAGGCTCGCCTTTGTCCCGGGACTCTGGGCGCCTCCTCTCCGCCCTCGCCCTGCCCCGTGAGGCCGCCACTGGGCGCCTCACCGTGATGTTGCAGTGGAGCGTGAGCTGCGGCGGCGGCTCCTGGTTCTTGTGGAAGATAGAGGCCAACAACTTCAGCTTGGCCTTGAACCCTCACACGGACATTTTACTCTCACCTCTGGCGGGAGGGGCGCGGAAGGTGAGCCCGTCGGGAGCCGCTGTCACGGCCGCAACCACCCGCGGGACCTCTCGGCGGCGCTCTCCCAGCTCCGCCTCTCCCTGATGCCTCAACTCTAGTCGGAGTAGGGCTGGAAAATGGCAAGGGGCACCGAGGCCTCTGCGGGGAGCTGTGTGGCGGCCTGGGCGGCTGCTCCCCTTGTAACAGACTCCACCGACAGGAGGCGCTGCTCCTGTCAAGCCGCAGCTTAAAAGGGCAACAGCACCACAGCCCCCGCTATCGCCTGGGAAAGGGCTGCCCCTACCCCGCTCCCGTCCCTCTCGCCCCTCACACCCGTCGCCCCTCACCCCTCAACCCGCGCGCCCCCTGCGCACCCGTTTCGGCGGCTGCAGGAGTCCAGAGCATGCGCGCGCTTCCGGCTGCCCCTCCTGGCCTTGACCCAGCACTGCTGGACCCATCTGGTCCGTTCTTCACACTCGCGGACTGGAGGCTCCGGGCAGCACAACCACCAACTCGTGTGTGTGTTGGGGTGGGGGTGGGGGGCAGAAAACCACCAACTCGTGTGTGTGTGTGTGTGTGTGTGTGTGTGTGTGTGTGTGTGTGTGTCTCCCAAGGGAACAGCACTGCTGAGTTCAGGCTATCAGCTCATGGACTGTCAGCAAAATACAGTCACAAGAAGGCTATGTGCTGTTTTGTCTCTTGCAGTGACGTCATGTTGCTCATGTTTTATGTTTTTCAGAGTTCATTAGTTTCTGTTTGCTCTCAGTTAATATCCAGCTCAATAGATTGTGTAAGTAGAATACCCCCAAACTGAAAGTCACCTACATAAAATATAGTGAAAAATATGTCACCCACTTAAACTATAGTTGAAAATATGTACTCATTAGTTTTGTGTAGCCAACACTGGATAATGGGTAAGGGGAAAGGATCCCAGGGCTAGACTGCCTGGGTTCAAGTTCCGATTTCCTGCTGGCTGTGAAATACTTGACAGCGTTCAGCCTCTGTTTCTTTTCTTTTTTTTTTTTTTAGCTTAATCCCAAATATGATAGTAAGTCTCAGTTTCTTGATCTGAAAAACAGAAATTATTCAATGACAGTCTATGTGAAAACTTTAAAGTTTTCAAAGCCACTATCTAGCTTAGGAAAGTCCTCAGCTTTAGGGGTTAAAGTTTTTAAAACCACTGCCTGGTTCAGGAAAGCCCTCAGCTGTAGCCATTATTAGCTATGATTATTATTGTGGTGGCTACACATACATTAATGAGGCAGGAAAATGCTCAAGGATAACAAGCAAGTATCCAGATTATCTCATCAGACCAAGACAGATGCATATGCATGCATGATCATGTTTTAGCTCAGAGCCATTTGTCTAAAAGGCTCTTGAACTCAGAGGCCCAGGAGTATCAACTTTGCTTTGCAGTGGAGCCATCGCTTTTGTTAATCAATGAAATTGACATAATGCTCTTCTTTTTTTTTTCCTTTTTAGCACCAACCATGTGCCTAGAGCTAACTGTGTTAAGAAGAGCATGCTTCAAGTGGCTGGAGTGAGCAATTCAACTTGTGGAGGAATGAGAAGTGACAGTGTTGAGACAAGCAACATAAAACCCCAGGGTAAGGTAGAAATCACTGAAAGTCAGGCAAAGGAACTGGCGTCCAGTAATGAGTCAGGCTTTGCCAGCCTCTGGCCCTACAGATGGCTCTTTGCAGAGGAAAAAATTAAGCCAGGCCCGAGGGCACAGATCCTAAGGGAATGCTGGCAGCTCTAGGCTGTCTATGAGAGTCCAGAGATGCTGCTTCACCCTGGGGCTTTAGGCAAGTCCCTTTCCCTCCCAGAGCCTCAGCATCCCTTCTAGCAAATGACGTTCTGCCTTTCTCCTAGGATGGCTGTGGGGATCAAGGGAGACAGTGGCCATAGGGATACTATGTTAACTGCAGATGCGGCTGTAGGAGCACTTTGCTAACTTCCAACGTGAGTTCAGACTCTTCAGGCTATTTGGCACCCAGATCTATGGTGAGGTGTGACATATGGGATGTAAAGTTTGATGCCTGCTCCGACTCCAGTCTTGCTAACACACACGAAACCTTTGGTAAATCATGACCCTGCCTTGGGGAAAAGGGCAGTCTGGGAGAGCTTCTTCAAGGCAGCCTGGCTTCAATGCAGTCTGGGGCATGACTGAGATAGGCATACGTGGTGAGGAACTGGAGGGCAACTGGGTAAAGAGCTGCAGTGTGGGCAGAGGTGTAGTGTGGGTCACATCGCGGATAGCCACTGGCCAAAGCAGGGAACAGAGACAGAATGAGGAAGAGCTCTGTGGGGAGGGTGGGGCACAGGGTGGAGAACCTTCAAAGTCCAAAGAGTATGACTTGTTGGGATTCAACGCTGTAGGCAGTAGGGAGCCATGGAAGGCTCTTAGGTGGAGAAATGACAGCCGGACATTAGTGAGCAAGCCCTGTCTCCCTGAGCAGCATGGGTGGTCCTCTGAGCACGCCAGGCACGAGTGTGCAGGGAGCTGGTGCAAATGCCTCTGTGTGCGGGTGAGCATCTGTGTTGTGACTCTGCCCACGCATGTGCTTCAGCGTGCCGAGTGGCTGCACGCCCCAGATCCATGCGGCACGTGCCGGCCGGTGAGGGTGCTGGGCATTGGGAGGTGGCGGGGAGGGCGACGTATGCGTGTTGTTTGTGGGCATGTGTGTGAGTGTGTGCATGTGGGCCGTGGGGCCTCACAGCATGTGTGTGCACACTCCGGCATGTGCGTGTGTCCCCCACCCCCAGGCCTGCCCCACCCATGCATGTGACCTGCCATGTGATTTGAAGCTGTCTTTCAGAATCACTATCAGTGGCCCCTGAGGAGCGTCAGCCATGGTAGGTACATGCCTCACTGCCTGCTGCATGAATGGTCTGCCTGCCCCGCTGCCCCAGCTCCACACAGGGGGCATACCTGGAGCCTCAGAGCCAGGCTCCCTGCCCCTCCCTTCTGGAGCTGCAGACTTGCTCTTTCCTCTTTCTGTCCTTGTGCTGCTGGCTGTCTCACTTTGCTCCCTGTGAGCCATGGGACTCAGTGCCACTGCTCAAGGTCTCCATGGCTGAGCCTGGGGGCTCTTACAACAGGCTCCATGCCCAAGGTGGCAGTTGTGGAACCATCAGAGAGGGCACAGAGCTCATGGTTTATGGTGTAGGGGCTGGGAGCTTGGAGGGGGTTGTGTGGGGGGCTGGACTCAGGCGGCCAGAGGCCTGGGAACATCATCCTGGGCACGCCGTACCTGTCACGCAGTCTGAGTCATGCTGCCAGGGCAGGTATCCAGCTCCCAGCCTGGGAGTGCCAAGAGCCAAATCCACGGCAGATTAGGGGTGATAGTCACGGTCCCACGTCCTCTATCTGTCAGCAATCCAGTGGTGATCTAGGATAAAAGCCTGAGAGTCCTATACACGCGGTCATCCCACAACACACTTCATAGGCCATGGAAGGACACACAGCCCCCTTCCCTCCCTCCCAGGTACCATGATAGCTGCTAGCGTGCGACTGAAGGCAGGGTCCCTGGCCCCTGCTGAAGCACTACTGCTGGCCAGCAGGCTCACGCACCTTGGCCTGTTGCTTCTAGGGGTTGCCTGTGCTATTCAGCCAATAGTGCTGCTGGCCCAGCTGAGCTCCGCCTAGAGAGCTCACTTCCCTTTCCTGCCACGGAGTCTCCCTCTTCTGCTTTTCCCAGCAGGAAGGGCCCAGCCTCACCTATGTAACCTGCAGCCCCCCGCCAACCAGTTAAGGCTCCCCTCTTAGACTTAGAAGTCTATGGCCAATGGCATCCGGCTACCTGCCCTCCCTGCCTTCCCCAGGGTTCCTCAGAGGACCCTGGGCTTTCTGATGGCCCAGAGGGGCCTCTGGCATTCACTCCAGCCAGCCATCCCTTATAGCTCCACCATTTTGGTTCAATCAGTGTTCCTTCTCTATCAGGTCTGGTGGCTGTTGGATGGGGCTCTCCAAGCAAGAGGTGGCCCTGGGCCAGTGCGTTGGAAGACATGGGGACCACAGAAGAGGGAAGCCCGAGGGAGCTGGCATTGGTCTGAACTGTGGGTGGATGGGTGGATTGCCTGGGTTCCATGAGACAGGCCAGCGTGTGTGGGGTAGGGAGGGCCGCCGCAGTCCCCAGGCACTACCTATGAAGCTCCAGCTTCTCCCTCCATCTCCCTCCCCTTTCCCTTCCAGCCCCTCTTTTCCAGGAACCTTGCCACGCCCACACCTACGCCCTCCCCTCCCCGGCCCTCCACAGCTGCTGCAGCGCACCCATACTCTGCACTTGCCTCACCAGCTCTGGCTTTTCTCTAACCCGTTTTCTCTCTGCTTTCTCTCCAACTGCCAGCTGATCGGGTCAGGCAAGTCCATCCCGTCCTGAGAGCCCCAGGCCCCACTTCGACCTCTAAACACATCCCTCCTCTTCTCAGAGACCTCCCTTTCCAAGCCTGCCTGGGCGGGTGTCCTGTGACTTGACAGTGGCTCCCCCAGCCCCAAAGCCAGCCCCCTTCTTCTGTGACTTAGTCTGTTGTAGTGGTGAGCTGACACGTCCAGGTGTGACCGTTGCTGAAAACTTGTGCCCCCTCTGTGGTATGCCCCTGCCCTGTTCTATAAATAGCTATAAATTCTCTCTCTCACACACACACACACACACACACACACACACACACATATATACATATATATACGTGGCCAACTGCCTCACCTCTAGCACTGGGAATCAGTCCCGTGCTGTGCTTGTGGAATCTTGTAGCCCAGCAAGAGGAAGCTGTCTCCTGACATCGCCCCTCCAAAGTGCACCACCTCCAGTGAGCTTCCGGGACATGCGCGGCCTGTGGACAGCCAGCCCCCGCCATCCCTCCCGCCCTTCTGGCCAAGCATGGCGGTGCTGTGCAGGCAGCTGTGTGGCCTGACAGTCTCTACCAGTCCTGCTGTCCCTTGGCTGAGAAACCCATTTCTGGATGACAGAGAATGTGTCCTCTGCTGGCTGTGTTCTCTATGGAGCTCAGGGGATGGAAAAGGCCAAGCCATTTTTAGGGTGCTGTTGGGAGCAGTGAAAAGGTCACACCCTTTTCAAGGGACACTTTTCCTGGAAAGTCCCTGGAGCTTAGCTGGCTCTTACCCTGTGAAGCCAGCTCTGGCCACTAAGGGACAGGGCCCTGAACTCAGCCTGGAGGGAACCTGCGGGGCAGCCGGCACTCTGGAGGGACAGACAGGCCACCCGGTGCAGACAGGAGAGGGAGGCAGGGGGACAGAACGGAAGACACCTGGGGTGGATGGAAGTCAGTGCCCTTGGGCACTGGTATCTGTCTTCCCTGCCACAGCTAGATCAGGCTTCTCAACCAGTTGGCTGTCAGGGCCAGAGTGTACTCCGTAGGCGCCATGGCAGTCCCCATGAAATCCACCAGGTGTCACCAGGCAGCATACAGGTAACAGGCCTGGAAGGTCCCCAACAGCCCAGCTGGACATGCTGAGACACTCTGGGGCTCCTCATTCAGTGGGACAAACTGCAGGACCCAGTGAGGGAAATGGGAACATACCAGGCCGAGCAGTATGGCTAAATCCATTTATTCCAAAATCAAAAGCAAAAAACAAAAAACAAAAAACAGGAGTCCCATCACCAGGCAGCCATGACCCCATCCCCGCCTGCTTCCTCGCTCCTATGCTAGCAATAAATAAGTTTCCCAGCCGCGAATAATTATAAGAACCTCTTCCTCATATGCCAGCTGCAACCTCCGCTAGGTACGATACAGAATGTTACACAGCTACAGTATGTACACGGGGGAAGGGGGGCCACCCCCAGCAGCCTGTGCCCTGGCCTGGTCTACAGTTAACTCCACTGTCCCGCCTCAGCTGCCTCTCTGAGTAAGAAGATGGGAGCCCCCCTGAGGGAAAAGTTGCTTTGGTGAGAGTAAGAAGGCCGTCAGACCTCCTCCAAACAAACCAACTCCACCAACCTCTGGCTCTTAAATAACAAACATCATCATCCAGAAATGTAAGGACTCAGCCTTGGTCAAGGTGGTAAAGGGTCTGTTTGTCTCCCTCCATTAGACAAGGGTCTTGTCTTGCTACCCTAATGGTAAAGGGCTGACTGGGGAGGGGTTGTAGGGACATGGTGGGGGTGAAGACTCCAGACCCACTTCTCCAGGCTTATGCTGACAGGGGCCTGCTTTTATTTATTTTTATTTTTATCCCATGACTTTTTTTAAATCCTGTAACTAATTTTTCATAACTTTTTAAAATAACTTTTCATAAAACTTTTTTTTTACTTTTTTTCCACAACTTTTTTTTGCCACTTTTCCACAGTATTTTTTTATCCTGTAACTTTTTCATCCCACAACTTTAATTTCTGTTAACTTTTTTAGTTTGTGTTCTTTTAATAAACACACTTACATAGTTACAATTTTGTAAGAATAAAAACCGATTACCTCATGCCAAGCATGCCGAGAATTTGCAGAGTCTCAATACCCAATACTATAGTTTTCAAGACACACAAAATTTTTAGGCAAAACAGCACCTTGAAACAATTTAATAATGTATTACATTACAGTAGCATCACAGCAGCAGTCAATAATGCCACTTTAGACAAAAATCAGTATTTCCATTATGCATTCTGTTTATAAGAATTCATAAATCGGTAAAAGTCATTCTAAGAAAACTTGGCAAATACAGCTTTGGACTGGAATTGGCATTTCTTTGTCTACTTTTCCTTCCCCTAGATTCTTTGTTTTAAACTACAGTATTCATATTTTAAAATGTTTTAAATTATTTTAAGATGTTAATATAGCAGTTACATTTTTGAATAGTTATTTGAAAGTGACTGTAAGATAAAGTTTTAGAGAATCTATTATGGATAGGGTTGATTTACATTTTCACATTTTCTAAAAATCAGCTTTGGTTTTAGAACTGATTGTTTTTCATTTTGGGAAAACCTACCAGGTTTAATCAATTACTTTAAAAATAATTATCATATTTTGCAGTCTTTAAATAGGTGTTTTGATTCTTTACTCCCTACAGAAATTCAAATTTATTCAGTTGAAGTCACATTTTAAAATTCTATGTTCCTGCTGAACTCTAACCTTCTAATGTTGCCTTCTAAGCAAATTAAAGGCTGCCTTATACTGAATGAGGTAGAGAACAAATACTTGGCTGAATGAGGTACTGCAAAAGACTGCATGCACTTTGAAGAAAGACTTGAGTTATTGTCATAGGATTTCCATTCTCTTTAGCTTTTTCTTAAACATATGACAAAATACCTACACAAAGAGTCGTATTTGAATTAATATAGTATATTTATTTTTCAGACTGACATTCATCTTAAATATGCCAGTATGTGATTTAATCCACAGGTACCTGATGAACACATTATTGTCAGATTGGTTACAGTTGCTAAACGCTATCTGAAGGTCATTCCTAGTCATTTATACGTGTCAGGGTAAAAGTGAAGCGATTTGAACTATAAAAATACCTTTGAAATAATTTATCAATGTATTAGATAAGCTCAGTTTCAGAATGATAAACAAAAACTGTTAGACCAAATAATGTGCTACTGGCAACCCAGGTGCCAATGCAGGGAGAGCCCAGCCGGGCAGCCCTCAGCAGGGACAGTGTATTAGTCTGTTTTCATACTGCTATAAAGAACTGCACGAGACTGGATAGCTTGTAAAAGAAAAAGGTTTAATTGACTCACAGTTCAGCATGTCTGGGGAGGTGTCAGGAAACTTACAATCACAGCGGAAGGTGAAGGGGAAGCAAGGAAACTTCACGAGGTGGCAGGAAGGAGAAGTGCTGAACAAGTAGGAAAAGCCCCTTATAAAACCATCAGATCTCATGAGAACTCACTCACTGTCATGAGAACAGCATGGGGGAAACCCTTCCCATGATCCACCAATTACGTCCACCTGGTCTCTCCCTTGACAGGTGGGGAAAATGGGGATAATTCAAGATGAGATTTGGGTGGAGACACAAAGCCTAATTATATCACACAAGGACCCCCCATCATCCATAACCAAGCCCTACTGTGTCCCTGGCCTCTCTTCCCCACCTCCGTCCTCTGCTCCCTCTGAGGCTGAGGAAAAGGAGCAGGCTGGTCACCTTGGGTGAGGCCAGGCACCTCAAGCCTCAATTGCCCTGCCTCTCCTCCCTGTAGTTCCACCCCAAGAGTGCTGGGCCCTGCCCACTGGGATGTGTCCTCCAAGGCCTTGCCTGAGTCTGGCCCTGCCTCCTTCAGGAGTGTGTGAGCCCCTGGGCCAGGCTAGAGGCCACCTCCAGGGAACTGTGGCAGAGGCAGGAGCCTGGAGAAAAGGAGGGGGAGAGGAGGCCCGTGGGCAGATGCTGGGCCGCCAGACCTCTGAGAGGGGCCTGAGCCAGTGCTCACGCCTGGGTCTGAGAGTCCCCTGTAGGACTCCATATGGGGCCAGATGGCAGGATATGACAACAGGGTGTAAGTCAGGCACCAGACCTTGAGTCTGCAGAGGCCCAGACAGGACCAGGCGCTTGCTCAAGATACCACAGAAGGTCTGGCTGCTCCAGGGGAAGGGAAGCCTGGTGTCTGTAGGGAAAAGAAAGAGAGATCAGACTGTTACTGTGTCTATGTAGAAAAGGAAGACATAAGAAACCTCATTTTGATTTGTACCCTGAATAATTGTTTTGAGATGTTCATTTGTAACTTTAGTTTCAACCCTGTGTTTACAGAAACACGTGTTGTATAGAATTAAGGTTTAAGGGATCTAGGGCTGTGTAGAATGTGTCTTGTTAATAATATGTTTACGGGCAGTATTTTTGGTAAAAATTATTGTCATTTTTCATTTTTGATTAACCAGGGGCACAATACACTGCGGAAAGCCGCAGGGACCTCTGCCCAAGAAAGTCTGGGTATTGTCCAAGGCTTTTCCCCACTGAGACGGTCTGAGATACGGCCTCATGGGAAGGGAAAGACCTGACCGTCTTCCAGTCCGACACCCATAAAGGGTCTGTGTTGAGGAGGATTAGTAAGAGGAAGGCCTCCATCTCTTGTATGCCCCTGGGAACGGAGTGTCTCGGTGTAAAACCCGATTGTACATTCGTTTTATTTTGAGATAGGAGAAAACCGCCCTGTGGCTGGAGGCGAGATATGTTGGCGGCAATGTTGTTCTGTTACTTTTTACTACACTGAGATGTTTGGGTGGAGAGAAGTATAAATCTGGCCTATGCATACATTTACGCATAGTAAAAAAAAAATTTTTTTTAATTTTATTTTTATGGATAGGGTGATTTTAAGTTTTTATAAATTTGGTTTAGTTTTTTAGTTAAATTATTATTATAGGCTGGATTAATGGGCCAGATGGATGGGGCCTGCGAACACGAGTGAGTTTGGCCCATAGAATTACAATATAATTGGTTTTGAGGGGCCTAGTTTATAATAGTTTTGAATTTATTGTTTTGTAGTATTATTGTAGTATTAGTTATACATTTTTTTAAACTAAGACTTTTGGATCTTTTGATTTTTTAGGGGCAAGGTTTTTTTTTAGGTTTAGATTTTAATGATTTTTGAAAAGAAGAGTTTTGTAAATTATTTGTGGTTTGAGTGACATTTTACTTACTATGTGACAAGTAAATTTATTGGTATTGATAGTAGGTACTTTTACTAATTTTGGGTTGTAGGTATTAAATATTTTGGTGTCTTTTTTAGGCAAATAGGATAATAATATTTAATGGAAATATTTATATTATTATTATTTTTAGGTTGGGCAGGGCAACGATTATTTGTGGGGCCTGGTACCCATGTATTATTAATATATATTTTAATAGGATTATTTATTTATGTGACTGTTTGAATTAAGGGTGGGAAAGGTACATAGGCTTAGTATAATTAGTTGTAGTTGTTTTTGTAGACATGGGGATACTTACTATTGTTGATATAATTATTAAAGCCATAAACAGTATTTTTTTGGAGTTTGTGTCACTTTTGTGTTTTTTTGGGTTTTTTTTTAGTTAACTGTGTTAGTTTTTTTAATTGTGTTTAAGTTGGTGGCTTTGTTTTTTTGGTGGATGGCGACTTTGTTTTTTTTGATGTTATTATTTTATTTGGTGAGTTAATGATGCTTGATTGTGGTGTTTGTATTTTTGTGGAGGTGGGTTTTTGTATTTTTAATGGGTTTATTGTAGAATTTGAAATGTTTAGTGGGTATTTAAACAGGAAGTTGATTTTTTTTTTTTTGGTGAAACACAAGTAAAGCTTTTTTTAATGTTTTTATTTTTTATGTTTTTTAAATTAAATTAGTTTTTTTATGTGGGTTTTTTTATTAGTAAAATGTTGTTTTGTAGAAGTAGTGGTCTGATTTTTATATATGTTAAAAAAGTTTAGAGTGTTAGATTAAGTTGTATTGGGGGAGTGTTATGCTTTTTATTGTTTAATTGAGTTTTGAGTGTTAGTTTTTTAAATTATGGTTTGTATTTGGGAATTATAGGGGATTTTTGTTGTATGTGTAATTTTTTATTGATTTAAGAATTTTTGAAATGTTTTATTACACTATTTTGGCCTATTATTTAATTTTTTTGGAACTTTTATGACAGTAAAACAAGATAATAAATGTTTTTTAATATGGGAAGTACTTTTGTTTGGTAGGTTGTTTATATAAAATGTGAATAAGTATTAACTGTTGTATGGACAAATGACAATTTTTCAAATGAAGGTACATGTGTGATATTTATTTGTCATAACGAATTAGGACATAGACTTTTGGGATTAACTTTTGTTTTTTGAGTGGGCAGGTGTAGAATTTGACACTGGGTGTAATGTTGTACAATATTTTTTGTTTTTATGTGATATTAAATTTATTTTTTAGTTTTGTTGTATTTATATGAGTTAAGGCATGAAGTTTTTGTGTTTTTATGAATGTAGATGATACTAGTAAATTAGTTTGTTTGTTTTAGTTAAAGGCCTTGGTAAATTAGTGTGTGTTTGAATATGAGTAATATAAAATGGGAAATTTTTTTTTTTACCGTTTGTTGTAACAAATTAAATAGTTGGTTTAACTGATTATATTTGATATTTGATTAGGGCTGTTTTAACTTTTTTTGTAGTTTGTATTATATATGTAGAATTTGATACAATGTTAATAGGCTGATTAAAATTTTGTAATATTGTAATGACAGTAGCTAATTTTGTTTTTTGAGTTAAGTGACATTGAGTTTTAATGACTTGTTTTTTTGGTCTGGTGTAAGTTGTTTTTTTATTGTTGGAACTATTAGTAAACACCGTTAGAGTATTTTTTAAAGGTTTATGTTTGGTAATTTTAGGTAAAATTTAAGTAGTCAATTTTAAAAACTGGAAGATTTTTGTTTTTGGGTAATGATTGTCAATAATTTTTTATAAAATTAGTAAGACCAATTTGTTATATTCCAGAATTGATAAAGGCTTGTTTAATTTGTTTTTTGTTTAAAGGAACAATTATTTTATTTGGGTTATTTTTATATAATTTTATTATTTGTAGTTTTGTCTAATTAATGTAGTCATTTGATTTAAGTACAATGTAAGTCTTAATTGTGCTGTAAGGAAGGAAGGACCACTTCATAAGATTTGTATTTTGAACAATAATGTCTGTTGGAGAATGTGTAGTAGTAAAAATTAAAAGTTGGAGTGGGGCTAAGTGATTCATTTTATTTATTTGGGTTGACTGAACTTTTTTTAATTAATTTTTTTAGTTGTCTTTGGAGTTAATGTTCATTATTTAATTTTGGATTTTTTTTTAAGATAGAGAACAAATTTGACATGGCATAAGTAGGGATGTCTAGAGTTGGCCGAGTTTAATATTTTTTAGTAATTTTTGAAAGTTATTTAATGTTTTTAATGTTTAATTTTTATTTTTTGTGGTTTTTTTTAACTTACATTTTTAAGTAATGGAAAGGATTAGAGGTTTGAATTTTATTAGATATTATTGTCAGTCTTGTGTTGGTAACCTTTGCTTGTAGAAATGTGTAATAGTTAATTTGTTTTTGTTTTTGTAGTATACAAAATATTATTAATATAATGAATAACAGTTTGAAAACTTGTGTTTAACTGGTTGAAGAGTTTGAGTTACAAAAAAGTTTGACAAATAGTTGGACTATTAAGTATTTTTTGACGTAACACTTTTTACTGAAACCTGGTGGCTGGTTTTTTATTATTTATGGCTGGTATAGTAAAAGTAAATTTTTTTAAATTTTGTTTTGTCAGAAGAATGGTAAAAAAGTAATCTTTTAGATTAATTATAATTAAAGGCCAATTTTGGGGGATTATGGCCTGAGAGGGCAACTCAGGTTGGAGACTCTCCATGGGTTGAATTACGGCATTAATGCTTTTAAGTTGGTTAGTATGTGTCATTTGTTGGATTTTTTTTTTTTTTTGAATTATAAACATAGGAGAATTTTAAGGCGAAAATGAAGGCTCAATTTTTTTTTAAATTTTTTTGTTAATAAGTGTAAAGTTTTTAGTTTGTGTTTTGGTAGTGGCCACTGATTTACTTATATAGGTTTTTTTGTTTTTTAAGTTAATGGAATGGGTTTTGGAGGCTTTACAGTGGCCACTTTTAAAAAGGATACTTTATTTTTTTTTAATTTTTTTTAGTCTTAATTGAGACTTCAGTGTCTTTTTTTTTTTTTTTAGTTTTTTGTCAGGGAGATATTTCATTTTAGTCACGATTTTTTGACTTGTGGGGCTGTATAGGAAGGCTGGGATAGGGCAGGGATGGAGCTTGGAGGAGGGCTAGAGCTCTGAGGGGGAGGATCAGAGGGGCTTCCTGGAGAAGGAAGACACAGGAGGGGTCCCCAAGGTAGGGGTGTTCAGACAGGCTTAGAAGGGGAGGGCCACGAGCAGGACAGGCTCAGGCAAGGCAGGAGGTGGCCGGAGTCAGACCTCCTGATGGGGGTGTGTGGGAACTTCCGACCAGAGCCCGTGAAGGCCCCACTGATTGGAGAGTCCACTACTGACCTCCCCCTCCACCCAGGACAGAACCGAAACCAGTGCCAGCCTCATCCTGGCGGGAAATTCCTGTTATCCTAACATTCGGGTGAGGTTGGTCTGGGCCCCCTCCCTCCACCTCAGACTGGGGCCTGCAAGTCAGGGTCCTGTTTCACCCACAGTCATCCCAGGGCAGGGGTGGAGCCCCACCCCACCCTGGGCCCCAGCAAGCAGCCCTGAGCCAGATTTCCCCAGGTTCCAGCCTCCGTCAGCACAGAGCGGGCTCTTTGTAGAGGGCTCTCTGCAGCGGCGGGCTGGCTCAGGGGTGCCAGCACGGTTGGCAGTGTTCTCAGCTTTTCGCTCTTGCAGGGAGTGGTTCTCCCACCCAGCATGCTCCGGTGACCAGGGTGACCTGAGCAGCTGTGACTATCCTGTCAGCTGAGCCGCCAGGTGGTCACTGGAGAGGAGGCTGTGGCAGGCTCTCCCTCTGTCTCCCACAGCCCTGCTGCCCCTGGGCCACTCTGGCACCCCCGTCATGGGAACCGAGGGTAATGGTGGGGTAGCCCAGTGGACTTCATAGCCTAGACTGCACCATGTACATGGTACTTCATGGGAGGTAAGGAACATGCTGGAGCCAGCAGGCCCACCTGCCTCAGCCCCTCAAAGAAGGACCCCCCAAGAGGAGGGTGGGTCAGGCATAAGTCACCATCATAAAGAGGAATTTGTGAAACTCCAATGTTTTCGGGGGCTCAGCCCGCGCTGGGGAGGGAAACTGTCTGCTTGCAGGCTGGGTGCTTTGCATGTAAATGGGTCCTGCCATTCTTCGGCTCCACAGAGGGAGAGATGCGCACTGTGTGGATAGGGCTCCTCGTGGTTTTTTTGTTTTTTGTTTTTTTGGGACGATTCTTGCACTGTTGCCCAGGCTGGAGTGCAGTGGTGCGATCTCAGCTCACTGCAAGCTCTGCCTCCGGGGTTCATGCCATTCTCCTGCCTCAGCCTCCCAAGTAGCTGGGACTACAGGCGCCCGCCGCCATGCCCGTCTACTTTCTTGTATTCTTAGTAGAGATGGGGTTTCACCGTGTTAGCCAGCATGGTCTCATCTCCTGACCTCGTGATCCGCCCGCCTTGGCCTCCCAAAGTGCTGGGATTACAGGCGTGAGCCACCACACCTGGCTGGCTCCTCGTGTTTTAAGAGAACTTTAAAATGCAGAATTTGTGGTGGAATCTCCCAGGTTTTAAATGTTGACAACCAGGTCAAATTTCAAAAGAACGTGTGGTTTAAACAAAACACATCCAGGAACCATACTGTGCGCCAGGAGATGGAAGCAAGGCATCCATGGTGCGGCCCAATTTTCCAGTGCTTCCTCAGCCCCGTATCAGCCTGTGCACCTGTGGGAACCCCGGCATGCCAGACGGGGGAAGCAGGCCTCAGGACCCCAGATCCCCAAAGACAAGGCACCACACTTTATGGCTCCTCCAGCATTTTCCAAAGGGTGGTCCAGAGAAACTTGTTCCTGGAGTTATTCATAGACATTCCTTATTTAGAGCCAAAACACTCTGGGAACCTCGGAGTTAAATAAATCAAAACAGACTTCTTTACTCCAGAACCTCTGGGAGCCTTTCACCTGTTACAGTGCCTTGTGAGTATCCGGGAGGCAGAGGCTGTGCAGTGCTTCCCAAACCAATTCCACATGGAACCCATTTTCAAGGCATACCTGTTAATTCCAGAAAGACGCTACTGCCCCATAGAATGCGGTTCTAGAAGTGGAGCTCAACACACCACTCCACCCATTTCACAGACTCAGCCATCCCAGGGTGGTGGGAGCCCAGGCTGGGGTAGGGAGGGGCAGAGGAGCTGCCAGACTGTCAGACGCTGGTCAGGAGGACAGCAGCAGCACCCAGGAGGAGCAGACTGAAGGAGCCAGACCCCCTAGGAGGCCCCTGCTGTCATCCAGGGGACAGGGAAGGGGTGGAGCCAGGCCTGAGGCAGGGAGGTGGGTGCAGAGTGGATGCCTCCCAGGGAGATTTTACAAGTGGAAGGAACAGTCAGAACTTGGTGACTGGAAGGCTGTGTGGAGTGTAGGGGAGGGAGGAGGCGAGGAAGAGACCGGGTGAGGGCTAAATGGGCAGAGCTCAGATGGAGACTCTGGGACCCAGGGGAGGGGTGCTCAGAGCCCAGGCTGGGGACCAGTTCCCTCCACCTCCCCTGACCCACAGCCCATCTCAGGGAGCTAGGCTCAAGCAAACTTCAGCCACCTGGAGTTCCCATGGCGACCACGGGAGAGGAGCCCCAGAGGACCTGGGCAAGCAGGAGGAGGAGAAGCAGGTCCGGGCACCAGGGGCTCAAAACCCGACCACCCACTTTTTGGTTAATCCCCACTGCTCTGAGCATTCTCACTAAACAAGTTAGGCTGGTGGTTAGTAGTCAGCTCTTCCCACCCTGCTACCGAGCCGGGCCTTTGTTCCGGTGGTTCTATTCTCTCTGGGATGTTTCCAGCAACCCTGGAACCAACCACACATTAAAATCTCACCTTGTGGCGCAAGTCAAATATCCCCCGCTACATGAAGCATCCCCAACTCCTCAGCCAGAGCTGAGTTCTCCCTTCCCTGCGCACCTCATGCTCCTTAGAGCCTGGTATTCGGGCATCTGAGGAGTCTATGTCTCCCCTATGAGACCCTCAGCTCCTCCAGAACAGGGTCTCAGTCCTGTTCGTCTGGTTCCCCCATAAGCCCAGCCTGGTGCTGGGCATACAGCAGGCATTGGTGCAGCCTGGGCGGGGTAGGTGGAGCCGAGGCAAGGGTCGACTGTGAGCAGGGCTGCTGATGCCATCTCAGTTGCTAGTTTGCCTGTGGTTGAGGCCCCTGCCTGCTTCCCACCCTGAACTAAGGAAGACTGCCTCACCCCCAGGTCCCCATGGCTCCTGGTTGCCCTGCAGAAGGCAATGAGTATCTGACCCCAGAGGCCAAGCCTAGGACATGCAGAACCTCTGGCCTGATCATAAACAACTCAGGCCAGACTGTCACCCTAATAACTTGGGGGACCCTGAGCTATGGGGGAACAGAACCCCAAGGAAGATGAAGAAGCCCATGAGAAGGGAGGAGAGAGCAGAGGAGACCCTGGGGAGCAGCCAGTGGGGAGAGGCCCCTGTTACCACTGCCACTGGAGGCCTGGCTGCGCACACATGACCCAGAGAACAGATTCGGGGAAGACCATTCCATTTAACTGGCAAAGTGGGATCATTCCCGCAGAGGGGAAAAGAGCTTTTCCTGCCACCCAGAGCCAAGGTGGGGCCCCCTCCAGGAAGAAGTGAGGAATAAGGGCTTTAGAGCCATTTTGAGGAGCATCCTGGGAGTTCCAGGACGGCCAGGCTGCTGAGGTGATGGGGGAAGGGCTGGGAGGAGGAGGCAGATCCAGAGATGCCCTGAGCTGGAGCCCACAGCCTGCACTCACTGCTGTGCTCCTGGAACTGCCACTGAGCTGATGCTGGAACCGCTGAGAGGCACGTGTCTTGCAGGTGCTGGAGCCTGCCAGCACCTCCTCTTGGAAGAACTGAACCAGGAGCAGCATGCAAGGGGGTGTGGAGAATGTGCCCCGCAGACGTCTATCCTGCCACCCAGATGGCACAGAAGGGCCAGTGTGGGGCCCAGAGCCAACAGCAAAGTCACCCGGGGAAGACCCAGAGACTCCACTGTGGCCTGCGCCCTTGCACCTGACGCGAGGACTAGGACAGACAGGAGAGCCTAGCAGCGGGGGAGCGGGGGCTGGCGGCTGCAGCACCTCTCACTTTCTGCAGCCACAGGAGAGCAGCCGGCGAAGGCTGCGGCTGACCAGGCAGTTGGCCTGTGGCTGTCCATCCAGGCACCTGGATGCCCTGACCTGTGGGTGTTTCTGGCAGAACAGGCCTGGAGGGCAGGGCCCGGGCAGGCATCACTCACTGTGAGGACTCTGCCTCAGAGAGCCCCTGTTGACAATGGGGGAGGGAAACATGAGAGAGGCAGGCAAGGAATAGGAGGCGCGGTTCTGCTACCCCCACCTCAGCCTCAGCCCTCCCTTCACGGAGCACCGCCCCGGCCCCTCCCCACCAATGCCACCTGATCCCAGCCCCTGCTCTGTGCAGGGCCCTGGGCCACTCAACCTGGCGTGTTCATGATTCAATGCCTGCATCCCACACAAACAGGTTCCACCCTCGGCCCAGGCAGCAGGTGGCTGTCCAGCCCCTGCCTCCCAGTGCAGCCTCCTGCTCAGGGCAGGGAAGCCCAGCCTCCATTTCCTGGGAAAAGGAGGCTTGGGCACCCTGGAAGGGAGAACGCTCCACACCCCCCAATAGAGGCTGGTGGCTTTCTGCTGTGGGAAGGTGAGTGCCCTGAACACAGAGTCCCAACCCAAAGAGAAAGATGCCCCTCAGCATGTGAAGGTGGCAGGGATCAGGGTGCTCAAGTCCCAGCTCCAGCTCTGGGAGGAAAGGCAGGGAATTGCCTTGGGGCCTCCATTTGTCTACTCATCGAGAATGAGCACATTCCTTAGACGGTGGAAGGTTCTGGATAAGCCAGCATAGGGCAAGACCCATGTCCTCTCAGGAGGATGTCAGAGAGAGAGCTGCCTGCCAGCGGGCCGTGACCTCCACCCCAGGTCCTGCTGCTTTCCCTCCAGGCTGAGGGCTTTGGGTGTGCTGGGCTGCGGCCAGACTCTTGGAGGCCACCATTGGCCATGTGCCTCTCCTCTCTGGCTTCTGGCCTGCTCCAGAGTGGACCCGGGTCTTGCCCCATGCTGGCTTATCCAGACCCTTCTACCATCTGTTTCCCTTGGGTGAGTTCTTAAGGGCAGGACCTAGGGTGTCATCTCTGCTTCGCAGCCTGGAAGTGCCCATGGGCAGGAATGGAACGCCTCTGATTTTATCCAAGTGCACCAGGGCTGGGTACACACCAGGCCTGACACAGATGTGGTTCCATCCCTCCCAAGCAAGGAGATGCTGGAGGAGGAGAAGGCGGGAGAGGCCCCAAAGGCCTAGGACGGAGCAGACCTAGGAATGACACACCCTGCCTTGCCCCACCTCACCCCAGGCGGTGGATCCCAAGGAGCCACTTCTCCAGGAGAAGGGATCCAGGTGGCCACTGGCGGTCATGAAGCCATCTGGAAAAGCCTCTTGACGGCCAAGTGCAAGTGCCCAAGCCCCCGCAGGTAGCAGAGCCGGTAAATTACGGCTGAGGGCTGCACACCCTCCCTTCTGTATTTATATCTGCCTTGGTGCCTGACAATGGATATTTATGTATTTTCAATATTCAGGGCAAACGCTCCATCACTCCATGCTCACGGCTGCAGCACACGACACCAGCCCCACAGCAACTTTCCTCTTTCACCTGGTTTGCCCACTCAGGGCCCCAGAAGGGAGACCCCCACCCCCATCTGCAGGCCCACATGACTCAGGGGAGTAGAAGGAAGAAAGGGACCAGGCCAGCCTCCCTGCGGAGCCTAAGGGCCCTCTCAGAGACAGGGCCGGTCCCCCTGCTTTATAAACCAGCAGCCGAGGCTCAGAGAGGTGGGGTGCCTGGGCGGGGTCACACAGCATCCTCTCTAGGCCAGGGTTCCTCGCTCACACCCCAGGCGAGTTGCCTCCCTCCTGACCAGGGAGAGTTACAGAGCCTGGCTGCCTTTCCTGACCCTCTGACCTTTTTTTGTTTCTCTTGTTCTTTCTAGCGTCCTCTCTGTGTGTCTCTGGGTCTGACTCTCACCATCCTGGCCCCTCTCACATCCTTCACCATCTCTGGCTTAGTGTCTCCCCCTCTCTCTCACTGCCCCCCATCTCCCTGTTTCACTCCCACCCGGCCCCACCTCCCCTCTCTCCTGGCTCACATCCTCCCTCCCTCTCAGAACCCCTGTCCTTGTCCACCTCCATCTCCCTGACTCTGTCTCAAGGCTGAGGTCAGGGCAGGGGTGGGAGGAGCTGTCCTGGTGCCCAGCAGGGGCCTCCCTGGGCAGCTGTGTTGCCCCTGCCCTGCACTTGTGATAGGAGAGCCCCCAGGGCCCTAAGCCAATGCAGGCACAGAGCAGAAGTGGGACTGAGCGTGGGAGGTTCGGGGTTGGGGGGCAGGTTTCCACTCGGTGGGAGCAGGTGAAAGACGTGTGTGCCCCATCCCCAGAGCTGTGTGTAGGGGGCACTGCGGGTGGACTTCTGCACCAGCCCCACCACTTGACCTTGAACGATCCGTCTGGTTCTGGGATCGGGGCTGAGTGATGAGGTCCCTGGGCCTGCCGTAAGCTGAAAAGGTTAATGCCTCTGGGCCCGGGGTCCCTCAGCCTCCTCACTGCCCACATCGGTTCCTCCCCACTTCACCTTCACCCTCCTGCTGCCCCTCTCCCCTCTCCTCTCCTCTCTGTCATTTCATTCCTCTCTCCCTCCTTCTCTCCCTTTCTCCCTCGGCTGGGAATGAGAAGAATTAATTAAATGTGTCCTCAGCTCCGGTCTCCTCACTTCCTCCAGGGAATTAGCCACTCCCTGCTCCTTGGGCCTTGTTAGATTCCAAG
This sequence comes from Homo sapiens, assembly GCF_000001405.40. Taxonomy (NCBI): domain Eukaryota; kingdom Metazoa; phylum Chordata; class Mammalia; order Primates; family Hominidae; genus Homo; species Homo sapiens. The sequence goes on along the minus strand of NW_025791797.1, from coordinate 759,296 downwards.
AAAAAAATAACTGGTGTGTGCTCTGCACGCATGTACGTGTGCACGTGGGCATCCCTGCACACACAGTGGTATGCCCCGGGCTGGTCTGCATGTTTGTTGACACGTACTCATGTGTGTACAATTCCATGCACACTCCGGAGTCTGGAGACAGGACTGTATGTTTGTGTGAATACACACGTGCATCTCCTAGGGTGCATGTGCACCTGTGTTCCATATGGGTCTCTATACGTGTGCACTGTGGGGCTTCACACCGAAAACCACCCCTGTGTGTACACGTCTCTGTTGGATCCGTGTGCTTGCACTGTGTGTTTGGGGAGTTGCGCGTTACTGTGCAAGTCTGTGTTGTGTGTGTGTGCGCTAGACTTATGTGCACACCTCTATTAATGCAATATGTGTGTCCATGCATGTGAGCATGTCTGTGTGTCTCTGTGTGTGTGTGCAGTGTACACGCACCCTTGCCACCCTACACACACATCTCCTTCCTGGCTCCCTTGAGCTAGCAGCCTTGTCCCCAACAGGAGGCCCATCATGCCGCATCTCTGGAGTGATGGCAGTGGTGGCAGTGGCAGTATGGGTGTCAGGAGGCTGCAGGTGGGCAGGTGGAGGTGGCGCAGGGGAAGGTGCTTGCTAATGAGGCCACCTTCCTTGCCAGCCTGAGAGCTGGTACCACTAATGATCTCTTCAGTAAGCAGCTCCCTGGGGAAGGGCTGCTGCCACAGCCCTGCTCTCTCTCTCCCCTGGGACCCTCCTTTCCCCACTTCCCCAAATGCTGAGGCGCTGCAGGAGCCATGAGCATGAAGATAAAGCACAGACAGAGCCAGGGGCCAGTGCCTGGTCCCACCAGGACCCAGGAGACCGTCCGCCTGCCCGTCAGCCTGCCACCAGGAAGCCCACCTTCCAATGAACCCTCTGTGTTAGGGCACAGTCTCCAAAAGGCCTCTGAGAGTCCACTTGTGCTTCTGGAGGAAGGGGCCCTGCACACCGCAGACAGGGAGTGTGCTTCTGTAAAAGGAGCACTCAGCTGGGAGTCAGGTGGGCTGGCCACTAATCCCAGCGCTGTGTGACTTCGGGCAGGCCCTGTACCTCTCTGGACCTTGGTTTCCTTATCTGTAAAATGGGGGAAGGCTAGAATGGCTAGTAAATGCTCAGCTCTGTGAACCATCTGAACCTGTTTTGTATCACCAGTAAGGAATCACCCATAATGGGGGGAAGACTAGAGCCACTCTAAACCTAAAACAGGATTAGATGGTATACGGAGCTGAGCATTTGCTATTTTAACTTTGTGTTTACTTTCATGGATATATTTCATGTGTATATTTTCACATATATGTGTATATGTATATGTCTGGGTGAGCATGTATGTGCACATGTGTATGTGTATATGTATATGTGTGCGGGTATTTGACTAGTATATCAGACCCTGATTTCTCAAATATGGCTAAAGAAGAGGGTAAATCACACACTTAAATTTTAAAGGTAAGCTGATTTTTAAAAAACACTAAGTAAAGAAGAATTCCAGTGGCATCTGAGTGTGGCAAAAGTCCTGATGAAAGGTGACAAATGGCTGCCTCCCTGGACTGAGTGTCCCTGTCCCCTTCCTGCCTAAGGGACAGTGGATTCGGGGCCCCGGCCTCCCTGGAATGAGAGATGCACAGACTGGGCCCTGATCTCCCACCGTGTCCTCACAGCCCCAAGACAGAATGCCATGGGGATTGGCAGGTGACCATGCTGTGAAGTTCATGGAGCCAACCCTCTGGGCCACAGGCCCCACGAGATCTCTGAGGCCACAGAGTGTGTCCACATAGGTGACCTCCAGGGTGATTCAGGCCAGGGCACAGGAATGGCCTAGGCAGAGGTGGCCTGGGCCTGGGCAGAGGTGGCTCAGGCTGAGCCTGAGGCATCCTGGGGGCTCAGCACTGCATATCCTCGGAGAGGCCATCTGAGACTGCTGGGCCCATGAAGAGGCTTCTTCCCAATACCCACCTGTCCTGCCCAGGAGAGAACAGCCAGCCCCACAGCCCCAAATGTCTCTGTCCTCCAAGAGGCCGGATGTGAATCAAAGGAATTTAAAGCCCGGCCTGGTGTGGGATTTATGAGTCTGCCTCCAGCCAGGACTGGCGGGGGAGTGGCCACTGTCAGCCCCCCATTGCCACTGATGGATGAGGCTGTTTCCTGCAAGACAAACTCCCCTCTGTGATAGGCAGCGGAGGGAGAAGCATCCGGGCCCTAGGGCCAGCCCCATACTTGTCCCAAAGCCAGATCGCTCATGCCTTCCCTTGGACCTGCCCAAGATGGGACATACCACACTCAAAGCCAGAATGGATCTCTGAGGTAGCCCAGAACACACACACACACACACACACACACACACACACACGCACACACACGCATGCACATACATAAAACAGGATTAGATGGTACACGAAGCTGAGCATTTGCTATTTTAACTTTGTGTTTACTTTCATATTTCAAATTTTAAAAGTAAGCTGATTTTTAAAAAACGCACACACACAGTACACAGATGAGGAACCAGGGTCCAGAGAGGAATGGGCCTTGCCTGAAGTCACCCAGCAGCACAGTGGTGAAGCTGAGACCCCAGCCCACAAGCCCCCTGGACTGGTCATTTCAGTGTCCGGTCACAGTGGACTGTCATATGGCCACAGGGGTAGTTTTCACCTCCAAATGCGGGCACCTCTCCAGAGAAGAGACAGATCTGGGTTTGAGTCCCTGCCCCAGCACTCTGTGTGTAAAAGTCATAACCTCTCTGTGCCCATTTCCTCACCTGAAAAATAGGGCTCAAAATAACCCCAACTTAACAAGGTTCTTACGAGGTTCAAGTGAGAGGACGCAGGTAGAGCCGCAGGACAGAGTGGGCCCCTGACACATGCTTCCTGAGTGGTGATGATGGTTCTCCACCATCTCTCATGCCTGAAGGGGCTCAAGGCAGGTGGTTCAGTGGTTAGGGCCAACTGTCTACTTCAGTTCCTGCCTGGCCCAGAGCCCTGACGTTGACCATAATAAGGAGCTGGCAAGTAGAATCATAATAAGGGATTTTACTTTTGTTCCAAATATATATTCCAGGTCTTGAGTAATCTAAGTGATAATACTGATTAATAGGAGTATCTATTATACATGTGTTATGTATGTGTATTATTCATAGATATATAATACATGTATATCTGGATTTATTATATGTGTATATATACATATATATGTACGCATGCAAATTAACTTTAATATCTACAAAACACTTAAAAATGGATATTAGATCACAAGTACAACCTCAACAATGCCCCCAAAATATATATACTGTGCAGGCATTATTTTATTCTCCGTTTCTCCTTGATTTTTTTTCCATCTCATTGGCATCCCTACTGTAATCAAAAAAAGGAGAGTCTTTTTTGTCAAGAAATTGCTTAAAATTCTTTTCCATTGCCTCAGATATTTAAAGAAAACTCACAGTTTTCTTTGTCCCATCTTTTCTCCTTGGCTACTTCCCTACTTTTCCTTACAAATATTATGCATTATTCACATTGCAGTAAGTTACACCCATTCACTGTAAAAAAGAACAATACAACACACCCTGAAACCTTTGGGGCTACTAATTTCTAAAAAGGTTACTTCAAGCAGTAAAGTTTTCTTTTATAAAAAAGAAAGTTTAAAGTTTCATCACTCAAATGTAGCCTATCCAAAACACCTGGAAATGATTTCAAAGTTTCAAAGTCACTATTCTGATAGGTATTACTTCCAACCTAACCATTACTGGCCTTTGAAATATAGAAGCTAAAAGCAGACTGCACGGATCAAATACTATAGATAAAAGCATTTTGAAAAGCGTACCGTACTATGGAAACATAAGGTGGTAGTATTAAAAATGGATTTGGACATGAAATCCCAAACTCATTAATTTCAGTGATGCCTTAGTGCTTGGATGAGGGCAGAAAATAGTGAGACTTTCATCCAGATCCAGTTCAGCATCTTACTGGGATCATTTCAGGCCAGTCAGCTTTAATCAAATTACACTCCATCCATACATGATTAGAAACAAACTGAGGTTTTGGTCAAGTGCCACAGTTTTTCACTCAGGGCCATCATGCTCACTTTCTTGGAAGACACTTGGAAATTATGTGATCAAATCTGAAAGTAACTTTTCAAGAGGTGTGTGTGGTCTTTCTGACAAAGAAGAGCTTTATATTTGCGACTGAGTTAAAATCTCTGGCTGTAACTAATTAGTTAGTGATAAAATAACAGCAATGAACATGGAATACAAGCTAGAAGAAATCTTAGACTTTAAAACACGTTAACAGAATAAAACTTATAATATCACTCTCGTCTATCAAATATAGCCAAGAATATGGAAGAAAAAGAATTGTTAAAGATATACCTAGTAGGAATTTTTAAAAAACATCTGCTGAGACAAAGAAGCTGGGCATACTGTATGTAAAAGTAAAATTACAGGCCAGGCGTGGTGGCTCATGCCTGTAGTCCCAGCACTTTGGGAAGCTGAGGTGGGCAGATCATTTGAGGTCAGGAGTTCGAGACAAGCCTGGCAAACATTGCAAAACCCCGTCTCTACTAAAAATACAAAAATTAGCCCGGCGTGGTGGAGGGTGACTGTAATCCCAGCTACTTGGGAGGCTGAGGCAAGAGAATCGCTTGAACCCAGGAGGTGGAGGTTGCAGTGAGCCGAGATCGTGCCACTGCACTCCAGCCTGGGCGACAAGAGTGAAATTTCATCTCAAAAAAAAAAAAAAAGTAAAAATACAGTAAGTAAAATCAGGTGTTTTGAAAACATATGGAACCTACTGAAATAATTAAAATATAAGCAGAGGAAGCATATTTTCCTTTAGCAGTGACAAAAATTAGAATTATTCATGGATAACCAATTCTTAGTAATCATGCAGTCATAGCTCACTGCTTTATGCTTAACTAAGTGCTTTAATAAACATTACATTATTTGGGTTTCACAACACCATGAGGTGGAAAGCCCTTGTGAACTTATAAAGAGAATAGCAACAGTAATGAATTTGAAATACAACAAAAGAGAATGTGAGAAATTGCCCAGGGACAGAGATTATACACACTCATAGTACAGTGGCTCTTGACACCACGTACGCAAGAGCTCAATACATATCTGTTGAACTGCACCAAACTGATAATACATTCAATACCACTTTTATTAAAAAAAAAAAAAAAGAAGAAAGAGAGGTAGGAAAAAAAAGTACAAAAGCACATGTGTGAGGGGAGCACTATAGGAAAAACTATGGAAGGCTATAAGGTGATTTGTGATCAATGGTTGTATCAGAGAAGTGGTGGCAAAGATGAGGAGACTGTTATTTGGATACTTCTTTATTGTCTGGATTTTCACAATAAGCATGTATAACTTTTGAAATTCAAATGAGTGAAACCAAAATAAAAATCTACCAGCTAAATTTGTTAACAAAGAATGGGTATTGCTTTTAAAACACAAAAAATCAAATTACGTACTTTTTTAAAATGTAAGATAAAACACCCTAGGATTATGCTACAGTTTGTGACTACTGGATCCTGAAAATGGAACAGTTAATGATCAAATATACTTGACAGAGATCTTGGTGGAGAAAGAAATTTGGATTCCATTAATACATACTGAGCACCACCATCAGGTATTAGACACTGTATTAAGCAGCTATGCAGTAACTTAGGACTTAGAAAGTACCTGAACTCAATTCATGCACATCCTTCCTTATCTATAACCAATTATATCCCCTTCCAGCTTTATAGATAAGCAACCCCTATACTTTGAACACAAAGTCAAAGATAACTATTTTCTAGTTATCAAAGGCTTCTATTCATGAGAGTCCATGGCATTATTACATTTAAGAACAGTTAACTTGTCTTTATTTTGCCTAAGCTTGGAGGCACTTAGCTAGAGTAAAATTTGGCAAAACAAAAAGATGACTCATTTTGTCAGGCACTGTAAACTGCCTATCAGAGGACAAGGTGTATTTTGCAACTTAAATTCTGAAAAAGGTCATTCTTCCCTCCTCTGGCTCGTAAGTGATTGACTGTTAGGGACTACACCTAGCTTTCTATTATATGTCTCCTTTAAATTAAGAGGACAAATCTATTATTTGGAAATACACATGGCTCAATCAATTGAATGTGCTTACAAAAATCTTCAACCTCTTTCAAGAACTCTTTACATGCCGTGCAAACTATTGTTGCATTTGGGCTCTCCCACCCAACTCGCCGCCTTCACTCTCCTCATTCTGGAAAACAGTGCTGTCACTAACATGGTGGGCAGCCACAGTGGCTGAACCAGGCTACTCTCTGTCTGTCTTTGCTTGGCACTGGAAAATTCCTTTGTCTTTATACTTAGCAGTAGTGTAATCTTAGAGAAAGAACTTTAATTGAAGAAGACTTTACTGAAAACTCACTTGGGAGTCCCTAGGTGAGTTTAAAACAGATCATTGAAATCTTTTCCACAGTTGGGTTTGGTCAGTAGTGCCAATGGGCGGATTGGATCTTCAGCCCAAGCACAATCCCAGTTCCTTTATCGGGAGGTATCTATACCATTCTAGACTGGACCAAATTTCGCTCTTCATTTTGATAAAACCAAACTGCTTCCTAAGATTCATTCCATAAATATTTCTTGAGTACTTTGTCCAAAGCAGATTACTAAATACTGCCAGAGACACAAAAATGAATCCGGCGCCATTCTCAAATAACTTATAATGTCTAAGTCTTAAATTGGTAGGACACAAAGGAGAACATTTCAGTACTGACTTACATTTAAAGAATGATCTGAAAAACACAAAAAGCAGCTATTAATAGAAATAAAATAGGATATACCTTCCAAAACATCAGAGAATTTAAAAATGCAGAAAAGTATAGTCAAAAATGCACTTACAGAATTATTAAAATCAAAGCATAAAATAATCAAGGACAGAATATATCAGTGATAATAAGGGTGACCACATAGAACTCATCATCCAAGCTAGGATTTTGAACAGTGAAAGGCGACACTATTAATAACTTCTCCAAGATGACAGGCATAAACCAGGATGTCCTCAGCAACCCAGGTTATGAGGCCTCCCTAGTTACGAAAATAAATAGCTTGCTTTCCTCAAAAAGAGAGATGAAGTTAATGGGTTCAAATGCTCAGCTTCTCTACTTTCCCACAGTCCTGTTTTCGGAATCTAGTAATCAATGAGGCAAAGAAAACAAAATAGAATACACAAAAAATTTCTATGATGAATACAAAGAACAAAACTATGGATCTGCTGTATTTTAAAATAAATTTAAACTTGGTAATGATTCGTGACCTTGGGAAATACTGTATTTTTATATCATGTATTGTTGAATATCAATACATTCAAATTATCATTATAATTATACAGTAAACTGTCACTTTCTACCTGTTTGGGCTTTTCTTAAAGACAATTTTATATTTTAGCACAGGTTTAACGAACTTTGTTTCAGTTATAAATTTGTCTAATCTCATAAGGGGAAAATTTTCAAATGTATTATACAAAAAACTCTGGATGTATCTGAATTATGTAGAAATCAGACTTTAATGAGCCAAACTCAAATCCAGAAAACACTCAAAGTTACTCTAAGGAGTGAAGATATTTAGAAAGACCTAAGTAAGACTAATGTTCTGTTACCCACAAACTCTTAGAGCTGTGTTTTCAGGCTGTGAACAGTGCTAGTGTATCTCATGTCTGGGCAGATTAATATATCTACTAATGAAAAACACACACCCAACCTCGTTGCCTACTCCAAGTTCTACACCTCTAAACTGATGTAGGCCCTTGGAAGAAATTAATTCTTGGGGAACACAGTGAACATTAGAATCAACGAAGATGTACACAAGCTGGTGGCCACATCCTAGAAACTCAAGTTTCCTAATAAGCTGGACCTCCAGTCTCTCTTTGTGATTTGCTGTCCCTCAATTTTCCCATATGTAACCGAGAAGCTAAATGCCAAAAAACTAATGAGTAACTGTAAGAATATCTCCTAGAACTTCCACAGACTCCATTTTCCTCCTGCTCAAACTTCTATTCCATTTCTGTGCTCAGAAGCAGCACCTGGGAGGGGAGCACACAGTCATTCATTTATTCATTCCCACCCACACTTGAACATGCATCCTAGTAAAGTGCACCCAGGCTCAATGTCAGAGATATGCCTGAAGAATGAGGACCCTTGCCCCAGGAGCTCCGAGACACTAACTGAAAACACAAACAATGTAAAGGAATCAATGTTCTAAGAGAGATCTATTAAAAGAAGTATAGGAACTCAAAGGAAGGAAAGAGCCAGATGTATCTGTCTGACGCAGTTGGGGAAGGCTTCCAAGAGGTGACATTTGAGCTGGCAACGAAGGGAGAAAGAACACTTGAGGAGAAGAGACAGCGTGTACCGAGACACAGAGGCATGAAAATCGTGGTATATTCACGAGTGCTGAGAACTGAAGCACAGGAAGATCAGAAGAAGCAGACAGTGAAGCGTCTCTTTCCAAACTGAGCAGAACTGACAAATCCTCACTGTCAGCTTCTCTCTTCCTTTTGAGGAGCCCAGCTATTTCTCTGCCTGTCCTTTCCAGTGGTTTTGCCCCTTACAAAGGGAAAGACCTGGGTTCTATCAACTCTCAAACTATCAGCTGCCCAAGCTTGGAGGAGACCCAGCCTCTCTGTGAGTCTCACATTCTTTATTTATAGGAGAAAGGGCCTACAGAACCTATGAAACTCAAGGGTTCTATATGCACAGTGTCAAAAATCATTAGAGCATATTTTCATTTTTAATAATCATAGTAAGTGAGGAGAATCAGTAACAGTATTTCAAATAATCTCAGCTCTACAACTACACAGAAAATAAACTTATAGCTAATATAGCAAAATATAGCAATGGCTGGGATAGTGTAATTTGTTGAGCAAGTCAAAACCCTTTCAGTTTTTTAATATGCAAAATGAAGAGAAATTTACCACCAAAGTTTGTTTCAAGGCTTAAGAAAACAAACAAAACTGACTCAGGGAACATCTGACATGCAGTTGGTACTAAATAAACGTTGGTTAAATCTAATTTGATATATCTTCCAAGTGCATTAATAATTGTGGCATCGGCCAGGAGCGGTGGTTCGCGCCTGTAATCCCAACACTTTGGGAGCCCAGCCTGGCCAACATAGTGAAACCCTGTCTCTACTAAAAATACAAAAATTAGCTGGGCGTGGTGGTGGGTGCCTGTAATCCCAGCTACTTGGGAGGCTGAAGCAGGAAAATTGCTTGAACCCAGGAGCCAGAGACTGCAGTGAGCTGAAGTCGCACCACTGCACTCCAGCCTGGGTGACAGAGAGCGAAACTCAGTCACACACACACACACACAAATTGTGGCATCACTGTTAGTATCAGTTAACAAAATATATGCAAATATGGTGAAACCGATTACGTAAACTGTTTAGAAAGTGAAAATTTACTATTGTTTTAGAAAAATTGAAGACTTGTGGTTTTGAAGAAAAACAACCATTATACAATAAATCTACTAATTGCTTCTTTTGTTTAGAGCTAAAAAAAAAAAAAGTTCCTCTTTCCCTCCTACCCCTACCCCCAGGGGACATAAAATTTACCTTTGATTTCCAAAGCATATCAGATTTTCAGATTTTTTCCAGCCATTACAGAGTCAAATAATAAGACAAATTCAGATACAACAGTGAAGGAATAACAACTTTTACCTCAATTCTACACTTGAATCAATAGACTCAAATCCTTTGAAATATGATCATCAATGCAATTATGTGCTGAACTGCTAAATTAACAGTCATCTGGGAAACATAAAACAAAACTAGTGACAATGTGCTTCTAATTGCATGGGGGTTCAGGATATTAGTGATATTTTATATTCTGCTTCATTGTTCACTAAACAGCATATATTTTCATAATAATGCTTTTTCCAACTACAAACAACCAAAGGAGCCATAACTCAATTTCCAAGATGAAGAGAAAACAAAAATAAAAGAAAAGATATACAATTGAAACAATGCCTTTAGTAGTTGGAAGAGAGGTAGGAGGGGCAGGAGAATGAAAAAAAAAAGGCAAAAATAAATTTAAATGACTGCTTTGAAGTCATTCTTCAGGTTGAAACAGCAGGCTAAATCAATTTCAACTCCTGTATATTAATGATTCAGTCATCTCTAAGCCTCCAATAATAAAAAGTGCCTGCCTGCCTGCCTGCCTGCCTACCTGCTGCCTGCCCTACCTACCAACCTGCCTGCCTGCCATGTGTAAGACTCTGGGCTAGGCAGGGGGATATAGTCTATAACCTACACTGAGGAGGCCTGGGTTGTGTTAACGAAACTGTAGCACAGTGAAGCACAAAATCTACTCAGCATTCATATGCCCTTCACCCTGAGGCTCTTTATAAACAGAGTTACAGGCTACACGTTTTACACACGAGCACTAGTGTGGACAGAGCACAGGCTCACGCATGCGCTCACATTGAAACTGCACTCAATTCCGCTCTGATCTGACGAAATTCTGTGGGAAAGACTGCCCCCTTGTGTTCATCTCAGTGCAGTTGTGACCCTGCTAGAGCTGGAACATCTGGCTGCAGATGCATTTTACCATCCAATGATGGCTTCAGAGAGGGGACTTCAGCCTGCTCAACCTCTACCCAAAATCAAGGCCAGTGTAAACGAGAAAGTGCCAATGCTTCTGAGCTCGTTCAAGTCCAAGAAAGTCATTCTGGACCTCTCCTGAGGCACAGCCAAGTGAGCTAGTCCTCATGGATCCAATCAGGATAACTGTTTTGTTTTGTTTTGTGTAAAAAACAAAAAACTCCTGCTTATGAGAAGAGATCTTTGGAAGGATGGAATTCCTCTATGTCAAATGGCCTCTGGACCTCTGGCTGTCTGAATGTCACTTAAAGCAATCCACAGATAGAGAAGAGGGCACAGAGGGTACTGAAAACAGCAACGTAACTAAGAAATACAGGAAAACCCAAGACATGGGCAGTGGAAAAGGTGAGGAAGGATCTTGGAAAACCAACTAGGAGAGAAAGGAAGGCCATAGAGATTCATCTACCTCAACTTCCTTCTACACAGATGCAGATTCAGGTCTGGAAATTCCCACAAAGTGGCCAACTTGCCAGAGCTCCCACTGGTAAAATCCAGTGCTGCTTCTCCTACCAGAGGATGCCTTATTTACTAGTTTGCGATCAACTGTGAAGCACCTATAAATAATTTGGAAGACTAAGCACCCAGTATGAGAAACCTAACCTAGTGATCAATATAGAACCAAACAGTAAGCACAAAATAAATGGGAGTAAATGATTAGGGTACAAAATTAAGCCAATAAAGGTTTCATTTTTCAGAGGAAAAAAATAGTTCACTGCATATTTTAAAAAAAACCTGTTTTCTTTTCTTTTTAAAAAACTTTGGATCCTGAGAAAGGAAGGCTTATAAAAGACACCTTATATTCCTTCCTCCCTCTCTCACATCCCTCCACCTCCAAATCCCAACTCCAAAAACAGGTACAATTAGGGAGAGGCTATGTCAATGCAGGAAAAGGTCTTATCCAAAAGCCAAAAACTTTGAAAAATGGAACTAGATTAAAGGCCACCCAGGTATATTAGAATTAATTTATGACACTAAGATAGCAGTTGGTTGCTCCAGAAGTTGAGAGAGAGAGAGGGAGAAAGAGAGAGAGATCCTGGGCTTCACAAATATCCGAGAGTAAGAAGGCCAAGGGCAGAAGTCTTTGTCTCAGGGAAGACCCTCAGGCAAAAGTAGTTCTGGCTGCTGCCTTCTGGCTCAATTGGAGACAGCTAGGACTGCGGCCGGCAAAATAAGACCTTGTATGAAAATGGAAAAGGCCGCTCCCTCAAAAGAGACTAGTGCTGGGATGATTTTAACTGTTTCAAATCATTTATTTGGTAATAATAAAGAAACCAGAACAACATAATGCTGGGTTTAAGCTGCAGTCCCAGCTTTAGCTCCCTAGTGAACTTATTTAAATTCACACACATGAATTTATTTCTTACTATGTATGCATGTATTATGCATAGATAGAAGTCTGGAAGAATACACCGATAACACCTGTAGGAGTCAGCCCTAGGAAGGCAACTTGCTTAGCTTTTTCTATATAATTACCTTTACAGTAAAAGAGTGGTCATAATTTACTTCTGTAAATAAGACGTCTTAACATAGACATTTAATGTATCGCAGGAGATAAAATCATTTCAAGTTCCTATAGAATAAATGTTTAAAAATAGCCCCCAATTATTAAAGCTAAAAGTGACAGAACCAGATTCAAAAATGAATTATTGATACCCTCAAAATCAAACAATACAGGCTGGCAAATACATCAGAATAGAAAACAGCATCCAGAAACAAACTACAGTATGTGTGGGAAACGTGGTAGTGAAACAGCGGGGAAGGAAGCAGGGGCAGGGGCAAGTTTATCTGATATACTGTGCTGGCACAACACCTATGCATCGGGAAAAAAACAAACCTGAATACCCAGCTTATGCGTTACCTGGGTCATGCCCTAGAAAGGCTTAGCCAGGCACATGAGAGTTATAGAACGTAAAACATTCAAAGAAAAACGCAAGGAAGAGTACAAATGCCAAAATAAATGGTAGAAAATAAGAGAATTTTTTTAAAAAAGAGAGAAAGCAGTAGTGGAGCTTAAGTCTATACAGCACACCTATGAGAATACTATACAAAATAACAACTTTAGGCAGAGGCAATTGAGTCTTGCCTTCCCTTGGGAGCAACCTTAGCTCAGGAGACTGGAAACCGGCTCCAAGCAGCTTCTGGGGGGTAATCTTGGCTTTACAAAAGCCTAGGACAATGTTCTCCCCTCCTGTTGACTGGACCATGGCACAGAGAAAAGGACAGAAAGATACTCAGAATATTTCTGCTTCTCTAACATCAAACGGCCTCGCCTTTTTCAGTCCAGGACATACCTGGGAGCCTCCCAGAACACAGTGAGGGCAGGAAGAACCAGTTAGTTTCAGTGTACTATCTGAGCTAAACAAAAAATCCCCAGTGATAACATCATCTTGGCTCTGGGAGTTGAATAATCCGAACACATTAAAACATCACTACCCTGATATTCTTTAATAAGAAATGTTCAGACCAAGAAAGTATTTTGCTTTCATCTAAAATTCCAGTAGATTTATACCGAAAAGCCAATGTGTTCACTTCTTTTTTTTTTCTGAGACGGAGTCTTGCTCTGTTGCCCAGACTGGAGTGTGGTGGCATGATCTTGGCTCACTGCAAGCTCCGCCTCCCAGGCTCACGCCATTCTCCTGCCTCGGCCTCCCAAGTAGCTGTGACTACAGGCACCCGCCACCATGCCTGGCTAATTTTTTGTATTTTTAATAGAGACAGGGTTTCACTGTGTTAGCCAGGATGGTCTACATCTCCTCACCTCGTGATCCACCCATCTCGGCCTCCCAAAGTGCTGGGATTACAGGCGTGAGCCACAGCGCCCGGCTGCCAATGTGTTCACTTCTAAAGAAATATTTCTGTACTTTCTATCTCCCTTATGTACTTGAGATTTTTTTTTTTTAAGACAGTGTTCCACTCTGTCACCCAGGCCAGGGTACAGTGGCACGATCACAGCTCACTGTAGCTCCAACCTCTTGGGCTCAAGCAATCTTCCACCTGGGTAGCTGAGACTACATGCAAGTGCCACCATGCCTGTTTTTTTATTTTTCTATTGTTTGTAGAAACGGGGTCTCACTATGTTGCCCAGGCTGCCTGAGAATATTTTAAACTTTGAAGAAATAAATGATGAACACTAAATAGCTTCTGGCTGCTCATGTATTCCCTCGCCTAAGCTTATTAAGTGATTAATTGATTCATGCATTCAACCAATATACACTGAACACTCAAGAGATCTTCACCAGGAATAATTAAGTGTGAAGATTTGGGAGGCCCAGTCCTTAGGGAATTTGCAGTTAGTCCTCTCTAAATCAGCAGGTCTGGGTGTTAGGAAGGTAAAAGCTCTGTGCTCATCTACAAAGGAGAGGGGGACTTTCTTCCCTAAGCAAAGATAACTAACTCTCCTCACTCCATGTATAAAACCAGAAAAAGGCCAAGTATTTTTTTAAAAGACCATAATGTATTTTATTCCAGGAAGAATCTACGTGCTTTCAACCCCCTACTGCTCTTAATATAATTCTGGAGGTTCAGTTGAGGATTTTCCTTGTAAATGATATCTTAAAAATATATATATATATATCCTTTTATTTTAATAAAACAAATTATACTGCAATTGTGTGGGCTGCTTTGTATTTGTGAACCATTATTTTGTCAGAATATCATTTTAGAAGAACATATGCCCATTTTTATAGTTAATAACTTCTTGCAAAAAAAAAAAAAAAGAACTCAAACTTTCACTCTGAATCTACCCCACACAGCTAATGGCTTTGTTGAACAGGCATATGGCTTGTCAGAGAAGAATCTGGGACAATATGGTTACTACTGTTTCCTTCTCCACTTTGTCTGTAAGCTTGTATTAATACATATGCCTCCCAGTAGAAAACTCTCTCCCTCCTCCTACTTTAAGCCACAGGTTCTGCATCAGCCACTCCTCCTTCTCCAAAATGTCTACTTGCGGAGTCACACTCCAACCCGAATCTGGAGTGGGGCTCCAACATCAATGTTGACAATTCAGGAGTTTTAAGGATTCACTCCTTTTGCCTTGGTTCTCAGAAAAACTAATTCCCTCTATCACCTGTGCAATTTCAAACTTCCTCTTAAAAGCTATCAAAAAGTTTTGAATCTTTGCAACACTGAATAGGAATGGAGAGGGAAAGTCAGAGTTTCAGCAACAGACAGTGAATCTGATTTCTTTTCTACATATATTGCTGGAGGACGTCTTTCAGATCAACTTCACTAGAACAAAAGAGTACTTTAGTACTTTTCCCCCAGAAAAGTACTCTTTTCCTACTTTTCTAGTAGCCTACTTAAATTCTCTGGATAAAAAAAGAACTGCATTTAAATAAATGACATATTTTTTAAAAGTGGAAAGCATTCTTTAATCTTCATAATTAAGTGCTTCACTTACCATTTTCTTTCTTTATGTGTGACTTTGGAGGTCTATTTATTAATGATAATACTTCCCAAGGAAATCAATGATAACAATGACGTTGCTTAATTAACATTTTGCCTTTTGATTTTTTTTTAAACAAAATAATGTGCATCATCCCACTGGATCTTCAGAGCTGCCTTCCATGATCCTCAGCTCACAAATAAGAAACCAAGGATCGGTGAGGCAGAAGAGAGGATCAGAGAGGTTGAAGAGAGGATCAGAGAGGATCAGAGAGGATCAGAGAGGTTGAAGAGAAGATCAGAGAGGCCTGTTGCCCCGGGCTACAAGGCTAAAAAGTTAGCTGAACTAGAAATTTAACCCAAAATATTCTATTTCCAAATTAAACACTTTTTACCTCTCCACTCAATTATATGGGATAAATTCTACAAGACAGCATCAACAATGTCAAGGAAATATACTAATATTATTCCTTAAATTTTTAAAGAAAAAATTAGATAATATTTAAGATATAAAAAAAGGTAAGGCCAGGTGTGGTGGCTTATGCCTGTAATCCCAGCACTTTGGGAGGCCGAGGCGGGTGGATCACGAGGTTAAGAGATTGAGACCATCCTGGCCAACATGGTGAAACGCCGTCTTTACTAAAAATACAAAAATTAGCTGGGCGTGGTGGCGGGCGCCTGTAGTCCCAGCTACCAGGGAGGCTGAAGCAGGAGAATCGCTTGAACCCGGGAGGCGGAAGTTACAGTGAGCCAAGATTGCGCCACTGCACTCCAGCCTGGCGAGAGAGCAAGACTGCGTCTCAAAAAAAAAAAAAAAAAAGGTAAAAGAAAACTAAAACAGACAATATAGGCCCACTACTCATCTTAAGGAACAGACCTTAACCAATATTTGTGTACTTCTCTGCAATCATGTCCTCTCTCAAGATACCCATTATCTTGTACTTGCTGTTTATCTCTCTGTGCATTTATTTTTATTACATATATATCTGTTCTTAAACAATATACAGCACTTACATGGTTTCATTTTTGGATTTTTTTTTTTTTTTTTGAGAAGGAGTCTCACTCTGTCGCCCAGGCTGGAGTTCAGTGGCGCGATCTTGGCTCACTGCAATCTCCACCTCCAGGTTTCAAACAATTCTCTGCCTCAGCCTCCCGAGTAGCTGGGACTACAGGCATCCGCCACCACGCCCGGCTAATTTTTGTATTTTTAGTAGAGACGGGGTTTCACCATGTTGGCCAGGCTATTCTTGAACTCCTGACCTCACAGTCTGCCCCCCTCGGCCTCCCAAAGCACTGGGATTACAGGCGTGAGCCACCACGCCCAGCCATATATTTTTAACCTTTATATAAATTGTCTGCAACTTGCTTGTTTTTAAAATTAATTATATTTGTGAGACTGACTGAAGTTGATACATATAATGTACTTCATTCATTTTCACGAATGTATAATATTCCATTGTGCACCATAATCTACTTATCCATTCTTCTGCCAATGGATATTTAGGGTGCTTCCCTTTTTCTGCTTTCATAAACAGTGCTACTATAAATATCTTTGTACATGTCTCTTTGTTCAAGAGTGTACTTAAAGCTCCTCTAAGATACACACCTAGAAGTGGGATTGCTACACCCTGTTGTCAAGTATTTTTTAAAGTGGTTATATCAATTTACAACAACAGTTTACAAATGTTTTCACTGCTCCATATCTGTAACACAGAACATTGTCAGATTTTAACATTTCTGTCATTTTAATGGTTATGAAAGGACATCTCACCGAGATTTTAAAATGCATTTCCTTGATTACTTCACATCTAATGTCTGCCACATGTCATGTTTCAGGTCATACTAGAAACATGTTTCTCTATCCAATATCACCTTTCTCCTAATCATATACTTTACATTTTCTGGAAAGACCGAAAGACCTGCCAAGTCTTTATAATAACTGCCACTACTCAAAATTCATACTTACTGTTATAACTGAAAATCACCTTTCCCCCAAGCTATCTTCATAGTCTTTAAAAAAATACCTTTCTTTTTGGAAATTAAAAAAAAATCTACTTAACCAATTTACCCCTGCCTTACAACTTGCACTCCAATCAGACTGTATCAATTTACGGGCATAAGAGAGTATATTTCCACCTTCTTCAAAACCCTTTTGACAATCACTTGCTTTTCTGTTGGAAAAAATCAAATCTGAACTTATCAACAAGAAGACCATTGTGTGAACCATCAAGGATATCTTCCCAACCTGCATGAAACCATATAAATGTCAAATTATTTTCCCATTCTGTCATGTGCTAAAAAATACTAAGAATAGAGGTCAAATGTCTCACTATCTGTTCCTTGAGCATGACCTTTGCTTGGCTCATTACCGCCCACCTACTCTTTCCTCCTTCCTATATCTGACATTTGACCTGCTAGTGTCTTATTAGTTTAGCTAAATTCCAGGCTCTGGCCTCTCTGGCCTGCCCAGTGTTCGCATGACAACTATGCTGATAAATACTCAACTCACGAAGTATGTTTCCAGCATATCTTTGGAAGAGAATATGATCTGCAGTCTATTCATTATTATGTGCAAGTTCTAAATACAATTGTTCACTTTTTCAACTACTGTACCTGAAATAGGATTAGTAGGGCCAAAACCACAGATGGAAATGAAGAAATTGCAACAAGCGTATCAGCTGAGTTTGCAGGAGGTGGCTCTATGGCAGGGCAGACTGTCCCCTCTTTCCCAACAAGAAGCAAGAGGACCTAATGCTTGAGAGAAGATGGTCTCACAAGCATTTTCTCCAAGCTTGTAACTAGGGAAGCCTCCAATCATGAATAGCCTATAGTCCCTCTGGCACTTTACTCAAAACAGTCTTATATTTCAATGTCTATGTAATGCTCACTGGACTCCCTATCTCTACTTCTTCCCAGAACCTCATTACCGTCCAATTTAGTCAAGGTATAATCTAATGATTTGCTAGCAAATGCTCGTTGTGGCTTTTCCATGCATCTACCAGTTTTCGGAATCTTATTCTGTCCCAAACCTTCCTTCTTCTTAACAGATTGTTATGTTTTCTACATTGTTGAGTTGGGAGAGACTATAAACCTTGTATTATTAATCATTTAAGTTTTTCACTGCATCTTTTATTTTTCCTCTTTTCCTACCTCTTTTCCACTGATACAACAAGTATAATCAAACTCCAGTAAATACAAAGACACACACACACACACACACACACACTCCTTTGACTCAACTATTCCTTCAAACTGTTAATCCATTTTGCTCCTTCTTTAACTGACAAATTTCAAAAAAACTGTTCCAATTATCTCTTATTTCATCTTCCCTAATTATCTGGTCTCTACATTGTTAAATGTCATTTAAGAGTAAAAGAGGAATGTACTCTTTGAAGATGGAGGGGAAGGTAATTCCCATCAAAGAATCCTTTGTTCTTATATAATATCTACAGCAGCAATGGGCTTATTAGTAGATAAACAGTCATTAGATTATGAAACTGTATTAATCTATGTATTCAAAAGAACTTAGTCATTGCCAATTACTTCAGACAGTGAAAATGAGAATTAATGGACACATCTTAAGTTGTAAAATAAGCATTTTATCAACCTGTATGCTAACAATCTGATCTGGGTGATAGACAAGGGAACTCCCACCTTCCCATAACCTGCTCAGCAGCTTCAAGAGCTAAAGAAATCAGTGGCTTGTCATATCTGTAAAAGGCAACTGTAATCCACTGGTTGCAAAGCGTTGAATAAGAGTACACATAAAAATATGATAAACAGAATATAGCGTATCAAATCAAAGAAATTCAGTCCAAATTTTACTAAGATTCAGACCATAAATGATTTCCTTTGAGAAGAAAACAAATCAAATCTAAATTAAAAATTAAAATATAAAATCATCTATGATAAGCAGGAACCAAGACTTAAAGATAATACATAATATACTAGAAGACTGTAATATATAAAGAATGGGGTCTTTAAGGGTAGAAGGAAAGATACAATGTAACAAATCATCAGTAAGACATCAAGAGAAAAGGAAAAAACTCAAGCAATATGGAAACAAAGAGTTTAAATAAACTAAAGATACAGAAGTAGATAAATATCTCATCTGAATAAATATTATTTTGGGACCATGAAAAGTTACTTAATCTTTGTGTCAATTTTCCCATCTGTGAAATGTATGTACCTCACCTGGCAGGGAATAAAGAAGATAATCACGTCCAAAAATTTAGTATAATTTCTAGCACATAGTAAGCCCTGATATTAATTATTGTCATGAGTATTGTCAGTATTAATACTGGTCTCCATTACAAATAAACTGGATAGTCAATCTGATTATCTGTGAGCATGAAGTACCAAAACTGACATAAGAAACAGTAAAAAGAACCTGAAAGGGACAATAACAATGAACAACTAACCAAATATAGCTGATTTCATAGATGCTAATATCCAAAATTTTAGGGACCAGAAAATTCCTATGCCATTTAAACAGAATAGATAACAATAAAACCATCCCCTAATTTGTGATTTGTTTCATGCAACTAATATAATGCTGATATCAAAACTCCACAAATACAAATATACACAAAAAACTACAGACCAAACTTACAAATATAAACATTTCACTAAACTACTGACAAACTGAGTTCACTGCTCAATAACATACTTGAAATACACTCACCTAATACTGTATTCCAGAAATAAAAACTGGCTTAATATTAGGAAATGTGTTAATATGATTCATGGCATAAGTGGATCAAAAAAAAAACACCTCATATGTGTCACCTGAAAGATGTAGAACAGACCATTCACTATCTACCCACATTTTAAAAATTAACCTAGTAAATAGAAAAAGGAGGATACTTCCTTTTCATTATAAAAAGTAGACATAATCTCAGGTTAACATACACACATACACACACACACACACACACACACACACACCATATATAGATAACATGTATATATAAATTCCTCTAACTTAACAAATGAAACAAAGATTCTTATTGCAGCGCTATTTAACACTGTTCTGAAAGTTGCAGCAAATGCATTTAAACGAAGGCAGGGAAAGCTATATTCAGAGAAGGGATTGTCTCCAAGAGAAAAATATACAGGTTAAAAAACAGTATACAAAGTATGATTTTTTAAATAAAAAAAATGCTACTGAAGTGCATACTTTTAAAAATAGTTAAGACGGTAAACTTTATGTTGTTTTCTTACCACAATTTTTAAAAATATGCACATATATGGACAGAAAAAGACTGATGGTTACCCCTATAGGTAGCAATAACTCTTATTTGGCGTATCTGCATTTTCAAAGTTGAGAATAACTGACTTTTTTTTTTTTTTCTTTTTTTTTGAGAAGGAGTTTCACTCTTGTCATCCAGGCTGGAGTGCAATGGCACGGTCTCGGCTCATTGCAACCTCTGCCTCCCCTGGGTTCAAGCAATTCTCCTGCCTCAGCCTCCTGAGTAGCTGGGATTACAGGCACCCACCACCACGGCCAGCTAATTTTCTATTTCCAGTAGAGACGAGGTTTCACCATGTTGGCCAGGCTGGTCTTGAACTCCTGGCCTCAGGTGATCCACCCGCCTCCGCCTCCCAAAGTGCTGGGATTACAGGCATGAGCCACAGCACCCGGCCTTATCTGCATTTTCAAATGCACCAATATTATGGCTTGCACTATACTGAAAGTTATCTTTTAAAAAGAACTTTAAAATGTTAACTCTATACAAAACTACATAAAATAACAAAAATTTATAATAAAGAAATAAAACAAGAAAACACAAATATACAAAACTGAAAATGAAAAAGATAAAGTTTACCAGATGGAAAGAATCAAGTATTTTATGCACCAAGCCCAGTTAGTTTTACAAGTGAACTATTTCAAAACTTTTGAAGAAAAGGTAATTCTTACATCATATACACATTTCTCAAGAGCAACACTATACAATACGGTAACCACTAGCCACACATAGTTATTAAGCACTTGAAATATGGCTAGTGCAACTGATGGGTAAACTTTTAATGTTATTTGATTTCAATCTATTTAAATTTAAGTAAGTGAATGTACCTAGTGGCTACCAAATGGAGAGTGCAGCTGTAGAGGGTAAAAAAATGAAAGCTTCCCATTTTGGTATTATGATACCAAGAAAATAATGGCCATTTTAACTTATAATGCAAGAAAAGTCTGGATAAAATGCTAGTGTATTGAACCTAACAGAGGTTGAAAAGAATATGCAATGATCGAGTGCTGTTTTTTTTACGTAGGAATTCAAGGATGCCTTAATAATCAGGAAATTAAATATAATTCATGATATCAATTACAGCAAGAAGAAAAACTCTATAACTTTGTCTTCAGATGCTAAGAATGCATCAATAAAATTCAGTATCCATTCCTGATTATTAAAAAAAAAATAACTTTCCCAGCACAATAAATAAGAGACACCATGAATCGACAGGCATCAGCAAACCTGAAACTAAAACACCAGAAGTATTCCCATTAAAGTCTGGAAGGAACTAGACAAAATAGCAACTGTAATTATTATTATGTACCATATTCTTATAAGCAATATGAAAATAAAAAGAAATATGACACACAACTATTAGGAAAAAAGAGAATAAAATCATTATTATCTGTAAAAGAAAAGCCATTAAAATCAGTTGAAACTCTTAAAACTAAGAAATGACTATTAGGTTTTCACTCATTAAAATAGATTATCTCTAAATGGAAATGTTGATAATAAAGTACATTTAAAAGAAATTCACTAGTAAGTGAATTAAAAACATTATAAAAGTATCATAAAGTCTTAAGAACTGAATACTACACTAAGCTTTCCCTTGAAATAAATTACATCAAATTTGCTAGTAAAAACCCTTCAAAGGTTTCTGACTCCTAGATTACCCCACGTGACTAAGGATTCTCACACACACACACACACACACACACACACACACACACACAGATTATCAACACTGACTTCCTATCAACCCAGCAACCAACCATGGCAGACCTAAAACCAGTTCAGAAAAAGGCTAATTAAAATTTATTATTTTCCTCATGCTGTGAAAAGAAGAATATCATGTTTCCTCTCAGAATATGTCCTTGAACTTTTAAAGATTTAACCATATGGAAGAGATCTAAAGGAGTATATGAAAAGCCTAAAGATTTGGAATCCTAATTCAATTTCCCCTCACATTTTAATAGGAGCCTGCAGCAAACATTTATTTTTAGAGATATTCTTAGTAGGGAAAAGAACAAAAGGCTATTGTGTGCTAAACATGGTGAGGTCTCTCTGGTCCCATCTATACCAACTTTATAAACATCAGGTTAGAATTAAATAACTTTAAACTTTAAATCAACTATTTCCAGACCACAAAATCTATTCTACACTTATCAGCACATATAAGTTCTCTAAGTGACTTATAGCTGAGTTCAAATGTGAAATCTGCATTTTTCAAGTGCCAATAAAAGAACTTTCCTTTGGACTTTGACTGAATAATGCTGAATTGTCCAAGAATGCCATGTAATGTTTTCATTTCCTTTTCCAACAAAAATTTTCATCTGCACTTGATAAATTTACTGACTCCGTATCATTTATGATGAAAAGCATATGGGTACCAATCATATTGGTCTCCACTATTTTCCTATTACATAGGAATTACAACTTTTTAACAAAAGTAAAAATGACGAAGTTTACAGGCGTGCCCTGATCACTATGAACATCTCTTTATATGTGTCCTGTCATGAGTCTGTTAAAATGCAAAAGGAAACAAGAAATTACCTACGATTAGCAATGTGGTCGTTTTAAAACATATCCACAAATACTTTGACATGCCTCCCATCAAAAGGCAGAGTCAGTTCCCTCCCTTTGAACATGGGCCAGCTGCAGTGACTCACTTCTAATAAACAGAATGTGGCAGAAGTGGGGCTGAAGGCTTTGAAGGCTAGGTCATAAAAGGTGATATACCTTCCTCCTGGCTCTCCCTGTTGGGTCGCTCACCTGTAAAACTTAGCCACCATGCTGCAAGGAAGCCAAGCAGCCATATGGAAAGGCCTTAGTTCTACTCCCAAACAAGGTTCCAGACAACAACTGGCATCAGCCCCCAGACATGTGCTTGAAATACCCTCCATATGACTTTAGACTCCAGGCTTTGGGCCGTCTCAATAGACAGCACGTGGGGCCAGGCGTGGTGGCTCACACCTGTAATCCCAGCATTCTGAGAGGCCAAGGAGGGTGAATCACCTGAGGTCAAGAGTTTGAGACCAGCCTGACCAACATGGTGAAACCCTGTCTCTGCTAAAAATACAGGTGGTGGGCATGGTGGTGGGTGCCTGTAATCCCAGCTACTCGGGAGGCTGAAGCTGGAGAATCACTTGAACCCAAGAGGCAGACGTTGCAGTGAGCCGAGATTGCTCCACTGCACTCCAGCCTGGGTGACAAGAGGGAAACTCTGTCTCAAAAAAAAAAAAAAAATAGACACCACATAGAAGAGATAAGCTATTCCCACCAAACCACGCCTGAATGGCAGATGCTTGAAAAAATAAGGACCATCTTTATTTTAAGTCACTAGACTTTGAGTGTTTTATTATGCAACAACAGGTAATTGGAGCATATAGATTATTTCAGCCCAATGCAGCCATCTTATTCTTTCCATTTCAAAACTACCTGAGAAGACAAATCTGTTTCAAAGAAAAATAAAAACGTGCTGACATACCTGGTCACCATCAACTCACCCTAGAAAGCCAAAAGCTGGAACCCCAGCATTTATTACCTGTAGCTGGCAGCTAGCCTTCTCTTGGGCAGTTTTCTTCTTACCCCTTAATATACCAGACTCTCTGGCCTCTTCTGTCCTGTCTTAAACTTACTCCTAGCTTTGAAAAGTTGCTTTTAATAAACACCCTGGCTTGAGACTGCTGCTACTGCTAACATATGCTACATACTTTTAATCAAGGAACAAGTAAAATTTGCCTAAAAAAGTAATTCTATGACTTTGAGGCAGGTAACCAGTTCAAGATGTTTTAATGACGCCATTAAAATGGGTTATCAATCAACCCAGATAATCATATCAAAACATTTACTCTTCCTCCTAATAAACACTAGGGAGGGAAATATCCTAATTACTCAAATAAGGTTTTTCTTTAAGAAACACAGCCTAAATGTTAAAAGCTAGAAGCAATCTTGAAGATAATCTAGTTTAGAACTTTTTTCAAGCAAAATCCAAGGAAGATCTTCATGACTTAAGTAAAAAATGTCTACCTCACTCCATCTCCACCTAGGATGTCAACCTGCCATCATATAATGACAATTTGAAACTTCAATTCTGTTTGTATTTTACCAAAAAAATTACAAATACAATTTTGTTAGTATTTTATAGCTACAGCAATAAAATGTACTCCATGCAATGTTATTTAATGTTTTATCTTTAAAGTTTAGGATTATGACAAATCCCGGTTAAGATAAACAAAAGTATCCCTGGGAATCCACAGTCTTCTCATAAAAAATTAAAAGTGGCTGTTCTATTTCTATCATAAGAAGTATTAGTAATCATTGCCCTAGTCCAAATCATTTGGGAAACAAGCCCAGTAAGGTTACATAACTGGCCTGAGGCCATAAAACTAGTTAGTGGCAAAACTATGGCCAGAATTTTGGTATACTCATGCTTTCTAGTCATGCAGGGGACTCAATCAGATTTCAATTAATAAAAGAAAAACAATTACTATATGTTTCAATTCAAAAAGCCCCATCAAAGTGGCCGCTGCATTCCAATTCCTTCAATGTTACACTCAAAATCCTTCTGGTGGACTATCTTTCTCTTTAATGTAAAGAAAACAGAACCTTAATGGAGGCACCTCAGGCATCACCAGGTGAATGGAAGGCGAATGCAGCTAAGAGTGTGGACTGGCTATTCAAAAGCCATTCACAACCCCAATATCTTTTGCCTTAACTACAGAGGCTGGAAGAGTAAAACACTCAATCCCAGGCCTCCCCGGCAGGTAGGAGTGGACATATGACAAAATTACAAAAATGAGCATATATACAGAAGTCACTAGAGAGGCATTTCTTTCCAAATAAAAACATTAATCCTGTTAGAAGGTCTTGACCCTTGTGCTCTCTTCCTGCGAGGAATGTGGGTATGATTTTCAGAGATATAAGGCCATCTTGCTTCTACGGGGACAAAAGCCACATGCTGAGCCACTGGCTCCCTGATGACACAGAAGAGTCATGACACCAAGCCTGGACTGTCCACCCTTGGGCTTTCTACTGAGTGAAGTTTAAGACTATGCAGTTGGTTTTCTGGTTACTTGCAGCTAAATACAATCCTAACTCTTATAGGAAATAAATCTGGCTTTTCCTTTTCTATCCAAACAAAGTGGTTGTCCATCTGGCTTAGTCTTATATAAGTAAATTTGGTAAACAAAGATTTAGTCACCTTCATCCTTACCCCATGTTATGCTACCATCTCACTTTTTTAAAAGGTCAATAAAAGAAGTCAAGGTATATCTCTTCTCCAAGAAT
Source organism: Homo sapiens (assembly GCF_000001405.40). Lineage (NCBI taxonomy): Eukaryota > Metazoa > Chordata > Mammalia > Primates > Hominidae > Homo > Homo sapiens. The sequence continues at coordinate 733,739 of NW_025791797.1, read as the reverse complement.
AAATGAAAAATTTTAGCTTATAGTAAGTTTGTCTCCCTGTACCATATGGCAGAGCTGAGGCTGCCTTGGGAAGCAGAAGAGAGAAGTGGTTTCTCTCCTTATACACCACTTAACCTCAGTCCTGGACAGCATCTAGAAATTCAGCAACAGAAAGAAAAAAGAAAACCAGAAACTAATGTATCCCTCATTCTCATCCCGTACTAGGGAAACAACACAAACACCACGCCTTAATTAGAGAAGATCGTATAAAAACCATTCACTCAGCAGAATACCTTTTCTTTCCCTTGAGCATCATGCTGGAGATCTTATACTTCATGTTCCATTTAATTTGAGCAATACAGTAATCTCAAGGAAGGCTTATGAACAAAAGTAGGGTGTTTTCCATTCTTCCAATGTCCTTTCTAATAAAGTTGACTGTGGCAGCTTAATAAGGTATATCAATTGTTAAGGTTAAACGGCATTTTCCAAAGGGATGGAAGAAAATAGGTAACACCGATGAGAAGCTAAGCATTCTACAAATTTCATGCCAAAAAATTAAATAAAGAAAAGAATATATCTCTGTAGGTGAACGGCAACATGCTTTGGCAAATTTCTTGGATTCAAGTCTATAAAATCCAGACAAACCATTAGCTATTCTGGACCAACAGACTAGACCTTTTTAAAAAAGTTAAACCTTTTTCTAAAAAGCGGAGAATTCCCAAACCAAGCAATCACTCAATAAATAGCTCTATAGCTGACAATGACCTTAAGGTTCAGAATCTAACAGTACAATGGGATACAGTATTCTATAATACACTCTGGATGCAAGAGAAATTTCTTAATCTGAGTCTTTAAGGTTGCACTAAGAAACTGAAAAAGTGAATTCTGCAAATGAGGGGCAGAAGTCAAACAAGTGACAACACTAAGGAGATGAAGAATAATATTTACAGATATAAACTGACAATCAACTAATCTTAGCAAAGCAATACTCAAAGGATAAAAGCAATGAGTTTAAATAGACCTTTACATCAGAATAGTTTCCAACAATTTAGAATCTAATCTGTAGAACCAGAAATGCCTTAGTCATCTAGATTGACTTTATGTGAACAGGAATTTCTCCTCTCACTCTGAAATAGATGGAACTCCAGCTTAGGCTAGAGCATTTACAAATTACTTAAGCAATACATTTTAAAAACAGAACTACTATAATTCACAGCAAGTAACTGATCTCCATGTTAGTTACTCAAATGTACTAAGTTAAAGATACCAGAAAAAAAAACTATCAATCTAAAGAATAAAGTTATTCCCTTCAAAAATTTCACTAAATTTTCAGTGACATGTTAGATAATCTCCTAGAATGGAGTAAGGATAAAATAAACAGCATCACCCTACCTAGCACATTTCCTGGAGGTACCTCCTCTAGATATTCCAGTTCCCTTCCCATCAGAAGATACAGGTTTTCCAGAGCACAGTATGCCATGTGGGGGACTTGGGGGAGGCCATCTGGTGGAGCTGAGAAGCCTAATGGTACCTGGGCAAAGAAAAATGATTGAAGACAAGTTAGGAGGCATTTGGAAGCATTAACTGGTATTTGTAAAGTTATTTTTATTCATCAGTAAGATATGGTATAGCAACATTTCATGTAAACCTGAAATATGAACATTTGAAATGGTGTGATAAAATATGCCTCACTTTATGAATAAAATTTGAAATACTGAAACTTCTCAAATACTAAAAAATTGTCTAGATTCCCATTTAATCATAAGCTTTATGGCTAAGTAACATAAATTCTGTTGTGACCTGGTATTGTCACTTTAGCTGATCCTCACAGTCCCTGGTTATTTATGTGAACCATGTCATACACCAGTTCTGGTGACTACTGTGCTATCATTTGAAAACTCATTATTACTATTATCCTTTCAAGTTGTTTTATTTATAATGTTCTTCAAGTATTCAACAAGGGCTGGTGCTAGTGCCAAGTAACATATAAAAATAACTTTGGAAGGGTAGTTAGATGTGATAAAAATGCCAAAAAAAAAAAAGGCCTAACTGCTATTATATGCTATATTGTTCATATGGAAGAGCATGCTGTGATATATTAGGAACACTAATGAGAGGACAGAGTACATTTACAGCAAAAATATACAAGTACAAGTACATTAGATTTATTAGCTCCCCGTACATCATATTTATTCTTATGGAACTATTGTCTCAAATGATTCAAATTTTGTATTGTGTGACGTTTTCAGAAATATATCCACCATATAAATGCAAGTATCCAGAAAGCATTTCAATTAACCAATCAACCTATCTTTGGTGCTCATAGGCCTGGGGTGCTGCCCTAATGCTATGAAGAGAAAAAATGGCTGACATACAACATAAACAAAGATGATTAACATCACAAGCATAGGGTGACCAACAAAAAGGTAGTATAGGCAAGTAAATTCATAAAGGTTCAGAGTAAGGAGAGGCCCCTGTGCTAGGGTAGACTCTAGAAACTTCATGAAAATGATGACCTTTCAGGCACATGTTACATCTAAATGTATGTGTTCTGCTAAAATGACAACTCTCAAAGTAGCTCTAAAGATGGGCTGGAGGGATAGAAAAATTATAAGAACTGAATAGAAAGAAATGGAATTATCTACACAATATGACCATCCACTTAAAACAAGCTACAGATAAATTATAATTAGTGAGACAGCTTAGCAAGGTGGCAAAAATGCAAGATCAATATAAAAAAGTTAATTACACTTCTATAATTAGGAATAGAAAATGCATAAATAAATAGCAATAAATAGAAAATATGTAAATTTAAAACGATTTTTAGAATAGCAACAAAATATAAGATAGTGGGTAATAAATCTAATAACAATGATCAAAACTCTTTATAAATAAAACTATAAAACTTCATGAAAGACATTTAAAATGACCTAAATGAATAAATAAACCTAATACTTTAATGGATGGAAAGATGCTGTATTATAAAATGTTGATTCATGCCAAATAGGTGTATGGACATAAAGTAATTCCAATCGAAGCCTCAACAGGGCTTTTCATAGAAGCTGACAAGCTGACCATAAACTTGATATATAGGAGCAAATAGGAACAAACAAGACACTAACAAACAAAAACATGGTAAAGGGATTTGGTCTTTTTGATGTCAAACATTGAAAAATGAAGAAAGCATCGAACAGAGACAGTTAGAGACAAACAGAAAAAATAAAATTAGTCCAGAAACAGATCTATGTACATAGGTAATAATCTGATTTCTGAAAGAGTGGACAAAGCAAATTAGTGGATAAAGATAGACTACTCAATAATGTTGGAACAGCTGGACATTTATATGAGGAAAAAATGAACTTGGATCCCTTCTTCACAAACATTGAATCAAATATTTATACGTGAAAGGTAAAATATTAAACTTCAGAAGGAAACATAAGAGAAAGTTTTGTGACTTCAATATAGACTTAATATCAATTTTAAGATTTAAAAAGCAAAACCCATAAAATAATGATAATTTGACTATATTTAAATTAAGAACTTCTGCCTATTAAAGGGTACCAAATGGAAAGTAAAAACAAGTTTTACACTGGAGAAGAAATCTGCAAAATTCAAAACTGACAAGGAATTAGTATCCAGAATATACAAAAGACATCTGAAAAGCAGTATTTAAAACAATAAAGAAGCATAACAGAAAAACAGGGAAATGACTCCAAGAACTATTAATATCTTCACATGAGAACACAAGATTGATCAATAAATGCATTAAAAGAGTAATAAGAAAAATGTAAACTAAAACTCCAAAACACCATATCATACCCATCAGACCGGCACAAATCAAAAGCCTAACAAAACCAAATTTTGGTGAGCATGTGGAACAACTGGAACTGTTAAACACTCCTATTGGGAGTGTAAATCACAGCTACTTCAGAAAATAAATTGGAATTATCTTGTTAAGCAGATTACCAAGGCAACTCTGCTATAGGTATATTCCCTAGAATTTCTTGTAAATGTGCATAAGGAGATATATACAAAAATAATCAAGGTAGCATTGCTTAGATTTGAAAAAAAAAAACAACGAAAACAGCAAATATATAGTGACCAAAAAATTGTATAAATAAAACATACATTTAAGTAAAGGAATCCTATGCCACACTGAACAATAAACGAGCTACGGGAGGAGGCATTAACACAGATTAATCTCACAATGTTAAGTTAAAAAAAGGCAAGTTGTAGAATAACTACAGTAAAATTCCATTTATACAAAGTTTCAAAAGCATGCAAATGTGACAATATTCTTTAGAAATACATACACAGGTTGTAAAACTATAAAGAAAAACAAGAGATGTGGCAGACAGACTAAAGGTGCCCCTCCCATGATGCCTGCTTCCCGGTGTTCACACCTTTGTTTAGAAACCTCCTTCCCGAGTGTAAGTGGGACCTGTGACTTGCTTCTTCTAACAAACAGAATACAGCAAAGGTGATGAGATGTCACACTGTGATTCTATACCATCATACAGGACTCTGTCTTGCTAGGAGACTCCTTCCACTCTCCTATATGGCTTGATGAAGTAAGCCTCCAAGTTGGGAAGGTCCACATGACAAGAAACTGTAGGTGGCCTCTAGGAGGTGAGGGCAGCCAATGGCCAGAAAAAATCTGTGACTCTCAGTACTACAGGTGCAAATATATGAATTCTGACAACAACCTTTAGTGAGCTTGGAAGCAGATTCTTCATCAGTCAGTCCTCCAGATGAGAATGCACCCTGGCCAACATTCTGATTGTGGCTTTGTGAGACACTAAGGAGAAGATGCGGCTAAGCCATGTCTGGTTTTCTAACCCATAGAAACTGTGAGATGACAAAATGTGTAATGTTTCAAGCTGCTACATTTGTTGTAATCTGTAATATGCAGTAACAGAAAACTAACACAAAAGATGAACACAAATTCTAGGTAGAGGTTACTTTGAGGGTAGGTCTGAAATATTTCAGTTTTTTTTTAATCAGTTGGAATTAGGTTTTATGGTGCTCTGATTACTGAAATAAGAAGCCATTTGAGCTGTCAATGTATTGTATCATTCCTGCTTAAGATGTGAGACACATAAGCAACTGATTTCAACCTGTAGCAAAGACACATTATGCAGAGATAAATTGGATTGTTCATGGAATTTGTAATGCTAAATAAATCAATGTTTCACTAAATAACAATTTCTTGCTCATTTACCTTCACAAAAAAAGAAAAAAATTAACTGATACTTGCCCCTTACTGATAAACAGCAAACTATCAATTATGTCCAAGCCAAGATAATCATAGATGAGTTTTTATACATATCACTTTCAGACTCCCATAAAACATAACCCTATACACACCAAGTGCTGCGATCTTTCTTGCTAAATTAGAACATGCCATAGCTCAACAAGGACTGCTTCACTGCCACGCAGCAATGCACTCTCCAAGGATTAAACTGCTAAAACTCATGGAATAAGCATTCAAGGCAAAGAAAAACTGATGGCAGAGACTTACTTCAACTGCTACCTCCTTCTCTCTCACTTGTAGCCAAGTACCACAGCTTCCCTGGTTTATCTACAGACAGGCTGCTTCCTGCACAGAGAGGAGCATGTGTTTTTGTGCTCATGATGCTCCACGGTGCCAGCTGACAATTTCCTAGCTTACTGCTTTGTGCTGATCCAGACTGGCTACTTGGACCTCTGGCACTGTCTTCATCCTATGACCTCTATTATTTAATTATGATATAATTACATTGTATATATCTTGCTTACTTCCAAAAATGTTCTGAGACATCTCTAGCCTGTGATCTCTGTTTTGCCCCTTGGTTCAGGCATTTTTAGATGCTGCCTGCTCATCTACTTACAGACCCTCCTGTCCAGACTCAGGGTCTGTGTGCCATGCAACTCCTGCCTATTCCCTGCTCACTGCCCACACCTTTGGCCTGAGCCAGCTAGTTTTTGGATCTTCCTATTTCTCAGAGATTGGCCATTGCCCTGGCTCCAGCATGACATCTGCTCTTATCAGTTATTTTCTCTAACCACAAGGTGATTCTTGCCTAGAAGAGAAAAGCCTTATAATTAAACAAGGCCTGAAAATTTGGTCCACATATTGATTTGGTTTCCTAAATGCTACTAATTGAGACATATATGACAAATGTTATCAAAGCAACACAAAAGGAGATACACAGTCACTCAAGTGTGCCTTTCCAGAGACAAACTAAATCTACCAACAAGATGATCACCAGTCCCAACAAAATGTGAAAAGATATCAGACCCTTGAGAAACAATATATAAATATTTTACTTTCAATTCTTACCCTTCGTAAAAACTCAAGAGGACTGTATTTGGGCCCCAAGACAAAAATTTTCTTTCCTCTTCGAGCCACACCACTGAACACCCGAGCAAATGCAATAGAAGACTCTTGGTTGTTTTCTTCCTGGAGCACAGGTTTGGGGGTCATACTTTCCACCTGTTGCTCGTCACCTGACAGAAACAAAAAGATAATTAGTGCCAAGAATGCCCTCTTAATTCAAGAACTGTCTGGAAACACAGAAGGAAGAGCGAATATGATATGTTTGGTCTAGTTTCAGAAAAAAAAAAAAGAAAACAAAATACCAAGAATGAAAAGAATATTAATAAAAACTATGATTAAAGCTTAAAAAGCTCAAGAACTAAAGGATGAGTGTCCCAAGTTAAGCAAAAATGCAAACACTTTGCAACAGAGCCTACTTAGGAAAGCTATACCTCTTGGCTCCTCTCCTTTTGGACATGTTTCAATGGCACTCCCATCTTGGGTGGGCTCCAAGGGTGCCTGTCCCTGCGCTGCTGCAAGCTTCTCTGCATGCCTTTGTCTTGCACGCTCACGTCTCTGAGCAATTTCTTCTTGAGTGAGAGGCCTACAGGATATCACAAATATGTTATCATCTGGCAGCATCAAGCATCTCTCAGTTTATCCAAGTAGGGAAACAGCAAGTACTGACGTGGCTGGGTAAGATGAAGATTGGTCCCAGCTCCATTCCAGGCAGTTTTCTCTGAGTCCTCTCCCTGTCTGTAGCAATAAGAGAGGGCCTATCAGCCTCTCTCTAATAATGCTGTGTCCCAACTATTCTGAGCTTATGAACCGACATGCAAGAGCCCAAGTCCCCATCGGGAGCAATGTACAATAGTATGGAACCTTTCTCAGATACCTATATTCCTTCTGGAAAAGGCAAAGAACAGGAAGAAGGAAGGGAAACAGTGACAGATACTAGGGTTTGGAACGACTCTGGCAGGGAAACAAGCATAAGGCCTCAATAACTGGGGTTCAAGAGGAAGGGTTCAAGGTCAGGATGAGTACTGGCAATTCATCAGGACTAGAAGGTCAAACTGAAATATCAGCCACTGTGTTAGACCTAAGAAGTACCATCACAGAAAAGGCAGTGTGTGGGTGTGTATGTGTGGTTTTCCATGGGGGTGAGAATGAGAAGGGGTGGGGGAGGTAATTAAGCTCTTTTTCCTAAAGAACTACCCTCATGTCTGTCAGGACACAGAAAAGGTATTTAGAGTTTTAATACTAAAAAGGTGTTGACAAAAGGGGAACACTAAGTCGAATACAAATTCTGTTTGGGAGTTTGGGTTTGGAAGGTAGAAACCAGGCAGGTAGACTGTTTCCTAGGACTTGGCTCCCTTCCCATGTAGGGGTCCTTATGAACCTACCTGCATGCTCAACCCCAACACATGAACAAGACCAAACCCTGTCCTAAGGCTGATAGATTAACAGCATCTTTTGCCCTATACTCTGGGACTGAGCATCAAAGCACTCAGGCTAATCTTCTGGTCCTAACTTTATGCTCCAGCTCTGGAAGCTGGACAACTCTTCATGGTCCCAACACTTTGTGCCTCTCTCCTGTGTTTTCCATCACCTTTAATATTATGATTCCTGCTTTATTTCCCAATCTCAGACTTCACACCTAACTGATAACCTTCATCCCCACTTTGCCATGCCATATTCCCCTCCTCTCTCCGTAAGCACTGGAAGCCATGCAGGTAGCTATTCTGCCTACTTGTCTTCCAAATGGCCACAGACCCTTAGGGCTCCTGATGCAAAGCGGCCTAACTCCTTCTACCTTTCTATTTCATGTAAGCTAACCTGCAAGGTGACTGCTTAAATCATTGACTGTCCACTGCTATACTCTTCAGATATCTGCCTGCTGGACAAGACTTCTCTAGTCCTAGTGTCCAGGACTAGACACTACTTCTGCCTTCCTTAGCACCTGTCCCTCAAAATCAATGAGTTTAGTTCCAAGAGTAGGCCCTTCCACTCACACCCACTCTGCTGCAGGTCACTGGGCTGTGCAATAGAATACAAAAATATGAGAAACAATCCTTGAGTCTAGCTTGGTCAGGTGTCTCGTCAGGCAATCAAAATTGCTGGCACTAGGTGGCCACACTACCACTGCAAGAGACAAGCTCCTCATTATAGGAAGCTCTAAATGTCAGAACTTTCAAATATAGAATGAACTCTGCTTCCTCACAATCTCTAGCCATGGCTGCAGTTCTCTCCTCTGGAGCAACATCTAACAAACCTACTTCCCTCTCCTTTCCTTTGAATCACCAGCATTCATGCCTTCCCCACCTTCCTTCTCTTCCCCAGGCTGAGCACTCTAGCCGTTCCTTCAACCAATCCTTTGACAACTTTCCTTGTTTCTAGACTTTTGCTAAAAACTCACATGAATATCTGAAAAGTGTGAATTAAAATATAAATGCAGAACACATTTTTATTATTAGAGTAGGAAGGAAAAAATACCAGAGGTACCTGCTAGCATCTAAAGAGAAATGGTCTCTTCCAACAGGTTTATCATGATTATCCAGAGACTGTTAATCACTTTACATATATTATAGCACATAATTTATCACAACAATTAAATGAAGTAGATATCATATTCCTATTCTACATATAAGAAAAGGGAGACTGAAAACTTAAGTAACTCGACCCAAAGTCACATAGATATTAAATGGAGGAGCCATAATTCAAATCCAGATCTGTATGGCTCTAAAGTCTATGCTCATTATCACCAGGTTATGTCTTTCCTTCAAGAGGAATTAAAGATGATAACATCATCATCTTAAGTAAATGTGATTTCACTTTAGTTTTAGTGAAAAAAGAAGTGTATTTGTTCACCTTGCAGATTAAATCCTCACCTGCCTAAGTTCATGAAGTGATCTGGAATAATCAGCATGTACAGTCATTAAGTAAGCATCAACTGTATAGATGCCTGCTGTCTATCTATGTATCTACTCATCCACCCATTGAACAACTACTGTGTGCCACGCATTGCTATGGGCACTGGGAATGATGGTAGAGGGGAACAAAGCAGATAGTAATCAGCAAGCATGTGTAAAAAGTACCCACTGTGTATCCAGTATTTGTTGAGAATAAAGAAATTTAATTACAAGAAAATGGGGCCCTACTAGTGAGGAAACAGTTGTGAGTGTTAAGTTATTTAGGCTATAGTTAAACTAACCATGGATGTTACTTCCTGAAGGGACAATAGTCACTAATACTGAGATGAAGGAGACCAGAGGTGAGAATGTTGACTGAAGATTCAAATGTCAGGTTGGAAGGTGAATTTGAAGAAGCAAAGAAAAGAGGCAAGAACACAAGAACAGAGGAGAAAGTCCTGTAACAGTCCCACACTTCATTTACAACCACAGCGGCACTGTTGAGCAGTGAGTAAAGGTCAGTGTTTTCATCAAGTTAGGGAAAAATTTTTTAGGGTTTGTGGGTGCCGAATCCTGTTTCCTGCCTTACTTTTCTCCCTGGCACATATCACTAATACATTGTACTCTATACTAAAGGAAAATAATACTCTGCTATTCCTGGCTTGTATATCTAATACAATGGAGATGAAAATGCTATCAAACCAAATTTCAATGATACATTTCCCCACATTTTACAAATAAAACTTAAATGAAAACAAGTCAGCTAGAAGATAGAAAAGAACAAACTAATGATGATGACCTTACCCAGGTATACCTGAAAACACTATATTATGATGTAACAATTGTTGAACCTGATATACTGGTTAAAAACCAATGACAAAAATAAAATCAGTAAAAAAACTTCATGGAATAGAATGGATTGCACTATCAGAAATATACTAAAATCAGAAAAGCATATGATGAATTATTAAGAAAAACATTCACAGAAAATGTAATTAATAGTAGAGGCATAATAATACTATTATTCATCAGCAAGAAATGGAGGATGGGTAGAGCTAGGAATTTTAAATGCTATAAATACATGTATTTCAAATATTAACAGCAAGTTTTCCAATTCTCTGATATTCCCTATGATTCTACCAGAATCTCTCAGATACTCCCAATGGCCAAAAAAATCCAATATCCTAAACTTGTTACTACAAGAAATTGTTACTACATGTAGCACTGAAATATTATCTGGGAGTAGCCTAGATACACAATTAGACATTCATTCATTCCATTATTCACTCATTTACTTACTCAGCCACTCATTCACCCATTCACTGACCTGTTACTCCCCCATTCGGATATTCACTCATTCATTCTTCATCTACTCACCCATCTATTCCTTTACTTATCCCCAGGGCAAAAATTATTGAATACACTTAATGTCCAAATCACTAGGGAAGTACTAAAAAACAACACATAACCTTTCCCCTGAAGGACAAACAGAATTTTATCAGAGGAAAAGAAGCCTTCTCAGATGGAGGAACAGCACAAGTACAGATAGGACATTTGTTCAGACACTAGTATATTAGAGAAACAGAAATAAAAATCTAGTGGAAACATGGTTTGGGGTCAGGTCACGGTGGGTCGGAAATGCCATAAGACAGGTCAAGTTTATTTCACGGGCTGATGATCTGACCTTCAGTCACTCACATATCATTTTCATGATTTCTGCTATATCTGCATATTATTTATTTAATACTTATTTAAATGCACAAACATTTTTAACTCAATAAAACTTCAAAATCTCATCACTGTAAAAGCTTTATCACTTGACATACACAGGCAATACACACAAATACACATTAAAATAAATATGACAACTAATTAAATTAAAACTTATTTCCCTAAGTACCACTGAAATCATCGCCAACACTTTACACTTGAATCAAAACTGCTCAAGACAGTGAGAATCATTAAGGGTTTTTGAGCAAGAGACATATCTTCATAGCTGAGTCTTATAAAGATCACTCTAAAGAAAGAATGGCAAGTGGATCAGTGGAACTAAAGATGGGGCAGGAGAACCAGCTAGGAGGTTGCTGCAACAACATCCACAAGAGATGATCAGAATCTAAACTAGCGGGGGAAGCAGTAGAGACAGAAGGAGGGGAACACACATAAAAAACAGGAAATGTAGAAGAGACAGATTCCCCAAGACTCTGGAACTTGAGGAATATCCCTCTCCTACACTCATCACACCTGTGCACACATAATACACACAAGGAAGCAGAGATCCTCATACATTCATAATTACTGAGGTAGGCAGAATTAGATGAGACAAGGCAGGCTTAGATTAGAACTCGCCTGACATGTTCAATAAAAGTTAATTGTTGCTACTACTGCTAACATACTCTTCAAACTTACATCACTTCAATTCAATATTCCAGAGCTGATTTCAACAACTTTCTCCTACAGAGGTATTGCAAAAGGATATACTACTGTATAAATTGTATGTTACCCTGGGGGTTGGCTTGATATGAATTCTGGGTTGAGGAGGAAAAGCATTATCCGTGCCCCCACTACCCACAGCCCAACTGCATCCCACCAAACATACACCATATTCCTAGCCCAGTCCAACTTTCCCCTTTCCCTTACCTTGGCTTATTCTGAGGCAAGGCCTTAGCATCAACTGCAAACATTTTGGAAACAAACATGATAACTGGAGCAGTGTCCTCACTTCCACATTTCATAAAAGCTAAACAAATAGGAAGTAAAAATGTCACTATTTTTCCCATTATTAAAAAAACAGATTTTTCTGGAAAACAATTAAATGTTTAGAACATGGCATCATCGATATACACCAGAAGTCCATAACTTTTTCCAACTAAGATAAAAATTTTAATTAGAAAAGGGTAAGATTGCTAGGAAAGAATAGCAGAGCAAGAGCAAACAGACTTGGCAGAAATAAGAAAAGAAAAGCAAGCAAATTTGACAGGGTGAGGGATCTCATATGAAAGCTAAAGCTATGCAATGAGGTTAACCACCTACCATAAGCACTAATACATTTTTCACTGTCAAGTACAGAAAAGACAGAATTGAGGAATGTTACCAAAGGCCAACAATCAACAAGGTAGCTTGTCATCACGATATATAAAAATCAATAGCTTTTCCAATCCCCCACAATAACAAATTAGAAAATAAAATGGACAAAAATACTGTATTATGATATTAACAAATTCTTAGAAATAAATTAAGATTCAATACTATTAAAATGCCAATTATCCCTAAATACATAAATTTTAACACAATTTCATATTAACATATGAACATTTTCCTTAACCTATATTGGAGGTAAAAAAACCATTGATTAATGAAATTTTTAAAAACAACTCCATCACCTCACATTAAAATAATTTGTATACAAAGAATTCAACAGTAAAATATAAACAAGAAAAAAGAAAACCACAGGAAGTAAGAATCAAACATGTATCAGAAGTCTTGCCAGTGGAAGCTTTGAATGAGGAACAGAATGACATGCCCTGACTTATACCTTAAGAGGATCGCTCTGTTTTGTCTGCAATATTGAGAAAACACTAACTGGAATCAACAAGCACGGATACTAGTTATTTTTTGTTGTTGTTGTCGCTGTTTGTTTGTTTTTTGACACAGAGTCTCACTCTGTCACCCAGGCTGGAGTGCAATGGTGTGATCTCGGCTCACTGCAACCTCTGCCTCCCAGGTTCAAGTGATTCTTCCGCCTCAGCCTCCCGAGTAGCTGGGACTACAAGCGCATACCACCACACCCAGCTAATTTTTGTATTTTTAGTAGAGTCGGGGTTTCACCATGTTGGCCAGGATGGTCTCAAGCTCTTGACCTCATGATCCACCAGCCTCAGCCTCCCAAAGTACTGGTATTACAGGCGTGGGCCACTGTGCCCAGCCCGGCCGGGATACTAGTTGTTAAACAATTAAAATAACCAGGTGAGAGATGGTGGTTTCTTGGCCCAGGGAGGCAGAAGTGAAAACATTGGGAAATAGTTGAATTCTGTATTTAAGAGGAAGAATAAACAGGATTTGGTGATGAACTGGATGTTGGAGTGTGAGATAAATATAAGGGCCATAGATGACTCCAAGGTTTTTGGACTGAGTAAATGAAAAGATTGAGGTCCCCCTAACTGAGATGGAAATGACTAGGTGAGCAGGCTTGGGGATAAGATAAAAAGTCCAGTTTGGGATATGTTCAGTTGAGATGCTTCTTAGACAACACAGTGTAGAGGGAGTTCTAGATATCAGTCCAGAGTCCAGAAAACAGACATGCTCTCAAGATACATAACTGTAGGAATTATGAGTATGTAGTTGTCATTTAAAGTCTTGAGATTGGACGAGATTATCAAAAGAGGGACTGAAGGTAAAATAGATGAGGATCAAAGACTTGAACCTTGCTTGGGGCACCCCAAAGTTAAAAAGCCAGGGAGATGAGGAGGAATCACAAAAAGAGATTATTAAGGATAAGCAGCCAGGGAGACACGAAGAAAAGCAGAAGCAAGGTAACGGAAGCAATGGAAGCCTAGAAGTCAAGGGAAGAAAGTGTTTCAAGGAGGAGGAGTGATCAACTGTGTCAAATGCTAGTGACAGATCTAGTCCTATGAAGACTGAAAACTGGCCATTAGATTTAATGAACCAAAAGTCAATAGTGATGCCAAGAACAACAGCGTAGTGGTTTGAGGGTAGGGTTACAAAAGCAATAGAACTGGAGGAAAAGAATTAGAGATAAGAAAATACATAGAGGCAAATTTCATGGAACGTACAAAGCCCAGAATGGGAGCTTCTTTTCTCATGAGAAGCATGTGTACAAGAAGTCGCTGGTCTCACCCTACTGGCTGAGCAAAATGGCTGTGACAAGAAAATCTTTGGGGTGAGGGTGGGAGGCAAAACTGGTGAAATGGTCATTTGTGAAACTGTTCATCTGTGGAAGTGGACATTTGGCAAATTGGCCATTTAGCAAACTAGCATTCAGCAAATTGGCCTAGAGCAGCCAGGATGGAGGACAGTCAATGACATGGTATATTCCAACAGGTCCATCTTTCCTCACCTGCTTTCAGTGCTTGAGTTTCTGGTGGAAGAGAGTCAAAAGTTTGTGATCCTGTGCACATCAGTCTCTCCATTCTCTGGGCTGTAATATCAAGGGGACAAGGAAGTTTCTGACATACCATAGCTGAAGTCTGTTGTTTAGGACTCAAAACCTTGAGCCAGTGCCTCCCCAAGGCGAAGATTCACTGTATGCTCTAAATATGGAGGTAACAAAGTCTGTCCATACACAAAATGCATGTGTTATATGGCAACACTGCTTTATGCATCACATCTCAAAACATGCATACAATTTCAGGGAGTTCACAAACTCCTTAAAGTTCAGAAAGGATCCTCATTGAACAGGTACTTTAACACTGAGGCCCATGGAACAAATGAGAACAGAGCTTAGCAGGTTGGCTACAGGTGACCTTGAAATGAAACAGTTATCTAACACAAACATCTAAATCATCTACTTATATTTAAATCTCAGTGTAAACATTTCTATTTTTACAGATTACTAAACAAACACAAAAGAACTGTCTTTCTAAAGAAGTTCATTAGTAATGTTAAAACAAATTAGTATTAGTGTATTAATTATTAAAGTATTTAATACAGTTTCATGGTAGAACACTAAATAAGCAGAGAAGACTTATTTTGGATTGAATGTTATTTCCAGAGAATTTCTTGGTTGCCATAATGCATTGTTTTTTCTAGCTTTATCAAAACTATTTCATTAAAAACCATTAGAATAAAGGATACCAAGAGCAGCATGGGGTATGGGTAGCCACTGACTGCAAATGGCGTTGATCTGAACTTTAGGGTCTGAATGTCGTGCCTCCCAGGCTCCAATTTTTAATCCTAAAGAAGTCACTATATTATCAATTTTGTCTTTGTCCCTATAGTAAATACAAGATTGGAGGGGGAAAAAGTCATACGCATATATAAACAGGCAGTGGGAGAAAGGAACCCAACATTATTCGGCATATTTTTACCCTAATGTGTTACTTTTTCAAAAAAAGCTAAAAATGATTGAAGGGAATCCTGCCACAGAAAAAGCCTCCTCAAGCTCTACTCTTACACTTTCAAGTGAATCCTTCTTTAAGATTTCCCAGGAAGTACTTCTCCACAATCTCCTCAAGCAAGCTATATCAAGTGGTAAAGCAGCCTTACAAATAAGTGCCAACAAGTTATTATTCCACCTCAGGAACAACTTAGAAAATAAATGCACTAAAGCAAACTTGTATCAGACAAGTTATTTCCCAAGTTCCCCATTAATGATCCTAGCTATCAAGCACCTTTTCTACTTTAATAACTATTTTTTAAACCTGGGTTTGGATAAACAAAAGCCCAATGTTTCTTTCCATCCTTTTATCTCTTCTCCTCAGCACTCTATAAAATATTGCTATCCTGTCCCTCCAGTATTGCCCTTTAGCTGGATTACATAGACTTCTTTAAATTGCTTCCAAGCCCTGTAATCAGCTCATCTGTAGAAGCTCTGTTCACTTTCTCAGTCCATCTCAGCTTTCTGAAGTATGACTCATCAAACTGGAAAGTGAGACAAATTATACTGCCTAAAGATGCCTAAAGGTAAACAATGTTAAAAGAGTCTTACTTTTTCAAGACAGCATCATACAAACTCCATAGATTTTCCAGGATCAACTGTACAAATAAAAGTTTCTTTCCTTTGGCCTGTACAAAAGAATATACGGGCTTAAGTTCCTGACATTTAATAGGCATTTGTATATTCCTTCTTGACATGCTTTTATTATCAATATGTTTCATTTCTACTTGAAAATATTTATTCAAAAATAAAGTAGATGAAAGTAGTTATAAGAATGCACTAAACTGCCAATAATCCACAATTAATAATAATCCACTGTTCTTTACTCTGGGAACCATAGACTTTACAAGTGATATGACCATTCGTGGGTCATATTACCATGGTTGCCATCAAACAAATACACACAGCACACAAGCCAAGAGCTAAAACTTCACTCTGCACATGTAGCCTCTTTCCATGGACTTCAGTCTAAAATTATGTTAGAAGAAACATAAAGCATTCTTAAGTATATTTCTAAAAGTTCGCAAGGATAGGAAAATTTTGAAAACCCAAAAAAACCCATCATTTCTCTTACCAAACTATGCAAAAAGTTAATAGCAAGAGCACCTTGAGGGGTATACGCTCCCATATACATGAGGTGGGATATATTAATAAATTGATACCTCCTTTCTGAAGAACTACTGGCAACAGTATTAAGAAATTAAAAGTCATTGGCTTAGAATGCTCAGTTTAAAAAAAAAGCATCATGAAGACATAAAACTTTTGCACAAAGACGTCTATTGTAACCCTACTTACAATATCAAAGCATTTGAAAAAAACTATTTCCAATCTTCAGAATGATTACATAAATGATAGTGCTCTCACAAAATAAAATAACAGGGTGCTTACTGAATTATTTCATAGAATCATAACTATCCTGTGAGATAAGTGCTATTATCTCAATTTTACAGATGAAATAACTGAGATAAAAGTCATAGAGCCAATAAGTGGTGGAGCCAAAATTCAAACAGAGTCAACTCTCAAGGCATGCTCTTTCCCACTTAGCTATATTCACTCCCTTTGAAATATATTGTTTATAAAAAAGCTTTTAATGGCAAGGGAAGATGTTCATGATATGACAAAAGCAAAAGGGCAGCTACGTTGTATAAACAGCATATCTCAACTGAGGGATGTATATATCTATGTAAAAAGGATGAAAGAAATTACAAACATCTACTAGCAGTGCTGGCTTCGATTTTTTTGTTTGCTGTGGCTTTATACTTGTGAGTACTTTCTCAAAAGCAATGTATATTATGATTTTCAATGAGAATAAATTTATGAAATCCTGGTTTTTACGTTAAAAAATAAAGCTCCAAGAAAAGTATCCTTTGAGGGTATATGACAGCATTCCTACACCACCTCTATCTATAGAAGGGGTTTCAGGGAGCACCCACCTCTCCCGATCTACACTGCACGATGACCAGCATGCAGTGAGATAAGGCCTCAGCTGAGACTAGAAGGACAGTGTGAACCATACAGGGATGTCTAAAAGAGACATCTCTTTATGGTGACAGATAATTGATAGTTAATCTCTTCACTAGTAAATGTGTCAATTATCTGTATGAAAATGATCCTTATGCCATAATTCATTTACAATAAATGTTATTTTATTGTTAATATTGCCAAACCTCTCTTTTCATTCATATTTGGTTGACATATCTGAGCCAAAGCTTTGTATGTAGCTTCTGTCCATTATGCTTTATGTTTATCTCTTTTATTTAGCAAACTTCTGGATTTATTTTTTTAATAAAATTTCCTTTCTAAAAAATATCTCCTTAGTAGGGGATTTCATACATTTATTGGTACAATCATTTATTGGTACAACTGTTTTGATCAGTTAGATTTCTAGTGTGGTTTCTTTTCTTCCGGGATTTTTTTAAAATATTGATTTGTGTTACCAGACTGTACTACACATTCTTTTATATTTTACAATGACATGTCAGATAAATATCCCGCTCTTAATTCTGGAAGTGGTAAACTTAAAGATTTTTATAAATAAACACTCCCAAAACCTCTATCAAAATCATAAATTATAGTAAGACACTTGCCCATTTGCTTAAGCTAGGCTTTTCTGGTCCATCATATAAAATATTCACACATGTGTACACATACGGGTACACAAATCTTTCAAAATCTTGTTTCTTGTCCTTTTCATTCTTTTTTATCCCGTAGTTACTACAAAATTTGCTTAACGTCAACCCATTCCACATTACTGCTAATGCTTTTATTTATTTTTGCCATTAATTAGTTACAATTTTTAAACACTGACAATTTCTAGCACTTCTCCATTCTTGAATTCTATTTTAATTCATTTCCTCTACAGAGTAACTGCAAACAAGATTCTAAGAGACGTGCAGAAAGATTTATATTCCAAGACTACTGATCTATTTGTTGCCTATCTTGCTGAATGACAACTCAGTCAAGTATGAAATTACTGAGCCACACACCCTTTTGCCCTCCAAGCTACCCAGTGGATTAATGTTAACTACTGAATTCTAAGACACAGTTATACAAAGACAAGTATATTTAATACAAAGGGCTTTTCATTGTCTCTTCTCTCCTGTCCCTCTTCTATAAGGTTGAGGACTCAGTTCTATGTATCTAAAACAAGAACTTGGATTCTTGATGCTACCCATCCAAGTCAATGTGCTTCTGCTTTTCAGCACAGACTCTCCCAGATTAACATCAATTAACAGGATAGATTTCGGGAGAAGACCTAGGTTCAGCCTCTAGTCACACTTCTTAATCCTTTCCCACTGCAGAGTTTATAGAATCTTCTTGCGAATTCTGGAATGTGCTCATTATCCACCTTTTGTGACACATGCAGCTGTCAACTTGGCCTATTCACTGACATTTTAGAGGAAAATGGGAAGCAAAAAAAGTCTCTGGTGCTTTCATTTCCACCACTACTTTCCCATAGATTCACATATCAACTTGTTGAGAACAGACACTAGCCAATCTCTAAATCTGACCTTGTCTAATACAGGGGAACATTCATTTATTGGCTGATAGTATCTAAAAATGTCAAAAGTAAGGGCTATGTAAATTACCCTTATTCTATCCATTCAACTTCCTCCCCATTCCTTTTCCTTCCACAATAAACCTCCCCCAGTTTGTGTGATTTAGACTAAAATTAGCATAAAACATTGAATTACTTATGAAAATCACTGTAAGAAAGGGACAAGCCTCCCACCTTGTGGCTTACTAGCAGAATGCTCACAAATCAGGAAATCAACAAGTATGACCCTATTATACGACTGAATGAATCACTGTGAATGAATCTGAAGAAAGTCTTGAAATCATCTTAGCCCAATATTCTTGTTTTTTCCGATAAGTAAACTGAGGCCTAGAAAGGTGATAATGACAATCCATCAACAATATATGAAAGTGCAAATTCTCAGCAGGTTCACAATTTCTATTTTCATCATATATGCATTACTTCAATTTATTTAGCTCTAGTATCATCTTTCGGGCATCAAATGGACTAAGATATCTATAATTTATTACAAACAGAAAATTATGATATTATATTACACTGCCCTGCCCAAGACAAAATCTGGTCAAAGGGAAATTGGAGAACAAGTTCCTGTAAAAAGGAAAATACATTTTAAAAAACGGAGCCAGAGATTTGTTAGGCTACTCCCAAGCCTTGCATTCTAGTCAGCTCCTGATCCTTTCTTTCTTTCCAATTCTAAGTCATACTGATATAAATTTCATGAAGAGACTCTGTTTTCTCCTAGTGCATCATTTCTAGTTCTATGATCCCTGCAAATTACATGCAATATCAAGCCCCAACTAAAGTAAAGGTCATTATGGTCCCACTATTATTTATCCAAACCACAGACATTTATCTCAAAGTAATAATCTTTTAACTACATTTGGATTTTTTGATTCCACAAGTCAGAAATTGTTGTAGTTGAAAAATGTGATCAATTATCTACTCCATTCTGAAATCCAAGGTCACTGTTAACACGGCCTCAGCATGTACAAATTCGGGAGAGGCAATAAGAAGAAATAAGGATCCTTATACCCCATAGGGAAGACCCCAGAGAAGAACCATGTCAAGAAAACACAGGCTTCAGACTCAGGCAGACTTTAATCTTAATATCAACTCTGCCTCTTAGCAGCTGAGTGATGTTGAACAAAAGTTACTTAATGTTCTTGAGACTTAGATAATAAATACTAATATCTATTTCAAAAGAGTGTTGTCAGAGTTTTTGGTGAAATAATTTAAATAAAGTGACTAACTCAATATTTAGCATACATACATCCTCAATAAAGCTAGACTAACTTTTGCTACTGTTGGTATCAAAGTTGATATAAATATAGTTGTTCATCTATGTATAAATAACTTTAAGAAGATAAACAAAAACTAACAGAAAATAAACTGATCTAAGGAATACAGTGGGATCCTTTTGTGGTATACATTTGAATTTATTCAAGAATAAAGTTAAAGTTAAAAATCAATTGTATATAAAATCTATAAAGAAATGCAAGACTGGCTCAATATTAAAAAACATCAATCAATGTAATATACCATATTAACAAGCTAAAGAAGAAAAATCATACAAATGTATTAATACAGAAAAGGTATGTGACAAAACTTGACACATTCATAATAATGACTTTCAAAAAAATAAGAATATTAAGGGACTTCCTCAACTTGATAAAGGACATCTAAAAACAGCCTGCAGCCCTAACATTATTTCTAATGGTGAAAGGCTTAATGCTTTCCTCCTAAGACCGAAAACAAGGCAAAGATGTCCACTCTCATCAATGTCAGTCATATAGTGCTGGAAATTCTAGCCAGTGCAATCAGCAAAAGAGAAAACAGCGTGCAGATAGAAAAGGAAAAAAAATACAACAATTCCTGTTTGCAGACATGATTGTCTCATAGCAAATTCCAAAATATCTACAAAGGACTTCAAGTGAGTTCAGCAAGGTGACAGTATACAAGATCAACATACAAAAATTAATTGTATTTCTATATACTAGATGAATGTGTCAACACCAAAATTAAAAATATCATTTATAATCATTTCAGAAAAATGAAAAATTAAGTGTAAATCTAACTCAACATGCATAGCACTTATATGCTGAAAACTATAAAATGCTCATAAAAGAATTTTTAAAAATTTTAAATAAATGGAGAGGCATAGTGTTCATGGAATAGAAAAGATTCAACTTAGCAAATATATCAAAATTCTCTCCAAATTAACAGGTTTACCAAGCAATTTCCGTCAAAATCCTAGCAAAATGTTTTTTCAGATATAGGTAAGATTACTATAAAATTTACATGGAAAGGCAAAGGCCTTGAGCAGCAAGAGTAATTTTGAAAAATAAAAATATTGTGGACAGAAATAATCTACCTGATTTCAAGACTTATTATGTAGCTACACTAACCAAAATTATGTGGTACTGTTGGAAAGACAGACACACAGATTAATGGAACAGAACAAAACACTCAGAAGCAGACCCACACAAGTATGCCCAGCAAAAAATTGTGCATTTTGACAAAGGCACAAAAGCAATTCTATGGAGAAGAGATAACCTTTTCAACAAAGGGTTCTAGAGTAAATGGAAATCCATAGGCCCTCTCCCCCCACAAAAGAAAACCTCAACACAAGCCTCACACTTTATACAAAAGTTAACTCAAAATGGGTCATGGACTTAAATGTAAAAGGTAAAACTAAAACTTTTAGAAAAAAATGAGAGACAGTTTTTAGGATCTAGAGCTAGGCAAAGAGTTCTTCAACTTGACTCTAAAATCAAGATCCATAAAAAGAAAAGATGATAAAGGAAACTTCAGCCAAATTAAAAACTTTGCTCACTTTGATGGCTGGGCACGGTGGCTCATGCCTGTAATCCCAGCACTTTGGGAGGCTGAGGCAGGAAGATCACCTGAGGTCAGGAGTTCGAGACAAGTCTGGCCAACATGCTGAAACCTCGTCTCTACTAAAAGAAACACAAAAATTAGTGGGGAATGGTGGTGCACACCTGTAGTCCCAGCTACTCAGGAGGCTGAGGCAGGAGAATCGCTTGAACCTGGGAGGCGGAGGTTGCAGTGAGCCAAGATTGCGTCACTGCACTCCAGCCTGGGCAACAGGGCAAGACTCTGTCTCAAAAAACAAAAACCAAAACAAACAAACAAACAAAAAAACTTTGCTCACTTTGAAAGACCCTGTTAGAGTATATGAAGTCAAACTATAGACTGGGAGAAAATATTTGCAAAGCACAAAGGACTAGCGTTTAGAATAGAAAAAATCTCTCAAAACCCAGGAGTACCAAAAAAACACAATAAGAAAATGGGAAAGGATGTGAAAAGACTTTTCACCCAAGAGGACCTACAGATGACAAATCAACACATGAAAAGATGTTCAAGGTAAACCAGCTGTTAGGAAAACGCAAATTAAAACCACAATATCATATTAGTACACACCCAAAAGAACTGCTAAAATGAAAACAGTGACAACACCAAACGTGAACATTTGGAGAAACTGGATCACTCACGCATGCATTGCTGGTGAGAATATAAAATGGTACAGTCCGTCTGGAAACAGTTTGGTAGTTTCTTTAAAAACTAAACATACAACTACCATATGACCCAGCAACTGCACTCCTGGGCATTTATTCAAGAGAAATGAAACTTATGTTCACACAAACACCTACATACGAATGTTTACAGCAGCTTTACTCATAATGGCCCAAAAAGGAAAAAAAAAACAACACCAGATGTCCTTTAATGGGTGAGTAGTTAAACTGGGGTACATCCACACCATGGAATACTACTGAGCAACAGAAAGGAACCAACTACAGTATTAATGCATGCAATAACTTGGATAAGTCTCTAGAGAATCATGCTAAGTGAAAAAAGTCAATCCAAAAAATATTACGTATTTTTTTGGTTCCATGTCTATAATATACTGTTTTGATTCCATTTCTGTAATACCCTTGAAATGAGAAATTTGGAGATAAGATAAACGGTTGTCAGGGGTTAAAAAGGGTTTGAGGGTGGAAAGGAAGTAGCTGTGGCAATATAAGGGCAACGTGAGGGAGCCTTGTGGTGATAGAAATGTTTTGTATATTGATGGCAAATGGCAAAGTCCTGCTTGGTTATTGTACTACAGTTCTACAAAATGTTATCATGGATAGGAGGCAGTTACTGGGTAAAGGGCACCAGAGAACTCTCTGTATTATCTCTTACAACTGTAGGTGAATCTATAGTGATCTCAAAATAAAAAGTTTCACTAAAAAAAACCAATTGCATATAAAATCTGCAAAGAGATTTAATCAGATTCCAACAGACTTACCCAAAGCCCCACCCATCTATTGCACTGGTAAACACCACATTTCCCTGTTCTGGAGAGGAGTAAAGGTGAGAATCATCTGTGTCCTCCAAGCCAGTGCTCCAGTCATATACTTGCTCTCCTTGTTCAGAATTTGGATTCGCTTGGGATTCAGTCTCCCTCTCTGCTCTTTCTTCTAGGACTTTAGAAGTAAAAAGAGTCCCTGTGAGCGCATTAATCTAGGAGAGATGGTGAAATGGCAGAGCGTCATTCAGATGCTCAGCATGCTCACGGCAGGAGAAACACTGTTTAACCTGTGTTAGGGCTAGAATCATCAGTCAGTTTGGGCTCATTAAGCATACACGAATGGAGGTGACATTCACAATCAGTGAATAACTTAGATGTATCCATCCTTCCTAAACTCAGCGTAACTAAATTATAAGGTTTTTGGAAGGTTATTTTGTGATTATTATTATTAGTTTAATGTAAATGTTAGTGTGTCATATCCTTAATTTGTTTTTCAGTGCTGAGGCCTAGTATCACAAAGTACTCATGATTTCCAACCCCACAATCCTAGTTTGTAACCTTAGTCCACTGCCTTGCCCATCTTTCACATTGGTTGTCTGAAATGTGCACTACTCTCTTCAGGCCCTCTTCCCAAATCCTAATCCTCAACTACTTTCACTCCCAAATAGGCAGTAATCTTATGTCCTACCTCAGAAAGAAAATGGAACCTATTACTCGGATTTCCTTCAAGTGCCCCACATCCCAATCTACAAGCTCACTTATGTCTGCAAATACCACCGACCTTTCTCCTGCCAATGCAGGGCAGGAGTTATTTTACCTGTTCCTATTTCTACAGGGAATGATATCCATCCATCATTCTTTTTCACTGTTCTACTTTTATTGTTTCCTGCCTTTAGCAAATAAATATACTCAAGTTGCTCTCATCAATGCTTTCCACTGTCTTGAGGAAGAAATTTCAAACTCCTATGCATGGCATACAAGGTTCATCAACATCTAAATCCATATCCTTTTTCCCATCTCTTGTCACTGTTTAACATGATCTAATTAATCGGCTATAAAACAATTTGCAGCTCCTTAAATGAAACATTGTACTGTGCTTTTTCTTGCCTTTATGACTTTGCCTGTCATATTCTTCCTCTTTTGAATGTCCTTTTCCTAACTGCCTACCTGGCAAACACCTACTTTACTTCCATCTCAAGGTTTCCATTCTACGATTTCTAACTCATTCTTCCCTCTTGACCCAGATTGGGTTAGATGGCCCTTATCTATGCTGTCATATCACACCCGGGGCTTATCTCATTGTTCTCCAAATAGCTCTTTGTTTGTCTCCCCTACTATACTGTGAGCTCCTTGAAAATAGGGATTCTGACCTGTCCATTTTACATTCACAATCCCTAGTGCACAATGGACATTCGATAATTCATTTATTCAACGTATATCTATGAAATATTTGCTGAATAAATAAATGAATGAATGCTTGGGTAAAATTTCCTCTAACGACAGGTAATAAAATACTATAGACAGGTAATAAGATCTTAATATTGCTTCATTTTGGAACCAAGATACAATGTTTTAAACAAGACAGCCTGTTGTCCAAGCTTTATATGATGGGTGCTTCCAAGAGATGGAAGGGACTACTGAGAACATGCTTATTCTGTTGCCTCTGTTGTAGAATAACACCAACATGTATGAATCTGAAGTGGAAAAGTTCACTTTTCTGTAGCAATGGTTCATACCCAGCTCAGTAACTTCCTTACAACTCTTCTTCGAGGCTAAATTTTTTAGATACTAACAATTAAAATACCTGTTCTAAAATACTCTTAAGGTGAGAATAGGCCTCTTGTGGGGTAAATTTCAGTTCCACTATCAAGTGATCTATCTTATTAATCACTAAAACTGGATGGATGCTTTCAAGCCAAGCTTGTCACAGAACTGCCTGTGTCTAATAAAAACAGAAAGAAAAATGTAAAACTCATGATTTGAAATAATTAGAGCACATTAGAAAATATTGATTAATAACCACTCTAGACTATGCCAGCCACACAAAGGTATTCAATAGGCATTCACAAAGTATGTATACAGCACAGTAGCAAAGGACTATAGACAAGAAATCATCATTGCCTTTATGCAACTGACAGTTAAGAAGGATAAATAAGGCTGGGCATGGTGGCTCACACCTGTATCTCAGCACTCTGGGAGGCTGAGGCAGGTGGATCGCTTGAGGCCAGGAGATCAAGACTAGCCTGACCAACATGGCGAAATCCCGTCTCTACTAAAAATACAGAAATTAGCCAGGCATGATGACACATGCCTGTAATGACAGTTTATGTGGAGGTTGAGGCATAAAAATCACTTGAACCCAGGAGGTGGAGGTTGCAGTAAACTGAGATCGCACCACCGCACTAAAGCCTGGGTGACAGAGCAAGACTCTGTCTCAAAACAAAAACAAAAACAAAGTATGTTAAATTAAAGTCATCATCTCTAAGATCCCTTCAGAACTCTGGTGATTTAACTCCTTCACAGACTGGAACGTTACCAAATGTGAAATATAAAACCAATGTTGTGATTGTCAGTGAAATGCCTAAAGTCAGTCAGTTCCCCCTCTTTCCTCACCCTTAACCATTTAAGTATTTTCTCACCACAATCCATTACCTGTGGACAGACTCCTTCCACAGCATCTACCACAATGATGCATCCATCACAAATGCGAACAGCGGTTGATACGTCTGAGGAAAAGTCCATGTGTCCTGGAGAGTCTATCAGATTAATCAGGTACTCCTCATTACCTAAAATACAATTTGTAAACACACATTTTCAGTTGTGCAGGTATACAATGTTCTTCCTCAGGCATTCTAGAATAAGAAAGCTGAAAGCTTCTAAGAAAAAACTGAGCAGAGCTAAAGGAGTCAAACACTCAGTCAAGAGCTATCATTCCAACTTTTCCCACTGATGGGACTACTGATTCCAAATAGCATCTATATAAAATGTTAAAGGACTTTAATATTCTAATAGTTACCACTTAAGAGCTTAGTAGGAGCCAGCCACTGTGATACTCACTTTTAATGTGCTAATCACATATTATTGAATCCTTACAATATCCCTGTGAGATACATATTACTATTCTCCTTTTACAGTTTAGGAAATTGAAACTGAAAGAAATCAATGCCCAAGAACCTGACAGTAAAAGCTGTTCAAAGGAACAACAAAGCAGTTGGCCAAGTTCTTCCCTACAATTTATCAAAGAGCAGTGTATGAATCGGCTCAATCAAGATTTAGATTTAGACTCAATTCTACAAAATATGTAGATTTAGACTTAATGCTACAAAAGATTTAGACTCAATTCTACCACAACTTAAGGAGCAGTTACTATGTGCCAAGCAGTGCACTATGTGCTCTCCCATTAATATCTCCTTCAATAGTCTCAACAGACAAATGTATTAAACTTATAGTAGGGTGATGGCACATCCTGAGTTGTCTGGTTTTAGCACTGAAATTCCTACATCCAATCAAAGCCCTTAGTCCCAGGCAAACAAGAAAAAAAAAGATCATCTTAGGTTATAGAGAGTTATCATTAAACATAACTTAGTATACCATGCAGAAAATTAGTTAATACTTTAGAATTCTGTACTCATTCCCCATTATTGATAAATTTGATATAATTCTCTTTTAAAGGCAGAATAACTATTAGAATGCTCAAACATATACTTTACTTTTGCTCCTCCCCTTAACTCAGTGTTTATCAACTTGAATGCACTCAAGAATGACTACAGGGTTGAGTATCCTTTATCTGAAATCCAAAATGCTCCAATGAGCATTTCCTTTTTGTGCCATGTTGGTATTTGAAGAGTTTTGAATTTTGGAGCATTTCAGATTTTGGATTTTCAGATTTGGGATGCTCAACCTGCAATTTATGGGCCATTTAAAGGATTTTCCCCCAATATAATTTTAATGACTTCGCTTGTGCCCTAGGTGATACTGATGATAAACACCACCACAACAATAACCACAACCAGCGCTTAACATCTGTGGACTGCCTATTCATGGCTGGCATTGTTCTAAGCATAATACAGAAATTATCTGATGTTTACTTACAACAATCCCCTGTAGTAGTTACAACTATTAGCCCAATTTTATATAGCAGGTAACTAAGGCACAGAAAAGTTAAGTATTTTTCTCAAGGACATCCAGCTAGAATCCAATTCTGAGGTTGACTAAGATCACACAATTCAAAATGATAGAGCATAAGTTCAAATCCACTTAACTCCAAAGACCATACCTCTAACCACTACACTCAGAAGGCAGTAACTTTCACCTCACATGCCAAGATTCCACTGCTAATGAATTCCTAAAACACTGGGTGAAGCATTCCCAAGTGTACTGAGGCTCAGTGGGAAAGACTGCCATCAGTTAGCAACAGACTGCCTTCTTCAGTACCACTCCTCCCCGCTGCCTCCTGGTCTTTTCATGCAAACTGCTTTATGAGGAACCATTGCTCTGCTGAAACCACCAGAGAAGGCTCCAACCAGAGAAGACCATGGAGATATCCAGTGAAAATCCAAGAAGTCAAATAACCAGAGCCCTGGAGCAATGGCCCACTGGACCTCAATCGAGCCTTTCACTGTCAGATCTCACACCAGTTCTCCTAGTCAACATTTTCGATAAGTATCGTGATCTCAACCAAGTACACCAGAGAAAAAGGAGCATGTCTAGTAGTGGTCTAGGGTCCTATCATACAAAATTAAAGCTGTGAGATTCTTAGAATCACTCAGCATTTTCTCAGCCTAAGCCTTTATTCCATAGAAAAACATGCTAACGCCCTCAAAAGGTAAGAGACTGACCCAAGGTCCCAAAAGAAGCAAGCCAGAAATACACCCAGGGCTATCGAACCATCTTAGTCACTTCTCGGGTCTTAGATTCCTTCATACTTTGCAACTGGGGAAACAACACTTGCCTATTCATCTGGCTAAACTCCAGACTTTAGAGTGGGAGAACTTCAAGCACTTTTCCATCCTTTGTGATACGACCGGGACCTGATACTGAAGTTTCAGAGACTGGGTCTCCAGTCAAGTTCTTTACAGAGTCTAAAAATGCACTCGTACAGACATTTCAGGCTTCCTATACAACAGTGCTCTTACCTTTTATTGGAGTTACAGACCTTTTAGGGAATAGTCAGAAAAACGAATACCTATCTACTTATCTATGCTCCCCTAAGTACGCGTCCATTTCCAGATTCTTTGAAATTCATTCAGGAAGGGCAGGTTCAGATCTAGAGAGGAACTGAAAGCTAATGATACACCAAGTGTTTCCACCTGAAAATCTACATCCTCAAAACTAAGTGTCTGATCAAATAATACAGCTGACAAATACAGCCAGCCTTGGAGCTCACATCACACATACATACTAAAGGTTCAGAGAAGCCCTGTGAGAAGTCTGTCCAACTCTGTTTAACCTGGAGTTTCTCAAATGTATTCAATGGTGAGAAAGAGGAAATGCCATGGTCAGTTACACAGCTGACAAAGGCTTGGCTCTGAGCCAGGCCTCCCAATTCCTCTTTCAACGCCTTTTTCATCTTAACCCTTTCCAAACAACTTTAACCTAAATTTCAAAGGTTGGGGAAAGAAGTCCCATATCCATTAGAGAAAAAAAGTCCACAAGCACAGCTCTTCTGCTGTGACTTCAGCCACATTATGTCTCTTTAAAAAATGCCATTTACCACTTTTGTGTATGTGTGATCAAATTAAAAAATACATAAAAACAATTACAGGGCTTATCATGCTAGATATTATTATTATTGCTAGTGGAAATTATTTAAAAAGTAGAAAATGCATAACACTTTTCAGGAGACAAAATTTTTTAAGCATGCTAAATGATCTTTCTGATTTGTAACAAAGTCCTGAAGCTACATATTGAACTAATCCCTGCAACAGCATTCAGGGACAGAATGCTGCTGCTTTACTTCCCAGGCATTCCAAACTAAACTGCTTCATTTCAAGGCACAGATCTAATCAGTCAAGCAACAATTCAATCTTTTTATATTCCAGGGAACTGAAAAAAAAATTGGAAGACCTGAAGTTAATTATGGGAGATATCTTCCAGACAATTTCTGCTGCTAATAGGGAGTTATGGGAAAAGAATTGCTCCCTTGCCCATGGTTTTAAAGTGCCATGGATAATTGTCTCACAGAAGGTGCACATTTGTCACTAGGACCTGCCAAAACATCTCTGTATTCAGTAAAACTTCATGTAAGGAGTTTAGTGTTCAACTTCCAAAACACTGGAAATGTTCACTAACGCATACATAGAAACCTGACGAGAGAAAACTTTCCATAAAATAAAAAAGAAACACTGAAGTTATGGAAGAAGATCTGAACCTCCTGAAAGTGTCCTTTATGTTTCAGTGTATGGTAGAGTATTTTGCCTGACAACGAAAATAACAGAAATACAGGCAGAACCTGAGTTATCTGAAGACATGTTCCTAAATTCCTTATGTATGAACTTATAACTATTATATACATAAGTTGTACACCAACTGTAACCAAAAGTCTCCCTCCACAGGAAATACCACTTTTATTTTTTAATTTTTTTTAAGATACGGGGTTTCACTGTAACATTCAGGCTGGATGCAGTGGCACAATCATAGCTCACTGCAGCCTCAAACTCCTGGGCTCAAGCGATCCTCCTGCCTCAGCCTCCAGAGTAGCAGGGACTGCAGGCACACAAGGGTAATTTTTATTTTATTTTTTGTAGAGATGGGGTTTCACTGTGTTGCCCCGGCAGGTCTCAAACTCCTGTCCTTAAGTGATCCTTCTGCCTCGGTCTCCCAAAGTGCCGGGATTACAGATGTGAGCCACTGAACCTGGTTACCTTTTATATCTTAATACTATGTTTTTACATTTTAAATCAATGTATAACTTTGTAAGTTATAAATCAACTAATATGGCTTATTTGACAGAATTGTAAAGCACAACTATAAAGCTGATACAGGTAACAGGATAACTATCTTTATGAGAAGACTGCCACAAGGAGAGGTGAAGGGTGGTTGACTCTGATGGTATGTGTCAAAACTGAGATGGGGTCAGGCACAGTGGCTCACACCAATAATCCAAGTGCTTTGGAAGGCCAAAACAGGAGGATCACTTGAGCCAAGACCAGCCTGGACAACATAACAAGACCGTCATCTCTATAAGAAATTTAAAAAATTAGCCAGGCATGGTGGCACATGCCTGTAGTCTTAGCTACTTGGGAGGCTGAGGCAGGAGGACTGCTTGAGTCTAGAAGTTCTGGGCTGCAGTGAGCTATGATCACCACTGCACTCCAGCCTGGGTGATAGAATGAGACTCTTGTCTTAAAAAAAAAAAAAAAAAGTGACAGGGGTTAGGAAAATGAGAGGAAAAATGATCTAGAAACAACTATGAATAGCAAACTGATTAAGTTTTCTTTTGCTGCACAAACCCAACCCGAAGACCTCTCCAGACCTTCCTCCAACATGAAACTAGACCACGTACAGAGCACTTCTGATTACATTTGGCCTCACCCGCTTTTGGTTTTTCTCAGTATGATGCCAGTCCACACCTGCCACCCAGTACTGTGGCCACACCCTGAACTCTGACATCACTGAGAACTTCTCCACCTTTGAAGGCCTGCTGTGTAGATAGTAAATCTAATAATTACACATCCACATTGTCTTGATTCCTTTGATCATTGGCAGTTTTGCTTGGAAGGGTATAAGAATAAGAACCAGAATAAGAAACCCTGGAGTAAAAAAAAGGTTGACACTTACTTATAATATCTCTATGCCTAGCATTACCCTGGAGAGTCATAGATCAAGGATCAATTTCACACTGCTAATGCACGTCATTAGTATAAGGTGCGGGTCATATCATCAGAGTAATTGAGAGAGTAATTGTAGTATAACTTTGACTAAGAAGCGGGAAGAGGAAACATGCAGAGGAATGTGGGGCTGAAAGAAGGATTTATGTATTTTTTAAGACAAGACAGACTTGAGCATGATTAAAAGCTGATGGTTACAAGCCAGTACAGAGGGACAGGTGGAAGATACTGAAGAAAAGATCATAAACAGAAGGTAAGTCCAGAGCACAGGTTTTTGCCAGTGACAGGAGGCAAACAAAAATGCCCATACCATTACGTTTTGAGGTACAGTGGCAAGCAGGTGAGAGTTCTTCTCTTTTCTGTGAAATAGAAAGTAAGAATGTCTGCTGAGATTGTGGAGGAGGGGATGACAGGTAGGCTGAAGGAGACCAGAAGGTTTAAAATAGCTGCTGGGAAGAGTAAGCAAGACCTAATAGAGAGAGAGATGGGAAATCTGCCAGCAGTCTGGAGGACCACTTGAGAACCTAGCCCAAATACAAGGATGAAGACGTGTAGAGAATTAACTTTATCAAGGGTTAAAGTTTTATTGGGAAAAATATGACAGAAAGTCAAGAACCAAAGAGACTGAAGATGCTGGGAAGACTGTCAGTGAAATGACAAATCTGGGCTGTATGAGGCAGGAAGTGAATGAAGAAAGAGGCTGATGGGAGTCAAAAAACTAGAGAACATTATGAAGTCAAAGAATGGGTAACTCATTAGTCAGGTGAAAGAAAGAAAGCTGGGAGAATCAAAGATTGTAGAGAAGGAAGTATTTAAATTTGAAATGTCAAAGATGAATAGCTCAAGGTGATGCTAAAATCCAGAAAGTAGTCATGACAATGGGTAGGTGAAGTGGAGAACCAATGTTGTTGAGAGGATAAGCTGTTGAAGAAGTCATTCTCAGGGATGGTAAAAGCCACCTTAGAAGATTCAGGTGAAAAGAACAATTATGAGGCTGGGTGCCAAAGTCACTAATGAACAGGAAACATCACCAGGAGCTGACAATGACTGGAAAGGTGAATAATTGGATGGTCTGAGTCTTGAAAGGAGAAGTTTGAAAACAAGGGTAGAAGAATTAACTTTTGTAATCAGATCTGGGAACAAAAAGAATGGCAATCCCATATGCTAACCCAGAGATACGTGGAACATGAACGAAGGAGTAGCATTCACTTGGAAAAGGTACAAGGCAGGCAATGTCATCAGAAGACAGCCAGGCAGAAGGGGGAAACGTCAATAAAAAGACATTGAGGATGTAGCGATGTTTGTTTCCCTTGGAATGTTTTCACAGTAAGTTTTGGTAAGGAGGGGAATAATGGGAGATTGAAAGAGGCTGACAGAATCACAGAGAAACATGGGGAAGAGACTATAAGAGGGCCAGATCATGTGGCTTGCATCGTGGGCAGTGACTGAAGACCACAGGGATGTAGGTAGTGTTGGCCACAAGACGTCCATAGCAATCCCTAGTGGAAAGGAGATACTCAAGCCTCAGGAGGAATTTCCTTTAGTTGTGGCCTGACTTCCAAGAGACTAATGGTCCAAGTGAATACGCTGGAAATGTGGGTTCTAGGACTACTACCACATGCTAGAAATTACTCTGTCCTTGGGAAAGTGTCTTCACCTCTCTGAACTCCATTTTTGCACATGTGTAAAATCAGAGTAATACCCATCACAGAGTTGCTGTGAAGATAAAACAAAATCAGGCATACGGGACACCTAGCTCAGAAGTGAACTATCGTGTACCTAGTTTCTTACGCCTGGCATCAACTGAATACTTCACAAAGTAAAGCATTCATTGTCTGACGAGAACAAAATCTACCCTTCAGTCAAATGAGGGGTAATGGAACTCTTCCCTCCCAGCCTCATTCTGGAAAGAATAAGGCAAGTTAGGACCATGGGTAAACATTCACACAGCCAGAAGGAAAGGGAAGCTACTGCCTCTGAATAAGAGATGACTTTCTGCTACATGCTGGCCTTGTCTGTAATTAGATGGCATGAGTCAGTGTCTCCATGGCCTAGTCTTTGGAGTATAAAACCAGAGAGCCACAGAGCTGAAATCAACACATGCGTAAATCCTCCTTCTGCCCACAACCACTAACCCTAACAGAGGTATTTACAAAGTGATCAACTTGCATATGGACCTCTTTGCAGAAGGCTGCTATATCCTTGGTCTCCACGTTTAGAGGACAACCTCACTGCATATGGCTGACTCTTGGGTGAATCCCAAGTGTACCACTAGTCTATTAGCTAGACTATATGCCTGAGGTTACTAACTAAAAGCTCATAAGCTAAAGCCCACTGCAGTGTGTTCTACATGGTGTTTTACAATTTTTAAATAAGTTGCCGTCATTTTGAAACTTGGAAGATTTTACCAAAAATCTTGATGCCAACTTTTCTTGAAAAAAAAAAAAATTCCCATAGGGTATCAATCAATCAAGTGGAGCTGAATGATACTGGCCTTTATCCAGGAATTGGGGGAGGTATTCCATGAGTGGGCATAATTCACTCTCTAGTCCTTAACAGCCCCACCCAAACTGCCTCACTTATGCAGAGGTGTCAACACCATGTCAGCAATAATATTGTACTTAATAATCACATCTGACAGGTGTTAGAATAAGTAAGCTATTTGCGGGGGAAATAAAGTCAGATATTTACCTCACAGTGTGTGCATACACATACAACTTGCATTAAATATAAAAATTGAAAATATAAAATAACTGGCGGTAAACTGACAGTGATTTCTCTTCCATTTTTGTGTTTTACTGTATATTCTATAACACATACTAAATTTTCTATAGTAAATATGAACTTGGGCCAGGTATGGTGGCTCACACTTGTAATCCCAAAACTTTAGGAAATGGGTACAAGGCTTGCATCCAGGAGGTTGAGACCAGTCTGGGCAACATAGCAAGATCTCATCTCTACAAAAAAATTGAAATATATGTGTATATATATATAAATTGAAATAGATATACATATACACAATATATACTATATATGCAATATATATATACACGTGTGTATGTATGTATATAAACTTGTAAATTTATTTAAAATATTTTAAAAGATGAATTAGATAAAAACTTCAAAAGTTCAGCAACAGCAGTATTTGCTCAGGTATAAAAAATGGCTATACAGTAGAAATGACAGCAGTATTCCTTTTGATGAATTTCAAATTATTAACCCATGTGAATCTATTTCTGTCTTCTATATCTCAATTCTAGGCTAAAGGATTCAAAGACATTACATCCCCTTAGGATATTTTACAGAACGTATATTGTTAGGAATACTTCCTAACAAGATAAATGTGTGGTATTCTTGTGGGTAGGACACAAAGAGAGGTAAGAAACAGGCAAATAACAAGATTTAATAATATGATCCCAACATTTGTAGCAAATTTTGGTCACAAACGTCAAGATAATAGAGGCTCCATTTTCTCAAAGAATAATTAGGTTCCTGGAAAATGCTGAGATAGTGTATGACCTTGATGGTTTTCAGCATCACTTCTATAATGTGCAGGATTTATCTGTTTACCTTAAACTAGAATAAGACCCTATATTTCAACCCAAATAAATATTTGAAAATACTTTTGAAAGCTCGTTAAATTAAGAGAACCAGAGAAAGAGTTTAACTTGCATTTAGTACACAGATTCTCAAATAAGAGGGGATTCAAAGTGGGTGAGAAGGAGGGGAAGGCATGGTATAAATAAAAGTCACCTGTGGAGTTTCTTCAATCATCAGGTTTCCCTCTTTTTCTCCCATCTAGGTTCCCCTTCAGACGTCCCACCTTCAGAACAGGAAATACCCCATTCTGGAGAATCAGTACTAAGATACAGATAAAAACATATCTCATCTCTCAAGTGCTCTGAGAGGATATGTCCCAGTCAACATTCCTAACTTCTATCCCCATAAGGCTCTGCACTGTCAAGTGTGATAACTGCTCGGCCCAAATTCCCTTCTAGGCAGTAATCCCATGCTCACAAGAAACATGTTTGACACTTTGTGACTCCACTCCGATCACCACTGATTGGATTAGGAGGTGACTAACCAACCCAAGCGCAGCCAATCCATAGGTGCAACCTCTGTGATGGGCTGGCATGAAAAGATAAGCAGAGCCGCATCCTGCTCTTGAGCCTGTGTGCTCAGAAACACAAGAGATTGAAGCAGTAGGCAACAGAAATAAGGTGAAAACAGACAGGATAATAGGGTAAGAAGTCAGGGCAAGGTGAATGTACAAAGATGAAGACATGAGAGTAGGCAAAAGCTATGAGACAGAGAAAAGACATACAGGATAATAGTGGAGATACAAACAGACACCCAAATCCAAGGACAACAGTGGAGTTCCAGAGGCAGGATCCATAAACTTTTACTGATGTGGTCTCTAGAGCTATCTTGGATCCAGAATGAAAATCTGGCTCCAATTTTTATGAGACGTCACTCCAATAAGACTCCTGTTTTTCCATTTTCATGAATATTATTTCCAATCTCATTTCACACATATGCTTTCAATAAGCTATCTCACCCCAACCCAAGCTAGCTTGTCTCTGGTCTGTGCAATCAAGAAAGCATACCTGGCCAGGTGCAGTGGCTCCCGACTGTAATCCCAGCACTTTGGGAGGCCAAGTCGGGCAGATCACCTGAGGTCAGGAGTTCGAGACCAGCGTGGACAACATGGTGAAACCCCATCTCTACTAAAAATACAAAAATTAGCTAGGCGTGGTGGCATGCACCTGTAATCCCAGCTACCCAGGAGGCTGAGGCAGGAGAATCACTGGAACCCAGGAGGCAGAGGCTTTAGCGTGCAGAGACTGCGCCACTGCATTCCAGCCTAGGTGACAGAGCAAAAAAAAAAAAAAAAAAAAGTGAGCCGGGTGCGGTGGCTCACGCCTGTAATCCCAGCACTTTGGGAGGCCGAGGCGGGTGGATCATGAGGTCAGGAGATCGAGACCATCCTGGCTAACATGGTGAAACCCCGACACTACTAAAAATACAAAAAAAAAAAAAAATTAGCCAGGCATGGTGGCGGGTGCCTGTAGTCCCAGCTGTTTGGGAGGCTGAGGCAGGAGAATGGTGTGAATCTGGGAGATGGAGGTTGCAGTGAGCCAAGACTGCACCACTGCACTCCAGCCTGGGCAACAGAGCAAGACTCTGTCTCAAAAAAAAAAAAAAAAAGGGTACCTAAAATAATCTGTGAGCAGCCAGGGTCACAGAGCTCAACCAAACAGAGTTCAGACCACTCAATTCCCAGGGTCCTATAGCAAATTCTCCTACAATACTACACCAGAAAGACAAATGTGAATTGGAACAGGTGAATTTTATGGTATATAAATTAAACCTTAATAAAGTGGTTAAAGGGGTCAGGAGAGGGGGACTATAGACAAAGTATAGAGCAGAAAAACTAAAACTGACCCCAGAGGAATCTTCAAATAAAAGCACACTAATAATCTGAGTAAAGAAGAAAGCAGCCTTCAAATCTCTTGAAGTCTATAAAATGAGATAAGAAATGAATAGACCCTCAACCCCATTCTCTGGATCACAGGATGAGAACATACCCTTTAAAATGTGAGAATTGTTTTTTTTAAAAAATGAAGTGTTACTTTAAACATTAAACATTGAGAATTCATGTGCCTAAGAGCTTCAAAACTGGTTTGGTACAAAAGCCATGCCCCACAGAGTACATCTTTTGGTGGCAGTGCCAAAGATATGACACTTGTGAAGGATGAACCACAGGTAAGTCCATTAGGGAAATAAAATTTATCTTTATTATTTTCTTCTAATTACAAAAATATACATTTTGTGTAAAATTTTCAAATACCACAAAAATAAATATTTTGAAAAGTGCAAGTTTTCCATAATCATAGCCCCTGCAGAGAGCTACTGTTAAGGGTTTGGTATGTATCCTTCCAGACACCTTTATCTGCATATATAATATATTTTTATTATCCAAACACATTCATATCTTACAAAAATACTCTGCAATTTGTTTTCTGTCTCTGAACATACCATTTTCCCCTGTACAATAACATATATATTAAACATTTGTTTTAACAGCTGCACAGTATTTCACCGCTTGGATGTATCAGTTTATTGAACCATTCTCCTATTGACATTCAGGTTGTTGGTATTTTTTTCACGAATACAAACTTTTTAGTGAATATCAGTGACATGTATCTCACACACTTACATGAATATTTCTGTCAGATAAATTCCTAGAAGTGTTACTATCAAAGTAGCATCCTCATTTGAGGATAGCAAGCTGGTACTGATCATGGCAGTCTACTTTTAAGTAAATAAGACTCCAAATCTAACATGCAGGCCAGGCCATGAGGCAGAATAGAAAGGCTGAACCAGCTAAAGTCCTAGGGCTCCTGACTTTCCTTGTGAAGGAATCCATATAATCACCTGGTGGAGGGGGCAGGTGTGAATTGCCAGTTCTTCTGCCCTCAAACCAGTCAGAGGTTTCCATCTGCATCCAAGCCTGGACAGCCTAACTCTGACAACAGGTCATGTGGAGACGCCAGAATAAAATATGTGGAATATAAGCAAAGAAACTGAGGCATGCAATTAATTCAGAAAGACAGAGGAGGACATGAAAGATGCAAAGCTGTGTTTCTTTAAAACAGACTGACTTACCTGTTGCATAATGTAGGGAAATGGCACTGGATTTCATAGTGATCCCTCGGATCTGTTCATCTTCTCTGCTGTCCATGTACCTTAACTGGAAAAATGCAACATATGCATCTTCACTTCCCAAAGAATTAAAATGTAACATTAAAATTTGCTAATTTAGATTTTTGTTTTAAATACTTAAATTTTTTATTTTTATTTATTTTTGTAGCGACGGGGTCTCGCTATGTGGCCTGCACTAGTCTCGAACTCCTAGCCTCAAGTGATCCTCCCACCTTGGCCTCCCAAAGAGCTGAGATAACAGATGTGAACCACCATGCCCAGGCAATACTTAAATTTTAAACTATACAGCGCCTCTTTTTTTTTTTTTTTTTTTTTTTTTTTTGAGACAGAGTCTTATGCTGCTGTCCAGACTGGAGTGCAGTAGCGCAATCTCGGCTCACTGCAACCTCTGCTTCCCAGGTTCAAGTGATTCTCCTGCCTCAGCCTCCCAAGTAGCAGAGATTACAGGCATGTGCCACTACACCTGGCTAATTTTTGTATTTTTAGTAGAGACAGGGTTTCACCGTGTTGGTCAGGCTGGTCTTGAACTCCTGACCTCAGGTGATCCACCCACCTCAGTCTCCCAAAGTACTGGCATTACAGGCATTAGCCACCTCGCCTGGCCCTCTCTCTTTTTTTAAAGATGATGAGGGGATGGAGAAGTGAAGTTAGTTGGCGGGAAGGGAACATGACAAATGAAAAACATTACCACTAGGAACTCATAAATGTATTCAACTACTGCATACCCTCCCCAGAGTGTTGCTCATCCAACTATCAGCCATGAATGATGGGGCAGGTCAAGAACAACTTACAGACAGTAGCATTTGGGGGAATTCTTTCTAAACATCAATAACACAGCCATTCTTTTCCTATTTATAAGCTGTTTGACAAATTCTGAGCAGAGACTGAAACAGAGGTCTCTAGAGGCAAGAGAAGTGTCTTTACCCCTTTCCCAAATTAACAGATTTTGAATATATCTTTTTTTAAAAAAGAATACAGTAGAAAATATTTGTAATATGACCATTTAATTGATAATTTTCCCAGTGATACCCACCAATGAGTGTCTACATCTCATTTTCTAGGCCTTGCAGTGCATCAGTACTGACAGTGGTGTCGTTTAAATGAAGATCCCATCCCTTTCCAACTCCTTAGCCCTAAGCACCAGACTAACCTCCTCCTCCTTTCTCCAGAATGATTTTCCCTTACCCTTCCTCCATTCTCTCCACTGTCAAACTTTTGAAAAATTCTTAACCTGTCTATTTTCTCCTTTCTTTCATTCAAAAGCACCAAGAATTATCGGTTGATATGAACTGCCACATTTATTCATCCACATTAATTCTGAAATTTTCAGAAAGGCTTCCATTTCCACAGCTCTGGCAAAATCAAAGTCCTAAAAGCTATCAATGACCTCTGGCCAAACGCAATAATCATTCTCAATCCTCATTTTTCTTGATTCCAGTGCAACATGACAGTTACCCTTTGTGTGCATGTGTGTTACATGCATATGTGAAATTCTTCCAAGAGTCTGAAACCTCTTAATTTACCTCCATCTCTCCTCAGATCCCACTGCTGGTTTCCCTTCACCTCTCCAACCTCTCCATCAGTCCTTCCTTCAAAAAGTCTCAGTCCCTTGTCAGTCTTCTATAATGTACGTTTTTAAGCACTGAGTTGGTATGAAACATGTGTAATACATAAATAACAACACAATGAACCCCTGTGTATGCACCATCCCATTTCAAAAGGAAAAAAAAGTTTGTTACTTTTGAAGTACCCTGTGCTCCTGGCTTATAGGTAACCACTATCTTGAATTTTATCTTGTTCATTTCCTTATTTTCTTTATAATTTTTAAAAATGAGTGTGTCACTAAGCAATATATCATGTAGAGTGGCAAGTTTTAAGCCTTCTATAAGAATCATACTTAATATATTATACTGTCATGTTTTATTTGTTCAATATTGTTTTCCTGAGATTCAGCCATATTGATGTAATTCATTCATTTTTATTACCGTAGGACTTCACCTCACAAATCTACCAGACCCATTCGTCCATTGCATTACTGATGGACATGGAGACCAATTCCAGTTTTTTGTAACTATTACTGTGCTGATATGAACAGTTGTTGGTCTCTTGTACACTCCCTACCAGTAGAATTTCTGAGTTATTAAATCTGCACATCCTCAACCTAACTTGATATTTCCAAATTATTTTCCAAATAGTTGGACTGATCCACGGTGGAATAGTGCTTTTTTTGATACATAACTTCAACAGCTGATATTGCTGGACTTTATTTTTTAAGATGGGTGATAAATAGCATCTCATGGTTTTAATTTACATTTCCCCTATTATTAATGGGATTAAGTATCCCTTTATAAGTTTCTTGTATTGGCCATTTAACATTCCTTTTCTGTGAACTGCCTATATAAGGCTTTTGTC
The DNA here is from genome assembly GCF_000001405.40 of Homo sapiens. Lineage (NCBI taxonomy): Eukaryota > Metazoa > Chordata > Mammalia > Primates > Hominidae > Homo > Homo sapiens. The sequence goes on along the minus strand of NW_025791797.1, from coordinate 693,618 downwards.
CACCTTTCTACTGGTTGTAATAAAGATTTATTTTGTTTTGGATAGGAGTTATTTATAATCTCTGAATATTAGTCCTTTGTCAATTATATGTGTGTTATTAATATTTTTCACAGTTACCAGGCTTGTTTTTTCCATTTCTTTCTGGCATCTTTGATAAATATGTTCTTAATTTTAAGTAGTTTATTAACCTTTCATAAAATTGTTTGCACATTTTTGTCTTAAGAAATCTTCCTTTAAGGTCATAAAAATATTAGCCCATATTATTTTCTAAAAGCTTTACAGTTTTGCTTTTAAATATAAGTATCTTAACTGTGCAATTGATTTGTGTGTGGTGTTAAGTAGAGGTCCAATTTTTTTTTCCACATGGATAACCAATTGCCCAAGAACCATTTGAAAGGTTCATCTTTTTCCCACAGATCTGAAATGCCAGCCTACTATTCTAGGCCTACTATTCTGAGCCATCAGTCAATTTCATGCCTCAGCCGATTCCAGGCCACAGGTTACAATACATCAATACATTCATAATACGTCTTAGTTTTCTCCAATATCTTATAGGTTTTGTTGTTATTGTTGTTGTTTTTGTTGTTTTTGAAGAGATGGGGTCTTGTGCTATCCACCAGGCTGGAGTGCAGTTGCTGTCACAGCTCACTGCAGCCTCAAACTCCTGGGTTCATGCAATTGTCCTGCCTCAGCTTCCTAAGTAGCTGGGATTATAGGCCTGAGCCACCATGCCCAGCACAGGTACATTTTTTATGCTATTTAAATGGTTTAATGTATTTAAATTTCTGTATATTATCTATTTATTGCTCATGTATTCTTTTCAATGGTTTTCATATCCTGAAACCTGCCAAATTGTTACTAATATCCTAGCAATTTATCTACATTTCTTCTTCCTGTCCAAAATTCACACTTTTAATTTTTCTTTCCAGCTTTATCACTGCAACTAGAACCTCCAGTACAATGTAAAGTAGAAGTTATAACACAATGAGCAGAAGGGTGTGACGGCCATACTTGCCTTATTCCTGGCTATGAATAGAAAAGTTTTAACACTTCATCATTAAGCTCAATCTTCATTGTAGGTTTTTTACAAATATCCCACATCAGATTACAGAGGTTCTCTTCTGTAACTACATTGCAAAGAGGTTTTATCACAATAGATATTGAATTTTACTATGTCTTCTATATCTGTTGACATGATCATGATTTTCTTCCTTTAATCCGTTAATATAGTGAAATTACATGTTAAACCAATCTTGAATTCCTTGGGATAAACTCGATTTGGATATGAATAATCATCTTTTTATACTATGCTGAATTCTGTTTGTTAACGAGGATGATAATTTTTGCATCCATAATCACAAGGTTGGTATGCAATTCTCCTGTCTTGTATTATCCTTAACAGACTTTTGGTATCAAAGTTATGCTATCTTCATATGATTTGGAGAATACTGCCGATTGTTGGGTTTTTCTCTGCTATATTTTGCAACGGTTTAAGTAGGACTGAAATTATTTGTTCTTTGAATGTTTGGCAGAACTAGAGAGTTAAACCATCTGGGTCTTTTCTTTATGGAAAGATTTTTAACAGCCAATTCAATTTCTTAAATGACTATAGAATAATTCAAGTTTCCTATTTCTTCTTGACTCCACTTTAGCAAGTTATGTTTTCCAGACATTTTTCCATTTTAGCACTTTTAAGTTTACTGGCATAAAGTTGTTCATTATATCCTATTATTACCGTATTCACTTCTGTAGCATTTTTCTTTCTGGGTATCACTTATTTCTGCCTCCTCTCTTTTCTTCTTGATCATCTTGCTGGTGTTTTGCCAGTTGTGTTACCCTTCTTTAAAGTCATTCATTCAAAAGTATTTATTTATATATACTATGCTTTGTATATGTCCAAAGTACAGTGAGCCACATTGGGAACATTAGCAGGTCAAAAGTGTCAAATGTTCCTCAACAATGTCAATGAAAAGCAAAACAAAAAAGTTTTCTAGTCAAGACAATCAAAAATTGTCTATATTGCTAGTAATTGTTTACATTAATAAACTTTATATTTTTAGAGCAACTTTAAGTTCACGGAAGAATCGACTGAAGTTTCCCACATACTCTCTCTTCCCACCAACACATAGTTTCCCCATTATATCTATATTGTATTAGTATATAATGTGATACATTTGTTACAACTGATGAACCAATATGGATGCATTATGATTAATTAAAGTCCATAGTTCACATTAGGGTTCACTCTTCATTAGTTATGTTAATCTTATCCAAAAACAAACTGTGGCTTCACTGATCCTTTCTATAAAATGTCTGTTTACTATTTCAGTAATTCATGCTTTATTATTTCCTTTCATCTACTTTAGAGTTATTATACTTTCTCTAAATTCTCAAGTGGGGAAAATATAAGCATTTCATTATTTCACTCAACCTAGTTTTTTTCAGCCTCCTCTAGATAGTATCTTGGGCCAGCTTCCCTCCCAACCCACACATCAATTCCCAAATCGACCTTCAAGTCTACTGGATCTACTCTGTGGATTCAATTTTGCTTCTCCATCTCCTCTTCTCTCTATTCTCTGTCACCTGATAAACCCTGTTGTTCATATCCTAAATTCATTATAGAAATGAATATATTTTTATTTTTCTACTGCCAAGTAAATTATTCCAAGCCCTTTCAACTCATAGCTACAAATAAAGATCTCTTTATCTCCTCAAACACTATTTTCAGGCTATGTATGGTGGCTGACACCTGTAATTCCAGCGCTTTAGGAAGTCAAGGCAGGAGGATTGCTTGAGCCCAGGAGTTCAAGATAAGCCTGGGGGAACATGGCAGAACCCTGTCTCTACAAAAAAAATTAGCCAGGTGTGGTGGCGTGCACCTGTAGTCCCTAGTACCCGAGAGGCTGAGGTGGGAGGATCACCTGAGCTCAAGAGGGCGAGGTTGCAGTGAGCCGTGCATGATCACACCACTGCACTCTAGCCTGGGCAACAGAGTGAGATCCTGTCTCAAAAACAAAAACCAAAAAACCCATTCTTTTCATTATTTTCATCACAATCTTCAGGCATAAGCAGCTTTCCTTTGATACTTAGGTTAACTTTTAAGGTCTTCTATCATCTTATACATTCTCCCTGCCAGTGTGTTTTCTCTCTCATTAGTCTCTAGGCAAATGCTCCACTCAAAGCACAACACACAAATTAGCCTTTATCCATGTTATTTCCCACCACCTGATAGCTTTTCTGTCTTCTCCTCAAACCACCCAATTCGTTCACCTACAAAGAATCTTTTGCTGTGAAATCTTCCACAATTGGGTATCATTTGCTTGTTGCAAAAACTCACTTTTGCACTTACAAAATATTAATATAAAGCAATACAAACAATATAGAAGTAACTGTTTTTCTTGCCAGCAATTTTATCTTGCAAAATGGATTGGCAGCTTTTATATGCAAGAACTATATTTTATACCCTTTTGGATCGCTAAAGAACACAGAAAATAGTTCATCACATTGTTGACAGCTAATACTGAAATGCAACGAGTATTTATAAAATAATAACATACCTTGCCTGCTAGGTGGCTGGAGATGATTCCATTGCTAGATATAAGACAGTCAGCCAGAGTAGTTTTTCCTGTTAAAACAGCAACATCGATTCAAATCTATGTCTTTTTAAAAAGGGGTCATGGGATGGATCATACCTATAGATTTAAAATCTGGTCATAACAATTGGTTTAGTAAAGATTTTCTATTTACCTATGCTAGGTGAAAAAGACAAAAGAGTTTGATTAGACTCTTGAACAGACTATCATCTGGAAGGACACAGATGCTAGCACTCTCTAATGCTGGAATCTTATCTCCAACCCTGTGGATCTAATCAACCTCATCTGAAAGTTGTCAAGCAACTTTTCTTAAAGTAGAGAATTTTTCTTAAATTGAGGCAGACTTTATACAGAGAAAAACACACTTTTCCGTGATAGGGCAAACCACCAAACCAATCAAAATATAGAATACCTGATGAGTTTTACACAGTTACTATAATTTGTCCTCTAAGAATTTGATCAAGTTTATCACAATTACTACATCAATTATCCCATATCCAGAACCATGACCATGTTTATCAAATTAAGCCCCTGACAGCACAGAATGACAAAATGCAGTAATTTTTTTTTCTCTGAAACGCATACTGGGTAAAACATCATCAATAAACAATTGAACATACTCTTCTGCCATACTTCCCCATGCATGGCCTCAGCTGGAATTTGCTAGTTAAACTGTCTCAAGAAAACACTTATTTATCAAAGAAATTCAGGAACTTTACCCATATCTCTTACTGTTTGTAATATAGCCCGTGGAGGCCATAAACTATAACAACCAATGAAACCTAGTATCCAAATCTAAACATAGGAATCTACTTTATAGCAAAAGAATCTTTGTATATATTTATAGTTACCTTTATTAAACAGACTACATACAACTAAACTCTATGCAATTTTGTGTGGTATAAACAGGTGATTCTGTTTAAAGAATGTTATGGGTATGCATAATTACTACAACTGGGTTGGAGTAAGCAAATGAGGGTTTTTTCCTTCAAGATAAGTCTTTATTGCACTTTAGGAACTTCAGCAAAGCTATGCAATCTCTGTATAGTTCAAACCAGAGACCAATGAGTAGGAGAACTGAAGATATTTAACACTGTGTTATCTGTCTGCCATGTAAATATGTATTAGCATATAATCCTAGAGCATCACTTTCCTGCAACCCAATAAAGCCGAATTTATTCTAAGTACATCAAGTATATACTTCCCTAGGAAATAATTATCAAGCAAGCAGGAACTTTGCTTTACTCACAGCGGTATCCCTAGGACCAGAACAATGCTTTGTCATATAGAAGACCTTCAGAAAATACTTGTTGAATGAATCACAGGTTTTCTAGGATAGTACCAGTTTAACATAATTTTAAACAATACATTTAAAGTAATTTGTTACACCCCACTGACTTTCCACTTGATTAAATTCATAAAGAAAAAAAACCCTTTTATCAGCCTTCACATTCTCAAAATGTGAGCAGTAAAATTATAAAAACTCATGGAGGCAGGGGTTACTCACTGGATTTGTACTAAAACTCATTCTCAGCTGGCTTCACTTGTAAAGTGATCCACTATCTGTCTGTCTTTCAGTTTCCATACTCACATCACTTCAGCTCTTCTATCAATGACAACAGCCACCTATCCTCTGACTTTGGATCCATCCTAAGCATGTCCACCAGTCTAATCTTTCTCATGTTTTATTTGATTACATCAGTCCTGCTCCATGTTTCCCCTCAAAGGTTCCCTACTGCCTAATAGTAGACGTTAATAATCGTTTTCATGGTGAAGCATTTGTTCCCCCTCAAAGGTTCCCTACTGCCTAATAGTAGACGTTAATAATCGTTTTCATGGTGAAGCATTTATGTTCCCTCTCATTATTATCACATTTAATCCTATAGCCTATAAAGTGGGTATAGTTTTCATCCTGTTTTACAGATGCTGTATAATGAAGCTCAGGAAGGCAAAGTACGTAACTTGAAAATGGAGATCTGAACTCAGGTTGTCTAACTTCAGAGCTGGAGCACTTAACTCTTAGCCTAGTTCCTATGAAATATGACTCAGCCTGCTTCTTCACCTCGCCGACTAGTCCTTCACCTTTAGGATGGTAAATAGACTTTATTTCACATGCCCATCCCAATCACTTTGCTATGGCTACCTAAACTACGAAGGGGTTTGAAGAGGAGGCTTAGCACGAGGGAGCGCTATGGGGTTACAGCAGTATCGGTCAGAAGCACACACACCACGCGTTGGCTATCTCTGCCTTTCCCAGATGCTGGGCTTTGACCACTTACATTTCCTTCACCCCTTGATGACACATTCCCACTTGTAATGTTTATCTCCATTTGTCATCTTGAGCCACCTTCAAGTGTCATCTCTAATATTAATTATGTTGTGAGGCCTTTTCTTAATCCCTCATTTCTCAATCCTCTAGTTCTCCCGACATTAGAGTCTACTTTTTTCTCATGTTTGTCTCATTTTCCTCTGCTCCCCCTTAAATCCTCCTCTACAGCTCCAGCCTGGGCAACAAGAGGGAAATTCCGTCCTCCCCCAACAAAAAAAACCTCCTCTACAGCTGGGCTGGTGCCCTACTCATAAATCTCCACGTTCTGACATACTTGGCAAAATATCTTGAACTTAACAGACGTTTGATAAATATCTGATGAATTAAACAGGATTGCATACCACAGACTCTAAAGACGTTATGTTAAGGCTACAGACATTTTATACGTAAAGCCATTTCGAAAACAAAAAATTCAAGTTCTGGTTTAAAAAACAACATGACATAATATATAGAAGAATGCTACTCACTAGGTAACCGTGTTCATTTCAAATGCCTTATAGCAAAGCAGGCTTCCCTAACATCACAGAAAACTTTTAAAGGAAAGACTTGCTTCTTAGCAAACACCACTCTCAGCTGCCCACAGCTTCACTCCACTGAGGCATACAGAGACACACCTCCCTTATTTATCAAAATAAGCCATTTAAAAAGTATTCTTACCACGGTCAACATGAGCCAAAACACAAATATTCCTGATGTTGGCAGTGTTTTTCTGGAGTTGAATCATCTTATCCAAACTGTTGAGCACCATGATTATTTCCTGTGTCAAAAAATTAAATATGTATTACAAATGGCCCAGAGGCTAAAGGTTGGGGCAAAAGAAAAAAATAATAATAAACGCTGGGAGGTGGCAAGGCTTCTCAAACCCCTTAAACCAAGAACCCAGTGAATGTTTATTGATGAGATAGACCACCAAGGCCTAAGTCCAGTTCGAGCACTAAAGTCAGTATCCTACCACGATTATACTTAAGGAGTTTGCTCATCCTTCCGGATCCGAAGGCTGCGATGAATCACTCAGCTCGTGGGGGCTGGGTGCACAGTGACACCAGTAACCCTGCCGGTGGAGGAGTACTCCAGTAAACATCTCCAGGCCAATGACCACGTACAGGAAGGGTTGCATCCAGGAGGGAGAGAAAATGCTGAAGAAGATGCTCCCTTTCTCTCTTCAGTCTTCCCTCAAGTCCCTCATTCTGACATTCTCGCTCGTCCTCGCGCGAGGTCAAATACCCAGCTTTATTCCTGCCCATAGAGCCCCAACAAAGTTTTGGGTCACGTGCTTACTATCCAAGCAGGTGCACTGTCGGTCTTTCATTCCTTTCTAAATAAAAAGGAAAAACCTCTACACTACATGCCCTTCATTTCTGCAGGGTCCCGGATTCGTTCTATTTGAGGATCCCGGGTCTACACAGGCGACCGCCTCGGCCCCAGACTGGAAGCGACACTCCAGGGACCAAAGCTTCCAGCCCGCGCTCGGCCCCAGCCCCTGTTTCCGCCTCAGAGCCGCAGCGAGCAGGGTCCTGCGGCACCGCCCAGAGACTGGCCTAGGAGGTTCCAGCCCCCAGCGCCAGCACACACTCACCGGCTGCAGCAGCCCCACCAGCCCTGCTCCTTCTCCCGGGTCCCGGCCACACCAAGAGCTTCGGAAACGCCGAGAACTCTGCGGGTCCAGAACGCCCGCGCGGACGCTTCTCTTACGGCGCCGGAAGCCGGCGCCGAGTCTGTCACCGGGCATCCCTCTGTTGCCTTGACGACGGCGGGCGCTGTAAGAGTGGAGAAGCTGCAGGTGCTGAGGCGCGGTGAAAGAAACCCTGGGAGCCAAGAGCACGAGGAGCTGGTGTCTGTGTCACATTTGTACTTGCGGGTAAGAAACCGCTGGTGTAGCGGCGGGCCAGGGCTTGGGAGCCGACCTAGGGCCTAGGTGCACGGAGCGGGCTCCTCGGGAACCCTGAGAGTGGCCGTCCCCCGGAGATGAAGGGACGAGGGCGCAGCGACTTCCGCACTTATCCCGCCCCACGAATACTCGCTCCGCACCCGCCGGCTACCCGGGGATAAAACGTTTGTTCGTAGCCCCTGAGACTCCCAATCAAGGATGCAAAGTAAAATGCCACCCGGGCCAGGTAAATAATATATGTGAAGCAGCGACGGGATATAACGCTGGTGAGTAGTGGGATGTGATCCGACTGGGAGAGTGCATTTCCACCCCATAATCCCCCACCACAAAGATGAGAAAGAACAGTGCTCAAGGCCCTGAGTCTGCAACCCATATCACATTTTCTTTCATCTGCACCTTTCTATCCTCCCAGCCAGACCATATTCCCATTCCCGTCCAGGCAGCAGTTCTTTGGGATCCGCCTGACTGAAAGGCAGTACAGTAGTCCCCACCCTGAAACCTAGAATCCAACTGTGAGTCCTGCCTAACAACCTTCCATCACCTATGAACACAGTCTTCTCCTTACTTAGCTTCAGCTGACCCAGGGATTAGATCATTATTTGCTAAATAAATATGAACGTGTCAATCCCTTTGTATTTGTAATCCTCTTCAAAGAAAACACCTTCATGTTGATGGAAAGCAGTTTTTTTGATAGTCTCATAATAAACACAGTTTGTAATTAGACGTAGATTAAAATATCAACAAATTAACTTTGGGTGTATGAATCTGCAGACTGGGGTGCAGGAGAAAATTTTTACTTTTTTTCTAATTCATATTCAACGTAAGTTCCTTTAACTGTTAGGAAATTCAGTCTTCATTATGTTGAGGGCTACCCTTAGAATGGTGTGATTTTACTTTTTGTTTGTTTGTTTTTGGTTGTGTTTTTTTTTGTTTTTTAAGGGTTTTGTCTTTATTTTCTGATAATGCAATAAATAAATACACATGAGGTGTCATAAAAATTTGAGCAAAAATATCTATAATATTGTAAAACGCCTTCATAATTCTATCTTCCACAGATAACAAATGTTCTTTAAGACTTGTTTTACATATGCATTGATTTTTTTCTTTTATTTTCTTTTTTTTTTTTTTGAGACAGAGTCTTGCTCTGTTGCCAGGCTGGAGTGCAGTGGCACAATCTCGGCTCACTGCAATCTCTGCCTCCTGGGTTCAAGCAATTATCCTGCCTCAGCCTCTCGAGTAGCTGGGATTACAGGCACGCGCCACCGCACCCAACTAATTTTTGTATTTTTAGTAGAGACGGGGTTTCACCATGTTGGCCTCTATCTCCTGACCTCATGATCTGCCTGCTTCGGCCTCCCAAAGTACTGGGATTACAGTCATGAACCACTGCACCCAGCCTGCATAGATTTTTTTTTTTAACAAAAAAGGAGAATATTCTGAGCATACTATTCTTTTTTTTTATTCCTTTGAAGGTTTTTTTTTTTATTATTATTATACTTTAAGTTCTAGGGTAAATGTGCACAATGTGCAGGTTTGTTACATAGGTATACATGTGCCATGTTGGTTTGCTGCACCCATTAACTCATCATTTACATTAGGTATTTCTCCTAATGCTATCCATTCCCCTGCCCCCACCCCATGACAGGCCCTTGTGTGTGATGTTCCCCGCCCTGTGTCCAAGTGTTCTCATTGTTCAATTCCCACCTATGAGTGACAGCATGCAGTATTTGGTTTTCTGCCTTTGTGATAGTTTTCTCAGGATGATGGTTTCCAGCTTCATCCATGTCCCTTCAAAGGACATGAACTCATCCTTTTTTATGGCTGCATAGTATTCCATGGTGTATATGTGCCACATTTTCTTAATCCAGTCTATCATTGATAGACATTTAGGTTGGTTCCAAGTTTTTGCTATCGTGAATAGTGCCACAATAAACATATGTGTGCATGTGTCTTTATAGTAGCATGATTTATAATTCTTTGGATATATACCCAGTAATGGGATTGCTGGGTAAAATGGTATTTCTAGTTCTAGATCCTTGAGGAATCGCCACACTGTCTTCCACAATGGTTGAACTAGTTTACAATCCCACCAACAGTGTAAAAGCATTCCTATTTCTCCACATCCTCTCTAGCACCTGTTGTTTCCCGACTTTTTAATGATCGCCGTTCTAATTGGTGTGAGATGGTATCTCATTGTGGTTTTGATTTGCATTTCTTTGATGACCAGTGATGATGAGCATTTTTTCATGTGTCTGTTGGCTGCATAAATGTCTCCTTTTGAGAAGTGTCTGTTCATATCATTTGCCCAATTTTTAATGGGATTGTTTGTTTTCTTGTAAATGTAAGTTCTTTGTAGATTCTGGATAGCCCTTTGTCAGATGGGTAGATTGCAAAAATTTTCCCCATTCTATAGGTTACCTGTTCACTCTGATGGTAGTTTGTTTTGCTGTGCAGAAGCTCTTTAGTTTAATTAGATCTCATTTGTCTATTTTGGTTTTTGTTGCTATTGCTTTTGGTGTTTTAGTCATGAAGTCCTTGCCCATGCCTATGTCCTGAATGGTATTGCCTAGGTTTTCTTCCAGGGTTTTTATGGTTTTAGGTCTAACATTTAAGTCTTTAATCCAACTTGAATTAATTTTTGTATAAGGTGTAAAGAAGGGATCCAGTTTCAGCTTTCTACATATGGCTAGCCAGTTTTCCCAGCACCATTTCTTAAATGGGGAATCCTTTCCCCATTTCTTGTTTTTGTCAGGGTTGTCAAAGATCAGATAGTTGTAGGTGTGTGGTATTATTTCTGAGGGCTCTGTTCTTTTTGTTTTGTTTTGTTTTGTTTTTTGAGACGGAGTCTCGATCTGTCACCCAGGCTGGAGTGCAGTGGCGCAATCTCGGCTCACTGCAACTCCGCCTCCTGGGTTCACGCCATTCTCCTGCCTCAGCCTCCCGAGTAGCTGAGACTACAGGAGCCCACCACCACGCCCGGCTAATTTTTTGTATTTTTAGTAGAGATGGGGTTTCACCGTGGTCTCGATCTCCTGACCTCGTGATCCACTCGCCTTGGCCTCCCAAAGTGCTGGGATTACAGGCGTGAGCCACCACACCCAGCTGGCTCTGTTCTTTTCTGTTGGTCTATCTCTCTGTTTTGGTACCAGTACCATGGTGTTTTGGTTGATGTAGCCTTGTAGTATAGTTTGAAGTCAGATAATGTGATGCCTCCAGCTTTGTTCTTTTTGTTTAGGATTGTCTTGTCAATGCAGGCTCTTTTTTGGTTCCATATGAACTTTAAAGTAGTTTTTTCCAATTCTGTGAAGAAAGTCATTGGTAGCTTGATGGGGTGGCATTGAATCTATAAATTACCTTGGGCAGTATGGCCATTTTCACGATATTGATTCTTCCTATCCATGAGCATAGAATGTTCTTCCATTTGTTTGTGTCCTCTTTTATTTCATTGAGCAGTGGTTTGTAGTTCTCCTTGAAGAAGTCCTTCACATCCCTTGTAAGTTGGATTCCTGGGTATTTTATACTCTTTGTAGCAATTGTGAATGGGAGTTTACTCATGATTTGGCTCTCTGTTTGTCTGTTATTGGTGTATAGGAATGCTTGTGATTTTTGCACATTGATTTTGTATCCTGAGACTTTGCTGAAATTGCTTATCAGCTTAAGGAGATTTTGGGCTGAGACGATGGGGTTTTCTAAATATACAATCATGTCATCTGCAAACAGGGACAATTTGACTTCCTCTTTTCCTAATTGAATATGCTTTATTTCTTTCTCTTGCCTGATTGCCCTGGCCAGAACTTCCAACACTGTGTTGAATAGGAGTGGTGAGAGAGGGCATCCCTGTCTTGTGCCAGTTTTCACAGGGAATGCTTCCAGTTTTTGCCCATTCAGTATGATATTGGCTGTGGGTTTGTCATAAGTAGCTCCTATTGTTTTGAGATACATTCCATCATTACCTAGTTTATTGAGAGTTTTTAGCATGAAAGGCTGTTGAATTTTGTCAGAGGCCTTTTCTGCATCTATTGAGATAATCATGTTGTTTTTGTCGTTGGTTCTGTTTATATGATGGATTACGTTTATTGATTTGCATATGTTGAACTAGTCTTGCATCCCAGGAATGAAGCCAACTTGATCATGGTGGATAAGTTTTCTAATGTGCTGCTGGATTCGGTTTGCCAGTATTTTATTGAGGATTTTTGCATCAATGTTCATCAAGGTATTGGTCTAAAATTCTCTTTTTTTGTTGTGTCTCTGCCAGGCTTTGGTATCAGGATGATGCTGGCTTCATAAAATGAGTTAGGGAGGATTCCCTGTTTTTCTATTGATTGGAATAGTTTCAGAAGGAATTGGACCAGCTCCTCATTGTACCTCAGGTATAATTCGGCTGTGAATCCATCTGGTCCTGGACTTTTCTTGGTTGGTAAGCTATTAATTATTGCCTCAATTTCAGAGCCTGTTATTGGTCTATTCAGAGATTCAACTTCATCCTGGTTTAGTCTTGGGAGGGTGTATGTGTCCAGGAATTTATCCATTTCTTCTAGATTTTCTAGTTTATTTGCATAGAGCTGTTTATAGTATTCTCTGATGGTAGTTTGTATTTCTGTGGGATCTGTGGTGATATCCCCTTTATCATTTTTTATTGTGTCTATTTGATTCTTCTCTCTTTTCTTCTTTATTAGTCTTGCTAGCGGTCTATCAATTTTGTTTATCTTTTCAAAAAACCAGCTCCTGGATTCATTGATTTTTTGAAGGGTTTTTTTGTGTCTCTATCTCCTTCAGTTTTGCTCTGATCTTAGTTATTTCTGGTCTTCTGCTAGCTTTTGAATGTGTTTCCTCTTGCTTGTCTAGTGCTTTTAATTGTGATGTTAGGGTGTCGATTTTAGGTCTTTCCTGCTTTCTCTTGTGGGCATTTAGTGGTATAAATTTCCCTCTACATACTGCTTTAAATGTGTCCCAGAGATTCTGGTATGTTGTGTCTTTGTTCTCATTGGTTTCAAATAACATCTTTATTTCTGCTTTAATTTCATTATTTACCTAGTAGTCATTCAGGAACAGGTTGTTCAGTTTCCATGTAGTTGTGTAGTTTTGAGTGAGTTTCTTAATCCTGAGTTCTAATTTGATTGTCCTGTGGTCTGAGAGAGTTTGTTATGATTTCTGTTCTTTTACATTTGCTGAGGAGTGCTTTACTTCCAACTATGGGGTCAATTTTGGAATAAGTGTGATGTGGTGCTGAGAAGAATGTATATTCTGCTGATCTGGGGTGGAGAGTTCTGTAGATGTCTATTAGGTCTGCTTGGTGCAGAGCTGAGTTCAAGTCCTGTATATCCTTGTTAACCTTCTGTCTTGTTGATCTGTCTAAAATATTGACAGTGGGGTGTTAAAGTATCCAGTTATTATTGTCTGGGAGTCTTTAAGTCTCTTTGTAGGTCTCTAAGGACTTGCTTTATGAATCTGGGTGATCCTGCATTGGGTGCATATATATTTAGGATAGTTACCTCTTCTTGTTGAATTGATTCCTTTACCATTATGTAATGGCCGTCTTTGTCTCTTTTGATCTTTGTTGGTTTAAAGTCTGTTTTATCAGAGACTAGGACTGCAACCCCTGCTTTTTTTTTTTTTTGCTTTCCATTTGCTTATTTGATCTTCCTCCATCCCTTTATTTTAAGCCTATGTGTGTTTCTGCACGCGAGATGGGTCTCCTGAATACAGCACACTGATGGGTCTTGACTCTATCCAATTTGCCAGTCTGTGTCTTTTAATTGGGGCATTTAGCCCATTTACATTTAAGGTTAATATTGTTATGTGTGAATTTGATCCTGTCATTATGATGTTAGCTGGTTATTTTGCCTGTTAGTTGATGCAGTTTCTTCCTAGCATCAATGGTATTTACAATTTGGCATGTTTTTGCAGTGGCTGGTACCAGTTGTTCCTTTCCATGTTTAGTGCTTCCTTCAGGAGCTCTTGTAAGGCAGGCCTGGTGGTGACAAAAATCTCTCAATATTTGCTTGTCTGTAAAGGATTTTATTTCTCATTCACTTATGAAGCTTAGTTTGGCTGGATATGAAATTCTGGGTTCAAAATTCTTTCCTATAAGTATGTTGAATATTGGCCCCCGCTCTCTTCTGGCTTGTAGAGTTTCTACCGAGAGATCTGCTATTAGTCTGATGGACTTTCCTTTGTGGGTAACCTGACCTTTCTCTCTGGCTGCCCTTAACATTTTTTCCTTCATTTCAACCTTGGTGAATCTGACAATTATGTGCCTTGGGGTTGCTCTTCTCCAGGAGTATCTTTGTGGTGTTTTCTGTATTTCCTGAATTCGAATGTTGGCCTGCCTTGCTAGGTTGGGGATAATATCCTAGATAACATCCTGAAGAGTGTTTTCCAACTTGGTTCCATTCTCCCAGTCACTTTCAGGTACACCAATCAAACGTAGATTTGGTCTTTTCACATAGTCCCACATTTCTTGGAGGCTTTGTTTCTTTTCACTCTTTTTTCTCTAAACTTCTCCTCTCACTTTATTTCATTAATTTGATCTTCAATCACTGATACCCTTTCTTCCACTTGATCGAATTGGCTACTGAAGCTTGTGCATGCATCACGTAGTTCTCGTGCCATGGTTTTCAGCTCCATCAGGTCATTTAAGGTCTTCTCTACACAGTTTATTCTAGTTAGCCATTTGTCTAATCTTTTTTCTAGGTTTTTAGCTTCCTTGCAATGGCTTCGAACATCCTCCTTTAGCTCGGAGAAGTTTGTTATTACCGGTCTTCTGAAGCCTCCTTCTGTCAGCTCGTCAAAGTCATTCTCCATCCAGCTTTGTTCCATTACTAGTGAGGAACTGCGATCCTTTGGAGGAGAAGAGGCACTCTGGTTTTTAGAATTTTCAGCTTTTCTGCTCTGGTTTCTCCCCATCTTTGTGGTTTTATCTACCTTTGGTCTTTGATGCTGGTGACCTACAGGTGGGATTTTGGTGTGGATGTCCTTTTTGTTGATGTTGATGCTATTCCTTTCTGTTTGTTAGTTTTCCTTCTAAGAGTCAGGTCCCTCAGCTGCAGGTCTGTTGGAGTTTGCTGGAGGTCCACTCCAGACCCTGTTTGCCTGGGTATCACCAGTGGAGGCTCAGTTGGAAATGCAGAAATCACCATCTTCTGTGTGGATCACGCTGCGAGCTGCAGACCGGAGCTGTTCCTATTCGACCATTTTGGAACGGAAAACCCTGAGCATACTATTCTACAATCCAGTTTTTTACTATTTACAATCTCACCATCTTCCAGTGACCATGCATAAAGGCCACCCTCATTCTCTTAAATAACTCTACTGTATACTATTAGCTTATGTGATATATTGGTCAAGGTTCTTAGTTATGGATAACATAATCTCCTCTTGTTAGTTTAGGCAAAAGGGAATTTATTAAGGAGTATATATATAGTTCACCTGGAAGAACTTAAGAAATCATTTTCAAAATAAGCTTCCACAAAAATTTTACCACAGACCAGGACTGACAAGGGAGCCACTGCCTCTGCCATAATCAGAAACTTGCAACAGAGCTGTAGAGTCCAGAATCACTCGTCTCTTCCAAGGTCAAGAAGCTGCCAAGTTAGGAAACCAGCTTGCAAATCAAGATGCCACCTAACAACTTCTAGCTCCAATCTCTTGTTGCCTCTATTACATTCCATGCAAGCAAAATAAATGTTGTGCTTTGACTCTCTCCTTATGTAGCTCTCTTCTGAATCAAAGTATCATGTGAATACATATAGTAGGTGAAACCTAAATTGTATGTGGAACCTTTCTGCAAGAGCATGGGAAATTCCCTATTAGCTTTTCAGCTTCTATAGTGTAACAAGACACTAAATTGTTTGAGACACTTAATAGTTGTGTTTCTACCACATAGGGATAGACCATTATTTATTGATTGTTTTTATAAACACCATTACAGAGGAAACAGTTTTTTTTTTCAGTAAAGCTCTAGAATTTAGAAATTGTGAGTTTATTGGAGGTCTCTGATTAAAATGCAATTACAACACAAAATGTTTTTTAAGGTTAATCATCTTTCAGTTTGTTTTTTGCACAGGCGACATCCTTGTCCACGTGGAACCACAAGGATTTATGAAAATTCTGGGGTGTTTTGCCCTACAACTGAATATTTGGAAAAATATCCTATGTATAACAATGTTCTTCCACCTCAGAGTCTTAAACCCAAGCAAGAAATTCGAGCATGCCGTGGTAAAATGGAAGGAATAACTACATTTAAGTAAACATTTAGTAACTATTTGCTTTACTTATTTTTCTCGCAACTATTCTGGTGTCAATAAAATTTTCTAGCTATTTAATTACTGTTTCATTGATTTAAGTTGAACCAATCTAATAAGTAAGAGACTAGTTAAGTCACAACTTGAAAAAAACAGAAAAATGAGAATTAGGTTGACAAAGTGTGAGAAGAAAAAAGGGATATAAAAAGTTCTATTTTTTTTAACTTCCTAAAATATCTCATATTTATCTATTTTCCACTGTTTGTCACCACCACCTAGAGCAGGGTGTCCAATCTTTTGGCTTCCCTGGGCCACACTGGAAGAAGACTTGTCTTGGGCTACACGTAAAATACAATAACACCAACCATAGCTGATGAGCAAAAAAAAAAAAAAATCACACACAAAAAATCTCATAATGTTTTAAGAAAGTTTACGAATTTGTATTGGACCTCATTCAAAGCCATCCTGGGCCACACGCAGCCCATATGCCGCAGGTTGGACAAGCTTGGCCTAGAGGAATGCAGTCACTTTCTAAGTATCATATGTGAATCTACTCTAGTTTTTGCAGTTTGATCTGTTTTCAATACTTCAGCCTGCCCAAATGCAAACCAAATCCTATCACTTTTCTGCTTAAAATACTCTTAAACTTTCCCATTGTGTTTAACACAAACCAGAATCCTTACCAAAACCATGTAGAGGCATGGTTTGCTCACTACTTACTTCTCTAATTCATTTTCACTGTAGCGTCCTTTTCACTCTTTTATGCTCCATCCCATGGGCCATTTTTCATGTCTTTGAAAAGTGCCAGGTTTCCTTGTCTCAGGGTCTTCCAAGATACTATTTTCCCTACCTGCAATTTTCCTTCCCTCTCCTAGCTAATGCTCATTCAATCTGCAGATCTCAACTAAATTATCACTTGAAAAAGCCTTCTCTGACACTTTTCAGATTAGGTAAAAGTCTTCTATGTAAGCTCCCAAAGCACCTTCCTGTTATTTATCATTAGATTAGTTTCAGTGTTTCATGAAAGCAGAAACTAAGTCTATTGTTATCTCAGCATTCTATTTTTAGAAAAGGAATACAATGCCTACTAGCACATAGTAGGTACCCAATATTTTGTTCAGTGAGTGATGAACAAAAATCCTCTTAAGTCTATACTTTTCATTTGGACTTACCTTTTTTGATCTCTCTGTATATTGTCAGTTAGGTGGATTAAGTATTATATTTACTTATTATTTTATTTAAACTGTTAATGTATGTATTGTATTCAAGGTACAATCTTGGTGTTAAGTATAAAAATGTCAGTAAGTTTGTGAACCCCAAATATCTGAGATAGGTCTCGGTTTATTTAGAAAGTTTATTTTGCCAAGGTTGAGGGCGCATGCCGGTGACACAGCCTCAGGAGGTACCAATAATATGTGCCCAAGGTGTTCAGAGCACAGTCTGGTTTTATACGTTTTAGGGAAACACACATCAGTCAACATATATGTAAGATGAATATTGGTTCTTCCGGAAAGGCGGGACAACTCGAAGCTGGGAGGGATCTTGCAGGTCATAGGTAGATAAGAGACAAATGGTTGCATTCTTTTGAGTTTCTGATGAGCCTCTCCAAAGGAAGCAATCAGATATGCATTTATCTCAGTGAGCAGAGGGGTGACTTTGAATAGAATGGGAGACAGGTTTGCCCTAAACATTTCCCAGCTTGACTTTTCCCCTTAGCTTAGTGATTTTGGGGCCCCAAGATGTATTTTCCTTTCACAAGTTGAAGTTCCTGCTTTCAAGGAACTCAGACATATTTCTATAATTTGGAGTTTTAAAAATGCTCTGTAATAGCTTTAGATTTTGATGTTAGCCATTTTCATTTCATTTCAGATGTAGCTCATTCCTATTTAGCAAAGGTGGAGACTTTCAAACTTTTAGTCTAGTATTTATATTTTTAACATTTCAGGCATTCCTTGCAGTAATAATAGTTTGGTGACTCTAGTTACTAGTATAGGGGTATGGCTCTTCCACAGATGGAAGATTTTACTTAGTCCTCAGATTTTGGTATGCAGTAGTGCCATCTAGAAGTGTTAAAATTGCAGACTCCAGAGCTCCATCTAAAAGAGCCAGTAAATAGAGTGGGTCTCAGGAAACTGCATTTTTAACCAGCATTGGTGGTGATTCTGTTGCCACTGATTCAGTGCAGCAGGTCAGGAACTGGACTGCTCACTGAGGATGACATGGAACATAAAACAGAGAGGGTCTTTGCTTTACTGTTGTTTATAGTCTTGTGGGAAAGTCCAGAAATAAAAATATCAGATAAATAACTAAGATAATTATGGATTATGATAAATGAGATGAATAAATTGAATAACTGGTTGAGATTGATGAAATGGGAATGGTTCTTTTGTCTTCACTTTAATTTATTAATATTTCTTTCCTGATGCCTTAATGGTTCATATTAGAGATTTGAAATAAATTTTACAATATTTGTATTTATTGAACAAAGATTTTGCTTTTAACCAGTTCTAAATGTAGAAATTGAGAAAATTTAACCTGCCATATCTTTCTTTTAAAAGGCAGTTGCTTTTCAATTCTGGATTTCCCCTATTGTCTTATTCAAGCAAGCTTTAATAGTTAAAAAAAAAAAAAAAAAGAAAGCAATGTCCCAAAGGTCCAAAATGCCAATAAAACTAAAATATTCTTTTCTTAAATTTTCTTCTCTTCACTTAGTAAGACATTGGATCTTTTCTTTGTATTTTCACTGGGAAACTAGCAGTATCTCTAAGTCATAATCTAGGAGCTTGAAACTCTTGCTTGACTCCCTCATGTTGACTGTGTTGACTAAGCAGTAGAAAATGGATTTATCCCTACAAACAAAGAAGCTTTCTGTACCTTTGTATAGTACAGGAAGTGACTGTGTAAAGAGGTGTCTGAACTTGTACAAGATTTTGGATCCTTTATAGCAGTACAATTGTAGCTCACTTAGATGACTGCCAGAGTTGGCAGGAAGCCTGCCCTGAACGAGTAGGATTCTAGACACATCAAATGTTTCAGGATATATCAGATGAATAAGACTGCATTCACCCTCTATTACTACTCCATAGAAAGCGGCTTTGGGTTTGGAGGTATACTTTCTAACACTTGTCTAACCAGAGAAACTGAGAGTTCTAAGCTTTTGCTTTGCTTTTCCCTTCCTGATTCTCTCACTTCCTGACTGCATTTTAGCCCATTCCCCTCTAGCTTGTATTTGGAAAGAGCAAAGAACAACTCACGTGTCTTGAGAAGCAGAGGTATGTGACTTTTACTACTCTTCATCCATTAAATAAAAAGTTATTAAGCATTTATTAAGCATCAAGCACTATAATAGACACCTGGGATACAGCGGTGACCAAAAGCAGTCATGATCTCTCTATTGACAGATATTACAATCTATTAGAAATGGCAATCAAAAACATTACTCAAAATAACTCTAAAATTGCAACAGTGATAAAATCTGTGAAGGACAGGCACAGGTACCTTGACAGCCAGAACAAGAGTTTGACTTTATCAGGGGAATGAGAAAAATGAGTCAAAACCTGAAGGATGTTAAATTAACTGGATTAAGAGGGGGAAGGAAATGCATTCCAAGCAGAGAGAGAGAGAGTAGCATGTAGCAGGAAGGAGCATGGGAAGGAGAAAATTATCAAAGAAAGCCAGCTGGAGCAGAGAAAGCAAGAGGAAGCACAGTGAGAGTTGAGGCTAGTGAAGAAGGCCAGGCAGAGCCTTTAAACCATGTTCCATGTTGTCTATGTCCTTACAGTAATAAGCCATGAAGGTTTCTTTTCTGGCTTGTTTTTTTTGGTGGAGGGTGGAGTTGGGGAGGAAGGGAGGTAAGGAAGCGGCTAGGGAGAGGAGGGCAAGAATGACCTGATCAGATTTACATGGGAAAGAATTACTTCAGGTGCCATGTGGAGAAAAGACTGGAGGGAGAACTAGAGTGGATGTGGGTAAATGAGTTTCAAATTTATTAAAGAGATTCAAATAAGCTCTTGCAAAAACTGCATATTATGGTAGTGGCCGATGTGGAGAAAAGTGGTTAGATTTGAGAGATATTTATGAGGCAAAATTGACAGTAGTTGATGATGGACTAGATAGGGGAGAGAATTGAGGTATAAAGGGTGAGTCCTAGATTTCTGACTATGAGTCTGAAACGATGGTGATAGCGTTCACTTAAATAGAGAAAAAGCAAAAAGGACCACATTTATTGAGGGGAAATAGCGAGTTGATTTGGGACATATTAAGTTTTGAGTTGTCATTGAATATCCAAGAGACCATCGGAGATACTGGTATGGAGCTCAGAGAAGAGGTCTAAGCTGAGATGTAAATTTGAGGGTTATTTCGATCTAGGTAGTAATCTAAGCTGTGGGAGTAGAAGAGTTATCCTCAGGAGTGAACAGTGGATGAGAAGAAGAATGTGTAGGTAGGTCCAAGTCTTGAGGAACGCTAACATGTATTTAATGACTGAGTAGAGGTAGATGAAGGTGCATAGGAGACTGGAAAGAAATAATCAGGAAGTCGGGAAGAGAAAGTTTCCTAGAAACAGACAGTGTGGACAATAATGTCAATTACTGTCGGAGAGGTCAAGTAAGATGAGGACTAAAAATGTTCGATGAATTTAATCACATGGAAGACACTGTGAACCTTAGAGCTGTATTAGGGAAGTGGCAGTGCTGGAAACCAGACTGAAATGGATTGGAGCAGGTGAGAAAACAGTTAATTAGTCTAAGAAGTTATGTTGTGAATAGAAGAATTCAGTGAGGGTTTTGGGTTTCTTTGGGAAACTTACAGACATACGCAGCAAATATTGATTAACACAAGATAGTTTAATCACAAAATGAGTCATGTGCCAATAGAGTCCAGAAGAAAAAAGCAATCCATGAAGTCTTGTGGTAGTAATAGTAGTGGCTACCATATTGATCTTACCATGTACCAAGCAGTTTCCGGCATCACACTTTGTGATTTCATATTATATTACAAAGCTATAGTAACCAAAATAATAGGTAGTACTGGCATAAAAATAGACATATAGATCAATGAAACAGAATAGAAAACCCAGAATAAACCCAAGCATATTACAGCCAGCTAATTTTTGACAAGGGTGCCAAGAATACACAATGGAGGAAGAATAGTCTTTTCAATAGTGTTGGCTTGCATGCACATAGGCCACAGACCCTATAAAGCAACTACACAATCGAGACTACAAAGGAACTATGTATGACCGGAACAAAACCCCACATATCTATCTATCTATCTATATCTATATATAGATATAGATATTTTTTGAGACAGAGTCTCACTCTGTCACCCAAGCTAGAGTGCAGTGGCACAATCTCAGCTCACTGCAACCTCTGCCTCCCGGGTTCAAGCAATTCTCCTGTATCAGCCTCCTGAGTAGCTGGGACTACAGGCACCCACCACCATGCCCAGCTAATTTTTGTATTTTTAGTAGAGACCATATTGGTCAGGCTGGTCTTGAACTCCTGACTTCAGGTGATCTGCCCGCCTCGGCCTCCCAAAGTGCTGGGATTACAGGCGTGAGCCACCATGCCTGGCCCCCACGTATCAATATTAACCTTGAATGTAAATGGCCTAAATGCTCTTCTTAAAAGACCCAGAGTGGCAAATTGGATTAAAAAAAAAAAAAAAAAAAAACCACCCTTCCTTCTGCTGTCTTTGAGAGACCCATCTCACATGCAGCAACACCCATAGGCTCAAAGTAGAAGATGGAGAAAGATCTACCACACAAATAGAAAACAAAAAAAGCAGGAGTTGTTATTTTTGTATCAGATAAAATTGACTTTAAACCAACAACAGTAAAAAGGGGCAAAGAAGGGCGTTAATTACATAATAATAAAGAGTGCAGTTCAATGAGAACACCTAACTATCCTAAATGTATTATATATGCACTCAGATTTATAAAACAAATGTTTCTAGACCTAAGAAAAGACTTTGACAGTCACACTAAAACAGTGGGAGACTTCAACACCCCACTGACAGCATTAGACAGATCATCAAAACAGAAAACTAAGAAATTCTGGACTTAAATTCAACACTTGACCAATTGGACAATAGAGATCTACAGAATACTCCACCTAACAA
The DNA here is from genome assembly GCF_000001405.40 of Homo sapiens. Taxonomy (NCBI): domain Eukaryota; kingdom Metazoa; phylum Chordata; class Mammalia; order Primates; family Hominidae; genus Homo; species Homo sapiens. Next base: position 671,445 of record NW_025791797.1, on the reverse strand, counting down.
CCCCAGAATATACATTCTTCTCATCTTCACATGGAACATACCCTAAGTTTGACCACATTCTCAGTCATAAAGCAAGTCTTGATAAATTCAAAAACATTGAAATAATACAATTTATCTTCTCAGACCACAGTAGAATAAAAATAGAAATCAGTACCAAGAGGAAATCTCAAAACCACACAAATACATGGAAACTAAACAACTTGCTCCTGACTGACTTTTGGGTAAACAATGAAATTAAGGCAGAAATTTAAAAAGTATTTGAGGCCAGGCATGGTGGCTCATGCTGTAATCCCAACACTCTGGGAGGCCGAGGTGGGTGAATCACGAGATCAGGAGCTCGGGACCAGCCTGGCCAACATGGTAAAACGCTGTCTCTACTAAAAATACAAAAAAGTAGTTGGGCATGGTGGCGGGCGCCTGTAATCCCAGCTACTTGGGAGGCTGAGGCAGGAGAATCGCTTGAGCCCGGGAGGCAGAGGTTGCAGTGAGCCGAGATTGTGCCACTGCACTCTAGTCTGGGCAACAGTGCAAGACTCCATCTCAAAAAAAAAAAAGTATTTGAAATAAATAAAAATAGAGACACAACATACCAAAACTACTGGGATGTGGCAAAAGCAAGGGTAAGAGGAAAGTTTATAGTGCTAAATGCCTACATCAAAAAGATAGAAATATCTCAAATTAACAACCTAACCTAGCAACCAAAAGTACTAGCAAAATAAGAACAAACTAAACCAAAAGCTAGCAGAAGAAATAATTAAAATCAGAGCAGAACTGAATGAAATTGAGACCCCCAAAACCGTACAAAGGATCAATGAAGCAAAAAGTTCACTTTTTGAAAAGATAAACAAGATTATAGACCAGTAGCTAGATTAACAAAAAAAAGGCATCCAAATAAGCACAATCAAAAGTGACATCACAACTGATCCCACAGAAATACAAAAGATCCTCAGAGAATATTATGAACCACACAAACTAGAAATTCTAGAGGAAATGGATAAATTCCTGGAAACACAAATTCCCAAGATTGAATCAGGAAGAAAGAGAAATCCTGAACAGATCAATAACAAGTAAGGAAATTGAATCAGTAGTAAGAAACCTACCAACCAAAAATAAATAAATAAATAAATAAAATAAAACAGCCCTGGACCAAATGTGTTCACAACTGAATTCTACCAGACATACAAAGAACAGCTGGTACCAATCCTACTGAAAGTATTCCAGAAAATTGAGGAAGAGGGACTCCTTTCTGACTCATTCTATGAAACTAGTATGGTTCTGATACCAAAATCTGACAAAAACACAAAAAAGAAAACTACATTTTCCCTGAACACAGATGAAAAAATCCTCAAAAAATACTAGCACACCAAATCCAGCAGCAAATCAAAAAGTTAATTCACCACAGTCAAGTGGGTTTTATTCTTGGGATGCAAGGATGGTCCAACATATGCAAATCAATAAATGTGATTCACCACATAAATAGAATTTAAAACAAAAATCATATGATCATCTCAATAGATGCAGAAAAAGCATTTGATAACATTCAACATCCCTTCATGATAGAAACTCTCAACAAACTAGGCACTGAAGGAACATACCTCAAAATAATAAGAGCCATCTATGAGAAACCCACAGCCAACATCATACTGAATGGACAAAAATCTGGACACATTCCCTTTGAGAACTGGAACAAGACAAGGATGCCCACTCGTATCACTCATATTCAACATAGTATTGGAAGTGCTAGCCAAAGCAATCAGGCAAGAGAAAGAAAAGGCATCCAAATAGAAAAAGAGGAAGTCAAATTCTCTCTCTTGGCTGACAGTATAATTTATACCTAAGAAACCCTAAAGATCCTGCCAAAAGACTCCTAGACCTAATAAACGACTTCAGCAAAGTCTCAGGATACAAAATCAATATACAAAAGTCAGTAGCATTTCTATACACCAATAATGTTCAAGCTGAGAACCAAATCAAGAACATAATTCCATTTACAGTAGCCACACACACTCACAGTACCTGGGCATACATCTAACCAAGGAGGTGAAAGATCTCCACAAGGAGAAAGAAATCATAGACTACACAAATGGAAAAGCATTCCGTGATCATGGATAGGAAGATTCAATATCACTAAAATGTCTACTACCCAAAGCAATCTATCAAATTAGCAATATCACTTTTTTGCAGAATTAGAGAAAAACGATTCTAAAATTTATATGGAACCCAAAAAGAGCCTGAATAGCCAAGGCAATCCTAAACAAAAAGAATAAAGCCAGAGGCATTACATCTCCCAACTTCAAACTATACTACAAAGCTGCAGTAACCAAAACAGCATGGTACTGGTACAAAAATAGACACGTAGACCAATGGAACAGAATGGAGACCTCTGAAATTAATCCAGACACCTACAACCACCTAATTGTCAACAAAACTGGCAAAAATTAACAATGGGGAAAGGACTCCCTATTCCATAAATGATGCTGGAAAAACTGGCCAACCATATGCAGAAGGATGAAACTGGACACCTACTTCTCACTATATACAAAAATTAACTCAAGATGGATTAAAAGCTTAAATGTAAGACCTCAAACTATAAAAATCCTGAAAGAAAACCTAGGAAATACTCTTCTAGACATTGCCTTAGGCAAAAAATTTATATCTTAAGTGCTCAAAAGCAAATGCAATAAAAATTGATAAAATGGGACTTAATTAAATTAAAGAGCTTCTGCAAAGGAAAAGAAACTATCAACAACATAACAAACAAGCTACATAATAGGAGAAAATATTCACAAGCTATGCATCCAACAAAGGATTAATATCCAGAACCTATAAGGAAGTTAAATAAATCAACAAGAAAAAATAACATTAAAAGGTGGGCAAAGGACATGAAAAAATTCTCAACATCACTAACGATCAGATGAAAACCACATGAGTTACCATCTCAAACCAGTTAGAATGGCATTCAGCCAAGCAATCCCATTACTGGGTATATACCCAAAGGAAAATAAATCATTCTATCTGCACTTGTACGTTCACTGTAGCACTTTTCACAATAGCAAAGACATGGAATCAACCCAGGTGCCCATCAATGGTGGATCAGATAAAGGAAATGCAGTATGTATATACCATGGAATACCATGCAGCCATAAAAATATGAAATGTTATTTGCAAGAACAAGGATACAACTGGAGGTCATTATTCTAAGTAATTTAACACAGAAACAGAAAACCAAATACTGCATGTTCACACTTGTAAGTGGGAGCTAAACTTTAGGTATACATGGACACAAAGATGGAAACAATAAACACTGGAGATTCCAAAAGGAGAAAGGGAGAGGAGGGTGCAAAGGTTAAACAACTACCTGTTGGGTACTGTGTTCACTAATTGGATGATGGAATAATTAGAAAGCTAAACCTCAGCATCACATAATATACCCAAGTAACAAACCTTCACATATAATCCCTGAATCTGAAATTAAATGAAATAAATGGTATTGGGAAAACTGAATATCCACATGTGAAAGAATGAAATTGGAGTCTTTTCTTATTCCATACACAAAAACCAATTCAAAGTGAATTGAAGACTTAAACACAAGACCTCAAACCATAAAATTCCTAGAAGAAAACATGGGGAATTTCTTTGACTTTGACCTTGCCAATGGTTTTTTGGATATGACTCCGAAAGCACAGGCAACAAAAACAAAAATAGACGAATGGATTACACCAAACTAAAAAGTGTCTGTACAGCAAGCAAACAATCAACAAAAAAAATGCAACTTATGAATTGGTAGAAAATATGAGCAAACCATGTATCACATAAAGGGTCAATATTAAAAAAAATAAGGAACTTACCCAACTTAATAGCAAAAAAAAAAGTGGATTAAAAATTGACCAAAATACCTGAGTAAACATTTTTCCAAAGAAGACATACAAATGGCCAATAGATACATGAAAAGGTACTCAACATCACCAATCACCAGATAAATGCAAATCAAAACCACAACCACAATGAGATATGATGTCTATTATAGAAAAGATAAAAGATTACAGGTGTTAGGATATGGAGAAAAAGGAATCCTTGTACACTGTTGGTGGGAATGTAAACTTGTATAGCCATATGGAAAACAATATGAAGTTTTCTCAAAAATTAAAAATGGAACTTTCATATGATCCAGCAACTTCCCCTCTGGTGTATACCCAAAGGAAATGAAATCAGTATCTTGAAGAAATAGCTGTACTCTTATTTATTGCAGCATTATTCACAATAACCTAGATAAGAAACAACGTAAATGTGCATCGATCAATGAATAAATAAATGTGATGTGTAAATATATGTCTGAATATATATATAGTACACATATATTCCATTATATATTATGTAATAATATATATAATAATAATGTATACATCTAAAAGAGTTGAATACATAGAAGCACAGGATAGAATGATGGTAACCAGGGGCAGGGAAGTGGGGGAAATTGGGAAATATTGGGCAAGAGGTACAAAGTTGAAGTTGTATAGGATGAATAAATCTAGAGATCTAATGTACAGCATCATGACTCTAGTTAATAATACTGTACTGTATACTGGAAATCTGCTGAGAGTATATTTCAGGTGCTCTCACCACACACATGCACACACATGCATACACACACAAAGGTGACTGTGAGGAGATGGATATGTTTTTCACTTTAGTAATCATTTTACTGTGTGTGTATATATAAAACCTCATGTAAATCTTAAATATATACAATTTTTATTTAAAAATAAAATATGGACTATATAAAAAGAAACTTTATAATTGTGAATTTAAAAAAACAATAGCATGAAAAATGAAGTTGCCATACTATATGAGATATCATGAGGGGAAGACATAATTCACTGGAAAATTAGTGGAACAAACAGTACTTCAAGAATTTATACTTGGTGAGTTATCACTTCAGGCCAGGCTGGGAATGCATCAGAGACTAGTAAGTACTGACATATAGAAACAGGAGGAACTTTCTAAAAACTGGTATGAAATGAGTAAAAAAGCATAGAACCAAAAAATAAAAGTTATTCAGTACACATGGTGAGGACCAGAAGGTTTCAGGGATGAGAGATTGGGGTGTAATTCTATAAAGGTAGACTGAGATCAGTTTGGGAAGAACCTTGATTGCCAGGCTGAGGGGCTTGACATAAGTATAGATTTTTAAAAATCTTCTTTTAAGGGCACCAGACAGCTGTAGAAGCAAAAAACTAAAACTTCAGAGAGATAGGAGCCCTTCCTCAGTGAGTTGATATGGCCAGCCATTTACTTCTCTGGGAACACTTGTCAAGTCTAGGCCTATGCTGAGGATTGAGCTTGGCATAAGCAGAGAAACTCTAGTAGGGGAAAGAGAAAGCAGTGGAACACTTGAATGTGGGCTGATAGGACTAACTGAAATCTAGAAGAGCCCTAGATACATGGCTGGTTTTCAATGTGAGACATTCACTGCGTGTTTGCAGGGAAGGGAGTGTGGTGTGCTGAGAGGCTGGGCCAGAAAAATCCCACAGGAATATCCCACAGTCTTATTTGAGAGTAAATGCTTAGAAGAGAGTTCCACTAGAATGAGGGCCTTACTACAAACACACCTCAAGCCTTGTTCTTGAGACATTTGAAACTAGAGTAAGACTATGTCTAACTAAAGGTGCCATTGAGCCCTAATCTAGCTCAGACTCTGGTAAGAATGAGGTGATCTGCCCTGTATTTTACCATAGGAAAGAACAAATTGTCTCTGTTGAAAATAACACTGATTTTAGTTTTTATGATTCTCTTATACACAACATCTAGCATATAGTAAAATGTTATGAGGCCTATGAAGAACCAGGAAATATTTGAAGAGATAATGGTCAAGACTTTTCCAAAATTGATGAAAGAATCAGCCCACAGATTCAAGAAGCTCAGCAAACTCCAAAATAAACACATAGGAAACCACCCTAGACAACTATTGTCAAACTTCGGAAAACCAGGTAAAGATAAAGTCTTAAAAGTAGCAAGTGAAAAACTATACGTTATCTACAAAAAGAAAAAGTTATATCTGACTTTTAAACAGAATGATACATGACTTTTCAACAGAAGCTCTGGAAGTTAAATGACAGTGAAATGACACTTTAAAAGTGCTAAAGGTGCCAGAAGGATCTAGAATTTTAAAGCCAGCAAATCTGAGAATTATATATCTAGCAAAAATGCCCTTTAAAAATTTAAGCAAAGTAAAAATGTTTTCAGACAAAAAAGAAAAAGCTGAGATGCCTACTACAAATGTATTAAAGGGAATTGTTTAGTTAAAAGGAAACTTACTCCAGATAGAAGCATGAAATGCAGGAAGGAATGAAGCACACAGAAAGGGTAAATATGTGGGTAAATATAAAAGAATATTGACAACTGGAAGTCAAAATTACTATATTATGTTTTTACACAAATATGAAAGTAAAATATGTTAGAACAGTGGCACAAAAGGCAAGAGGAGTTAAATAGAATTAAATTGCTTACAGGTTCTTCCATGGTAGACGTGGTAAAAATGTCCATTTAAGTTTGAGCCAGAAAAATCTCATGACAAGTCAAAAATTCATTTTTATTTTTAAAACATAGAAAGATAAAATTCTAATAGTAAAGTAGAATAATAAAAATGCCATTTAGTAATACAAAAGAAGGCAGGAAATAAGGGGTATGGGAACAAAGAAGGGAAAAATCAAAAGCAAATAGCAATACAGTCAACTTAAGCCCAGCTAGATCATTACATTAAGTGTAAATGAACAAAATATTTTGATTAAAACTCAAAGAGTGATTTTTCACACATTAAAAAGATATTATTTTTAAAAATATGCCAATAATTTACAACTTACATAAAATGGATAAATTTTTTGAAAAATGCAATTTACCAAAAGTAACCCAAGAAGAAATAAAAATTCAAAATAGCCCTATATCTGTAAAGGAAATTGAATTTGTAGAATTGAAGGTGTAATTTTAAACCTCACCATAAAGAATTCCAGAATTTTCAGATTCTGTGTAGGATGCAGGAAGTCAGAAAGATTATGTCCCCAACATAACAATAAGAAAAAGCCAGATAATCTACAAAATCATAAATGTGTATGAATCCTTTAGAAACCTGAGATCACAGGTTAACCAATTAGCCTGACATTAAGGAAAAACAACTTCCACCCAGTTGAGACAGGAGGCAAGCACTGTTTCACCCAAAGCAGGGCATGGAATGAAGACTAGCTGTTACAAAAGTGGATAAAATAATTCATTTACATCTTTAGTTGCTAAAGACTTGAGTGTGAACTACTGTGAGAGTATAGAAGCTCTGAGAACTTCAGACACTAAAGGGGGAGTTCAAAACCACTCATAGACTCTTCCCTATGGATGTTCACTCTGTGATCATCAGAAAGATTGGGAGAAAGGCTGGAGGCCACAGAAAGTTTCCTTTGTAGTGCGGGCATGGAGAGAAGAATGGTTGTTGTTGCGAAAGAAAAAAATAGCAGGAAGCTCCATTTGAATGACTCTAACCTACAGAACAAAAGCATTAATCCACTGCGGGAGAGACATCACTCTGACAACCCCAATGAATAGCTGAAGATGTATTGTACCTTGAGGAAAGATAAAGGAAAAACAACAACAAGAAGCAAAATAAAACCAAACCTTGAACATGAAGAAAGAACAGGAAACTGTCTCGGGACCAACAATTAGAGACCTACTACATCAAGTGAAGGAGCAGGTGCACTGAGAGAGCCCTGCTTCTGAGGCCCGGGGGCACAGGGACTGCCTAAGACTGAAGCTGAACCAGGACAACAGAGAAACCACCACACACTCACCCTCCATTTCCCAAACACAAAATTCTAAATGTGTATGCCCTTAACACTTGAGCTTCAAATACACAAAACATAAACTTATAGTACTAACATAAGAAATGTAAAAACATGCATTTGTAGTTGGAGACTTCAACACTCTCTTTAAGTAATCTATAGAATATAGACAGGAAATGAATAAGGATATAAAGACCTGAAAAACACTATCAACAGTTGTCCAAATTGACATTTGCAAAGCACTTCTGTCAACAATAACAGAATACACATTCTTTTCAAGTGCACATGAAATGTTCATTCAGATAAACTATATTCGGAGCCATAAAACAAACCTTAACAAATATAAAAGAATTGAAAGCATGCAATGTGTGGTTTTGATCATAACAGAATTGAATTAAACATCAATAATAGAAAAAAAGTGGGAAAATCCCCCAATATTTGGAAATTACACAGCAAATTTCTAAATAACGAATGGTTTTAAGCAAAAGTAAAAGAAATTAGAAAGTATTTTGAATTTAATGAAAATATAGTATACCAAAATCTGAGAGATGCATCTAAAGCAATACTTTGAGGAAAATTTATAGCATTTAAGGTTCATATTAGAAAAGAAAGTCTTAAATCAACAGTCTAAACCTTCATTGTATGAAACTAGAAAAATAAGAGCAAATTAAATCCAAAGCAAAGTAGAAGGAAATAAATGAGGATAACAGCAGCAATCAATAAATTTGAAAACAGAAAAACAATGAAACCAAAAATTGGTTCTATTAAAAGATAATAAAGTTGATAAACCAAAAGAGAGAAGACACCAATTACAAATATCAAGAATGAAAGAGAATAGCACTACAGACCTTATAGACGTTTATTTTACATTGTGGCCTCTTCTTTTTTCTTTTTCTTATTTTTGACAATTTTATCAGGTTGCCATTCATTCCATGTTTGCTTCAAGAAGGAAGACATTAATATTTAGAAGGTAATATCAACAGTATTTGAAAACTACTTGAAAAGGAGAGAAGGAAATGAGGGAGAAAAAGTCAATTAAACGGAACCTTAGCCTGACTTGCCAAATTCACAACAGAAACTTTGTAGGTATGTTATTTTCTGGGGAACGTGAGTCTGAGTGAGATAATTAATTGGGGCATGCTAAGTTTTCATTTATCTGAGGGACATCCAAATAAAGATGTCTAGTAGGTGGATAAATATGTGGGTTGGTGTTTGAAGGGAGGTCTGAAGTAGAGATTCAAGTTTGGGAGTCACCACCTTACAGGTAGTATTAAAACCATGGGAGTAGATTGGTGATATGTAGATTGAAAAAGCTGAGGCCAAGGATGATGTCCCCTGACTTTCTAAAAGTAGTTTCCAATTCCTTGGTACCACAAGACACCACAGGGAGCAGTCCCAAGTACCAGGAAAAAGAGCTAGCATAAGCAACTCAAGACTTTTGTCCTCAAAGAAGAACCTAGAACAGCTCACTATATTAAAATGGGGTTGGAGCTGTGTATACAAATAGTGGGCAAGTGCATTCAGACACTTCTTGGACTTAAACCTGTTCAGAAGAGAATAAACTTTCTATCCAGATTTTAGTGGCTAGACATAAAAAGTGAGCTGAGGAAACATCTAACAAGGGCAATAGTGGAGCTGCCACATAACCAAACTGTATTTTTAGACGTGGACAGCATTGTTTGTTTTCTTGTTTGTTTTTTCCATAAGTATCATAAAACACTAAAAACAGATGATAAAGATTATGATGTTTTAAAGATGCTGCTAGAATGTTATCAAATATTCCATAACAGATAATAAATATTCCAGGCATATGAGCATAGGCATATTTATAGGGAGAAAATCAATTTTCTGCAATTATGTAGAACTTACATTCATACTATTGTATGCTATCACATCCATCTCTCAGTGTCCAAATTCTTGCTTCCATTTTGAAAACCAAAGCTGGTTTGGTGAGGGAGAAATATTCTCTTCTGTTTACTCTCTTATAATGAAAATCTTTTTTCTCTTGTGTGGTAGCAAGAATTCTCCCTATATGATTGTGTGGAACTATAAACCTTCGATAACATCTCTGATTCCTTTTAGTTAGTGAAAAATAGTGTTATACTTTTATACTTTAGTCTGCAAAGAAGAGAGATTCCCTCATGATACCTCAAGAAAAAAAGGCTCTGGTAAAGCTTCATGTGAACTGAAAATGGAAAGCTATCAGGTGCCCAGGGAGCTTGAAGGAAGAGCTTTTCCCTTCATCTCCGCAATGAGCTACATGATTTCTCTCACAGCATCTTCACTTCCCTTCACTCATCTGCTCTGATTGCTGCTTTACTAACTGGCCACCTCTGCCTAGTTATCATTTCTGTTTCTTTAAAGGTCTGTTTTGAATGTAACTTCAGCTTTCCATAGTTCTTCAGCTCTACTTCCTGGCATCCTTTTCAATTCTCCCATTTCTATCTCACTCATTATTTTCAATTTTAGGTTTACAAGAATAAGAATGCTTGATCTAGCTCATCTTTTCTGTCAGTTTGTCTTAAAGGTCTCTGCTAGCCTAAAGGTCGCCTATTCTTGAGTCAGGTGCAGTCTCTCATCCAGACATCAGTAACTTAATCATTTAGTCCAAAACTTGGCCATTTTGGCAAAAATGGCTAAGCATTTTTTCTCTTCAAAGAAGATATCCACATAATAAGTTTTCAAAGTTTGGCCTTTCCTGTAAATATTGCATAGACTTTAGTCCAGATTTTAGTACGTTATCTTGTGTAATAAATTTCTACCTTTTATAAATTAACTTTTGGTATTTAGAAATATATATTTTGGCGTGAAGTCTATTCTATGATATTTCCTAGCTTACTATCTTCCTCATGGAGAAATAGAAAACACAAATAATCCTTAGTTGAAATATAAACATTTTAGTTTTAGTGAAGTGTACCATTACCAACTTGTAATGGTGTTACAAGTCATCATTCTGTATACACTAGCGTGACCCAAAATGCTCCACAGTCTAGGTAAACTACAGGAAGTAAGCTTAAGGTTATTTAACTTCCAAACCCCAGATCTCTGCTCTGATGGTCACTTGAAATTCTACAATTTCAAACACCTCTGAAGACATTCAGTTAAGGCCTCTGGCCTCTAGATGGCCCTCTATCTTTTGGGAATGCCTTAAAGTCCATTTCATGAGGGAAAGTTGAAGCCAGTGATCTTTCTGGGATAGCACAAGTTACCCTGTATCTTTGCTCAAGGAATTCTTTCTGTAGGCTTCCTAGAGGATACCAGAATTAAATTTTTCTCCCCTTTGAAGAGTCTCTCCAAAGCAAGGAGTAATACCTGTATTACTTTTGCCCACCCATGAAGGGCACTTGATTTTATTTCAAGCCCTGGCTTTTAGACGTACCTTAGCATTTTGTGAGTTGTAATTAAAATCCCAACCTCTTCCTAGGAATACAACCATAATCTCCTAAACTCTGTCCTCACCTCCAACACAGTCCTTTTGGCTTTCAAGAACTATCCACAATCAGGCTCAGATGTGCTTTTCCTTTGTTATGTAATCAGATGAATCTGAAAGTGGAAAGTTACATGTATTAAAGTGAGGAGATGGGTAGAGGAAGGTGGAAATGAAGAAAAAGAACAAATCTGAAAGGAATCAGAGAAACTGTATTCTGATACTATTGTTTAGATTTCTAAAGGAAATGGAAAGATGTTTGGCAATGAGAGAAGTCAGTTATGATTTTTAGAAGATGGTTGTTTTCTTCAGCATTTAAAACTGTTTTTGCTTTGATATAATTTTGAAGACGATTATAAAGCTTGGGACCTTCGTAAAAGTGAACTTTATAAGCCAGAACGAACTTACCACCCCCCTACTGTGAAATTTGGAAATTCAACTACATTCCAGGATGACTTTGTTCCTCAGGAGATAAAGCCTAGGCAAAGCTTTAAACCCTTCTCTGTGGTCAAACGTTCTACAGCCCCTTTTAATGGTATTACAAGTAATCGCCTTGATTATATACCTCATCAGCTTGAACTCAAGTTTGAAAGGCCAAAAGAAGTTTACAAACCAACTGACCAACGCTTTGAGGATTTCACAACTCACCGGTATGACTTTTGGGGTCTTATTTGGTGAAACTGCAAAACTCTGCAGACCTGTACACACCAGAGTGACCCAGAATGCTCGGTTTGAAGGAAGCACTGAATTCCGTGAAAGTTTTCAACCATGGGAAATCCCACGACCGGAGGTCAAGAAAGTACCAGAGTATGTGCCTCCTACAGGTAGCATGCTGTTAAACAGCACAAGCCATCTTGACTATGTTCCGTATCAGGCCAACCGTGTTGTTCCCATCAGGCCAGTTTCTCGTAGAAGAAGTAACAGTTTTCCTTTCCAAGGAAAAAGCACCATGAAAGATTTTCCAGCATGGGAAAGTTGTCGTCAAGGACTTATTAAGAAGCAGCAGCAGATTCCCAACCCATCTGGAAAATTTGATGGTTTGAGCACTTTCAGATCTCACTATTTGCAACATGAATTGATTCCAACAGAGAGTTGCAAACCTTTAAATATTGCTTTTAAGAGTTCTGTTCCATTTGATGATGTAACCATGTACTCTGTAGAGTACACACCGAAAAAACAGGAAATTTGCCCAGCTAGCTATCCCTCTCCTCCAGGTTATATTTTTGAAAATACAAATTCCCAAGGTCATAAATTCTTCTGCAAGATTACTCCCGCAGTGAAGGCCTTCTAATAACCAAATTGTGCTTAAAAGGAAGCTACTAATAAGTTGTTGGTTTTCCAAGAGAAAACTCAATTTTTGTAGTGAAAAAAATTTATGATATAATAAATCTTTTTTGTTTGTTTGTTTTTGAGAGGGAGTCTCGCTCTGTTGCCCAGGCTGGAGTGCAGTGGTGCAATCTCAGCTCACTGCAAGCTCCGCCTCCTGGGTTCATGCCATTCTTCTGCCTCAGCCTCCCGAGTAGCTGGGACTACAGGTGCCCGCCACCACACACGGCTAATTTTTTGTATTTTTAGTAGAGATGGGGTTTCACTGTGTTAGCCAGGATGGTCTCAATCTCCTGACCTCGTGATCTGCCCGCCTTGGCCTCCCAAAGTGCTGGGTTAACAGGCATGAGCCACTGCACCCGGCCGATATAATAAATCATTTTTTATATTTTTAAACAAGAAAATTGGAAAATGTATCATAAATCAGAATCTTAAAACCATTTTGTATTGATATTTTAACCAAGATTGTTCTTTAATATGCATTTTGGAAGGTTGAATAATATAGATTCCCATACGTACCATTTTAATACTCAACATACTGCTTAGTAGCTTGTCCCCAGTCTATCATTTGTAATTCTGTTTATAATTATGGCAATTGTATGGTTATTCACATAGCAGCTGTCATTTATCAAGCACATCAGGATTATCTAGAACAACATTGAAAATGATACATGGATTCCTCTTCCAAGGCAACAGGATTCATTTTACTCAGACTTCACGGCATCTACATAGCATCCACTGAGTCAAGTTTTGGTTGGTGGTATACAGACTGCTGCACTGCTCCTCACCATGTTCAAGTTAGTAAGAGCCATTGTGGTGTGGCAAGGAAAGGCTCTGTGTGCTGGGAATCGAAGGACTTGAGTTCAAGTTCTGACTAATAATTATTATTATTTTTAGAGACAGGGTCTCACTGTCACCCATGCTGGAGTCCAGTGGCATGATCATGGCTTACTGCAGCCTCAGCCTCCTGAGCTCAAGTGATCCTCCTGCCTCAGCCTCCCAAGTAGCTGGGACTACAAGGGTGTGCCACCACACCCAGCTATTTTTTTAATATACTTTGTAGAGATAGGTTCTTGCTATATTGGCCAGGCTGCTTTTGAATCCTGCCTTGGCTTCCCAAAGCAGTGGGATTACAGGCATGAGACACTATACCCAGCCTAAGTTCAAGTTCTAATAATATAGATTTCTATTTGTACTACCTTAGGCAGTGACTCATATCTCTGAGACTCAGTGTCTTTGTTTGTAAAATGATGTCTGTTTTCAAAAACGTTTGTTTTGAGCATCAGACTATATGGTACATTTTAATCCTTAAAGTAAAAGTATAAATGTAGGGGATTGTTAAAAAAAATCACTCAGTCTCTTTTTGTACTTGTTTTCTCCTTTTCAAATTAGGATAATTACTTACCCAATCCTCATTTTCTGGCCTGTATCAAGGATTGTAAAATAACCTAATTTGTTTTGAGCTATGAGTAGTATGTGAGGAGTCTTGTCCTTTAAAACTTCATGAGCACCTGAGAAATTCTTAACAGAGAATGGAAAGCTTGGAATGGGGTAAATACAGTGGTTTGAATAACAGTATTTGCAGAAAGGAAAAAGTATTATTTGCTAGGGTAGTTTTAGGAAGACTGACAGCTCTGAAGAAATCTTTAGGGTAAATGTAGGTAATTTTGCACCTAATTGCCAGGCCAAGTCACTGTTTAGAGGAAGAACCAGCCCCAGCAGGGGGCATAATCACCTGGTTCACCTCTTCCGGTGTGAAGATAAGTGATAAGGTAAAGAATGATGCCAGTAAGTATAGTAGAAACACTCTATTGCATTTATAAATGCTAAAAATTTCTGAATGAATTAAACTCTTATTGGGTGGTTTCTTTTTTTAAAAAAATTAAATAATTGCATTATGGGAGAATATGATTTATTTTAGCATAAAGTGAATTTTAGTCTTTTATGGCTTCAGAATTATTTTAAAATGTATTTTATTGAAAATCATTAATATTTGGTTATTTTAATTGTTCAAAAGTAACTTGTTCTTATTTACATTTATTAGTAAAAGTATGGTGTGTGAAACTTTATATTTCTATGCAACATTAATAAAATCAATAAAAGGAACAGATTTTCAAGATTTCTGTACCTATTTTTTTTTAAAGACAGCATTTTAATAAAGTCCTGTCTAGGTTAACCTATACATAAGTAGATGTTCTTATTTTTAAATACAAAACAATAATGTATAACCAGAATTAAAAATAAGGAAATACTACAGCACTCTGTCATCCCGTCCCATATTCCGATGCTGGATATTCAAATCCCTTCATAATTTAATGGGGGTGGTCTCCTCCCTGGACAAAGGTCACCCTTAATAAGACATCTACTAGAGTTTCCAGAGGCAAATTGCCATCATAAGGATTGAAGATGAATAATGGCATTTCCCCATAATCTAACACTCAGTATAACAGGTGTGAAAATAATAGAGATTGAAACAGAGAACAATGTAAGACATTCAGCCTAGGAGTTCAGGAAAGTCTGCCTTAGGGAGAGGATAGACAGGTGAGCTGAATCTTGAAAGATAAGTAGGAAATTGCCAGATCAAGAAAAATGGGAAGGTGGGAACAGCATAAAAATAGTTACAGAGGGACCCTCTATCTCTGTGAAAGAGTTAAAGGGACTTCCAAGCTATGTTGGTGGAAAGCTAGCAATCCCTGAGTCATTCTCCTGTTAGGCCTCCTTGAAATACTATGCAGGAACACACACAAAAAAACATTTTAACAGGGCTGGAAACTAGTAATATTACTTAGCAATCTGCCAGATTCCACTACGCCAAACTTGGATAAATCTAATGAAGAAAGGAGGAAAATTCAGAGAGAAAAGTCGGTAGATTTCTACCCCAGCCCCATCCCATTCCCACCCTATCTCTCTGGAAACCCTTGTTGTGTAAAACGAGACCACAGACTGAAATTAGAAATAAAGGCTTTATGATTTATAAAAACTGCACAGACAATGTAAGGAGTGAACCCTAACCTACACTATGGACTTTGAGTGATAATGTGTCCATGTAAGTTCCTCAACTATAACAAATGTACCACTCTGGCTGGGGGTGTTGATAGTGAGGAAGGCTGTGCATGTGTGTGGGGAGGGGCATATAGGAACTCTGTACTTTCCACTCAGTTTTGCTGTGAACCTAAAACTGCTCAAATAAATAAAGTCTATTTTGAAAGTTTTCTTAAAAGCCCTTCAAGGCAGGAGGGAGGTGTTCAGTCAGAGGCTGGGAAACCCACATCCCAGCTTCTGAATATCTCACATTTGCAGGTTTGCTTCTATACAAAACTATAATCTAAGGCCTTCTCTGAGAATCGCTGTGTGAGAAGATCCTCATGATACTCAGGAAGCAGAGGGGAGACCTCTGAAAGTTAAACAGAGTCGAGGAAGTGAACCTTGCAATCATGAGTGAGTAACTTCAAAAACGCTGTTTAAAAACATGCTGATAACATGCTTTTGAAAGGGTTGCGGTGTCCAGTGAAACATCAGGACTCTTTCATTTTGTTCAGGTTTTTGCTTTTTTTCCCTGTCATTCAATGCTCTTTTGCATGCAAGTGCAGATTTTCACCCTGTATCAGACACAGGACTTTCATCAATACTATCCCTCCCCAGCCTTCTCATAAACACAGCACACAGCTTGATAGATGCTCTCTAGGGTGGCCAGGGGCATTTCTCCATCCCATCCAATATCTGTGTTAAAACTTCTTTTTCTTTTCTTTTTTTTTTTTTTTTTGAGATGGAGTCTTGCTGTGTCACCCAGGCTGGAGTGCAGTGGTGCGATCTCAGTTCACTGCAACCTCTGCCTCTTGGGTTCAAGCGATTCTCCTGCCTCAGCCCCAAGTAGCTGGGACTGCAGGTGCATGCCACCATGCTCGGCTAATTTTTGTACTGTTAGTAGAGATGGGGTTTTGCCATGTTGGTCAGGCTGGTCTCAAACTCCTGGCCTCAAGCAATCCAACTGCCTCGGCCTCCCAAAGTGCTGGGATTACAGGCGCGAGCCACCGCACGTGGCCAAGACTTCTTTAATTGTAGCCATCATGGAACTATAATGACTAAGAAGGAAATGTGGCTGGGAGTTGCTTACAGACAGTAAGCAAGCAATAGCAAAACCAAAGCAAACCAAACCCAACCACAAAAACATAGGTAAAAGTTCTAAACAGATACTTCACCAAAAAAGATATACAGATAGTGTCTTAATTTGCTAAGACTACTATGAAAAGTACACAAACAGGGTGGCTTAAACAATAGAAATGTATTATCTCTCAGTTCCAGAGACCACAGATCCCAAGATCAAGGTGTTGGCAGGGCTGGTTTTGAGGCTGTGTGGGAAAATCGGTTCTGTTTTTTTGTCCTAGCTTCTGGTGGTTTGCTGGTGATCTTTGGTGTTCTTTGGCTTGTAGAGCTCTGTCTTTATCCTCACACAGCATCCTCCCTGTGTGCATGCGTCTGTTTCCAAATTTCCCCTTTTTATAAGGACATCAGTCACATTGTATTAAGGCCCATCCTGATAACCTCACCTTAACTTGATCTTTTGCAATGACCCCATTTTCCAATAAGATTATATTCATAGGTAGTGAGGGTTAGAATTTCATTTTTGGAGGAGACACAATTCAACCAGAAAAGACAGTGAAGAAGCACATGAAAAGATGCTTAACATCAATAGTCATTATGGAAGTTCAAATTAAAACTGCACTAAGGTACCACTACATACCTACTGGAATGGCTTAAAGAAAAACAAAAACAAACAAAAAAACCACCGCACACACCAACCTGATAATACCACATACTAGCAAGGGTCTGGGACAACAGGAACACTCACATATTGTTCATTAGAATGAAAATGGTACAGCTACTTTGGAAATCAGTTTAACAGTTTCTTATAAACATGCACATATCATATGACCCAGCAAACTCACCTCTAGGTGTTCTTCAAAGAGAAGTGAAAATGTAGGTTTATGCAAAAATGTGTATATGAACGTTTATAGAACTTTATCTATAATCACCCCAAACTGGAAACAACCCACAGGTCTTTCAACTGGTAAATGAGTGAACATCTATCCATATATAAAGCCAGTTCAAGGAACAAACAACATTTTGTTGTTTCAACATTTGTTGATTCACCCAACAGCATGCATGGAACTTAAATGTATTTTGGTAAGTGAAAAAAGCAAGACCCAAAAGACTACATGTTATATTATTCAATTTGTATAAATTTCTGGAAAAGGCAAAACTGTAGGGACAGAAAATAGTAAGTGATTGCTAGGGGTGGGGGTAGAAGCAATTGACTACAAAGAAGCAGGACAAAAGAATGTGGGGTGGAGTGGAACTAAGAAACTGGTGGTAGATATACAACTCTGCATTTGTCAAAACCATTAGAAACCACCAAGTTAATTTTACAGTATGTAAATTATGAAAACTGACACCCAGGATGTGGCATTGAGAAGAAAGGAGATTACCTAAGTGATTTTGGACAAGTGATCATATTGGCTACTATAAAGCTAAAGACAAAAATAATTGTATATGAACATTGTACTCTAGTTTTTAATTTTTTTCTCTGACAGAGGTATGTGTTATCAATTCTAAACTATGAGTATAATAAGGTTGAACTGAGAAAATATAGTGTAAATAATGAGAGCCAGGCTTCTATCAGAGAAATAAGTTACAAATAAGAAAAAGATGCAGACAGCACCATTCACAATAGCAAAGTTATGGAATCAACCAAATGCCCATCAATGATACTCTGGATAAAGAAAATGTCATACATATACACCATGGAATACTATGCAGCCATAAAAAGGAATGAGATCATGTTCTTTGCAGGGCCATGGATGGAGCTGGAAGTCCTTATCCTCAGCAAACTAATGCAGGAACATAAAACCAAATACTACATGTTCTCACTCATAAGTGGGAGCTGAAAAATGAAAACACATGGACACCGAGGGGAACAACACTTACTGGGGCCTGTCAGGGGAAGGCGGTGGGGGAGAGCATTAGGGAAAAGAGCTAATGCAGGCTGGGCTTAATAATTAGGTGGTGAGTCGATAGGTGCAGCAAACCACCATGGCACACGTTTACCTATGTAACAAACCTGCACATTCTGCACATGTACCCCGGAACTTAAAATAAAAAGATGCGGATTATAATGAACCCTATGGTGTTGAAATAGTGTGCAGGGTCTCAGTATGAATTCATAGATACACAAAAAAATAGATGTGTGTGTGTGTGCATTCACAGGTTGGTATATATGCTCTGTATATATAGGCAGTTTAATCAGAGATGGAAATTGTAAGAAAGAACCAAAAAGAAATGCTATAGATTAAAAACACTGTAACAAAAATGAAGAATGCCTTTGACAGGCTTATTAGTAAACTGGATTCTGCTGAGGAAAGACATCTCTGAGCTTGAGAATATCTCATGGAAATCACCAAAACTGAAAAGCAGAAAAAGACTGAAAAAAATACAGAGTATGCAAGAACTGTGAGACAACTGCAAAAGATGTAACATACATGTGATGGGAATTCCAGAAGCAGAAGAGAAAGAAACAGGAGAAATAGTTGAAGCAATAATGGCTGAGAATTTCTCTCAATGTGAGACACCAAACCACAGATCCAGGAAGCTCAGAAAACATCAAGCAGGATAAATGCCTACAGAAAAACTACATGTAGCCACCTAAGTTACAAACTATGAAAAAAAAATTAAAAGATGACGAGAATATTCTGAAGGAACCCAGAAGAAAAAAAAAACCACCTTACCTATAGACAAGTCAAGATAAGAATTACATCTAACTTCTCAGAAATTGCGTAAGCGAGAGGAGAGTGGAGTGAAATATTTAAAGTGTTGAGAGAGGGGAAAAAAAAGCATCACCAACCTAGAATTCTATATTCTGTGAAATTACTCTTCATAAGTGAAGGAGAAATAAAGACTTTCTCAAACAAAAATTGAGGGAATTCGTTGCCAGTAAACCTGCCTTGAAAGAAATGTTAAAGAAAAGTTCCTTGGGAAGAAGGAAAATGATACATGTCAGTAACTTGGATGTATATCAAGAAAGGAAGAGCATTGGAATAAGAATAAGTGAAGATAAAATGAAAACTTTTATTGTTCTTCTTAATTTATTTATAATCAAATATTATTGCTAATTATTATTTTGAATAAACGATCTGTTTCAATAGAAGCACACTTTAACACATTTTTTTTCTTTATTATACTTTAAGTTTTAGGGTACATGTGCACAACGTGCAGGTTAGTTACATAGGTATACATGTGTCGTGTTGGTGTGCTGCACCCATTAATTCATCATTTAACATTAGGTATATCTCCTAATGCTATCCCTCCCACCTCCCCCCACCCCACAACAGGCCCCGGTGTGTGATGCTCCCCTTCCTGTGTCCATGTGTTCTCATTGTTCAATTCCCACCTATGAGTGAGAACATGCGACGTTTGGTTTTTTGTCCTTGTGATAGTTTGCTGAGAATGATGGTTTCCAGCTTCATCCATGTCCCTGCAAAGGACATGAACTCATCCTTTTTTATGGCTGCATAGTATTCCATGCTGTATATGTGCCACATTTTCTTAATCCAGCCTATCATTTGTTGGACATTTGGGTTGGTTCCCAGTCTTTGCTATGGTGAATAGTGCCGCAATAAACTTACATGTGCATGTGTCTTTATAGCAGCATGATTTATAATCCTTTGGGTATATACCCAGTAATGGGATTGCTGGGTCAAATGGTATTTCTAGTTCAAGATCCCTGAGGAATCGCCACACTGACTTCCACAATGGTTGAACTACAGTCCCACCAACAGTGTAAAAGTGTTCCTATTTCTCCACATCCTCTCCAGCACCTGTTGTTTCCTGACTTTTTAATGATTGCCATTCTAACTGGTGTGAGATGGTATCTCACTGTGGTTTTGATTTGCATTTCTCTGATGACCAGTGATGATGAGCATTTTTTCATGTGTCTTTTGGCTGCATAAATGTCTTCTTTTGAGAAGTGTCTGTTCATATCCTTCACCCACTTTTTGATGGGGCTGTTTGTTTTTTTCTTGTAAATTTGTTTGAGTTCATTGTAGATTCTGGATATTCGCCCTTTGTCAGATGAGTAGGTTGTAAAAATTTTCTCCCATTCTGTAGGTTGCCTGTTCACTCTGATGGTAGTTTCTTTTGCTGTGCAGAAGCTCTTTAGTTTAATTAGATCCCATTTGTCAATTTTGGCTTTTGTTGCCATTGCTTTTGGTGTTTTAGACATAAAGTCCTTGCCCATGCCTATGTCCTGAATGGTATTGCCTAGGTTTTCTTCTAGAGTTTTTATGGTTTTAGGTCTAACATTTAAGTCTTTAATTCATCTTGAATTGATTTTTGTATAAGGTGTAAGGAAGTGATCCAGTTTCAGCTTTCTACATATGGTGAGCCAGTTTTCCCAGCACCATTTATTAAATAGGGAATCGCTTCCCCATTTCTTGTTTTTGTCAGGTTTGTCAAAGAT
This sequence comes from Homo sapiens, assembly GCF_000001405.40. Taxonomy (NCBI): domain Eukaryota; kingdom Metazoa; phylum Chordata; class Mammalia; order Primates; family Hominidae; genus Homo; species Homo sapiens. Next base: position 650,360 of record NW_025791797.1, on the reverse strand, counting down.
CAGATGGTTGTAGATATGTGGCATTATTTCTGAGGGCTCTGTTCTGTTCCATTGATCTATATCTCTGTTTTGGTACCAGTACCATGCTGTTTTGGTTACTGTAGCCTTGTAGTATAGTTTGAAGTCAGGTAGCGTGATGCCTCCAGCTTTGTTCTTTTGGCTTAGTATTGACTTGGCAATGCAGGCTCTTTTTTGGTTCCACATGAACTTTAAAGTAGGTTTTTCCAATTCTGTGAAGAAAGTCATTGGTAGCTTGAAGGGGATGGCATTGAAACTATAAATTACCTTGGGCAGTATGGCCATTTTCACGATATTGGTTCTTCCTACCTATGAGCATGGAATGTTCTTCCATTTGTTTGTATCCTCTTTTATTTCATTGAGCAGTGGTTTGTAGTTCTCCTTGAAGAGGTCCTTCACATCCCTTGTAAGTTGGATTCCTAGGTATTTTATTCTCTTTGAAGCAATTGTGAATGGGAGTTCACTTATGATTTGGCTCTCTGTTTGTCTGTTATTGCTGTATAAGAATGCTTGTGATTTTTGCACATTGATTTTGTATCCTGAGAGTTTGCTGAAGTTGCCTATCAGCTTAAGGAGATTTTGGCCTGAGACGATGGGGTTTTCTAGATACAATCATGTCATCTGCAAACAGGGACAATTTGACTTCCTCTTTTCCTAATTGAATACCCTTTATTTCTTTCTCCTGCCTGATTGCCCTGGCCAGAACTTCCAACACTATGTTGAATAGTAGTGGTGAGAGAGGGCATTCCTGTCTTGTGCCAGTTTTCACAGGGAATGCTTCCAGTTTTTGCCCATTCAGTATGATATTGGCTGTGGGTTTGTCATAGATAGCTCTTATTATTTTGAAATACATCCCATCAATACCTAATTTGTTGAGAGTTTTTAGCATGAAGCGTTGTTGAATTTTTTCAAGGTTTTTAACTTCTTTGCCATGGGTTCAGACTTCCTCCTTTAGCTTGGAGTAGTTTGATCGTCTGAAGCCTTCCTCTCTCAACTCGTCAAAGTCATTCTCCGTCCAGCTATGTTTTGTTGCTGGTGAGGAGCTGCGTTCCTTTGGAGGAGGAGGGGCGCTCTGATTTTTAGAGTTTCCGGTTTTTCTGCTCTGTTTTTTCCCCATTGGTGTGGTTTGATCTACCTTTGGTCTTTGATGATGGTGACGTACAGATGAGGTTTTGGTGTGGATGTCCTTTCTGTTTGTTAGTTTTCCTTCTAACAGTCAGGACCCTCAGCCGCAGGTCTGTTGGAGTTTGCTGGAGGTCCACTCCAGACCCTGTTTGCCTGGGTATCAGCAGCGGAGGCTGCAGAACAGAGGATATTGGTGAACAACAGATGTTGCTGCCTGATGGTTCCTCTGGAAGTTTTGTCTCAGAGGAGTACCCGGCCGTGTGAGCTGTCAGTCTGCCCCTACTGGGGGGTGCCTACCAGTTAGGCTACTCGGGGGTCAGGGACCCACTTGAGGAGGCAGTCTGTCCGTTCTCCGATCTCCAGCTGCGTGCTGGGAGAACCACTACTCTCTTCAAAGCTGTCAGACAGGGACATTTAAGTCTGCAGAGGATTCTGCTGCCTTTTGTTTGGCTGTGCCCCACCCCCAGAGGTGGAGTCTACAGAGGTAGGCAGGCCTCCTTGAGCTGCGGTGGGCTCAAACTGAGCTTCCTGGACGCTTTGTTTACTTACTCAAGCCTCCGCAATGGCGGGTGCCCCTCCTCCAGCCTTGCTGCCGCCTTGCAGTTTGACCTCAGACTGCTGTGCTAGCAATGAGCGAGGCTCAGTGGGCGTAGGACCCTCTGAGCCATGCGTGGGAGATAATCTCCTGGTGTGCCGTTTGCTAAGACCATTGGAAAAGCGCAGTATTAGGGTGGGAGTGACCCGATATTCCAGGTGCCATCTGTCACCTCTTTCTTTGACTAGGAAAGGGAATTCCCTGACCCCTTGCACTTCCCGGGTGACGCAATGCCTCCCCCTACTTCGGCTCAGGCTTGCTGCAGTGCACCCACTGTCCTGCACCCACTTTCCGACACTCCCCAGAGAAATGAACCCGGTACCTCAGTTGGAAATGCAGAAATCACCCGTCTTCTGTGTCGCTCATGCTGGGAGCTGTAGACTGGAGCTGTTCCTATTCGGCCATCTTGACTCCACCCTCTTCTTCACTTTAACACATTTAAAAGACTAGAAATCATACAATGTCTGCTTTCAGGCCGTGGTGGAATTAAATTATAAATCAATAACAGAAAGGTAACTGGAAAATCTCAAAATATGTGGAGATTAAACAACATATTTCTAAGTTACATGTGGATCAGAAAATCTCAAGAGAAATTTTAAAATATTTTGAACCAAATGAAAATGGGAACACAATTTATCAAAATTTGTGGGATACAGTAAAAACAGTGCTATGGGGAAATATAAGGCATTGAATACATATATTAGGAAAGAAGACAGATCTTAAATCAGTATTCTAAGTTTACACCTGAAGAAAGTAGAAAAGAAGAGCAAATTAAATCCAAAGTAGGTCAGGTGCCATAGCTCACGCTTATAATCCCAGCACTTTGGGAGGCCGAGTGGGGTGGATCACATGAGGTCAGCAGTTTGAGAGCAGCCTGACCAACATGATGAAACCCTGTCTCTACTAAAAATACAAAAATTAGCTGGGCATGGTGGTGCATGCTTGTAGTTCCAGCTACTCAGAAGGCTGAGGCAGGAGAATCGCTTGAACTCAGGGGGCAGAGGTTGCAGTGAGCCGAGATTGAGCCACTGCAGTCCAGCCTGGGTGACAGGGCAAGACTCCATCTCAAAAAAAAAATCAAAAAAACCAAAGTAAAGCACGGTGGCTCATGCCTGTAATTGGGAGGCTGAGGTAGGCAGATTGCCTGAGCTCAGGAGTTCAAGACTAGCCTGCGCAACATGGCAAAACCCTGTCTCTACTAAAAATACAAAATGTTAGCCAGGCTTGGTGATGCATACCCATAGTCCTGGCTACTTGGGAGGTGGAGGCACTAGAATTGCTTGAACCTGGGAGGAGGAGGTTGCAGTGAGCCAAGATCACACCACTGCCCTCCAGCCTGGGTGACAGAATGAGAATCTGTCTCCTAAATAAATAAATAAATAAATAAAATAAAATAAATCCAAAGTAAGACAAAGAAAAGAAATAATTAGAGCCGAAATCAATGAAATTGAAAACAAGGAATCAATAGAAGAAATGAAATGAAATAAACACTGGTTACTTGAAAAAAATCAATAAATTCAGTAAGTCTCCAGCAAAGCTAAGAAAAAAAAAACCAGAAAGGATACAAATTACTAATATGAGAAATGAAAGAGGAGACATCACTACAAATACTATGGGGATTAAAAGGATAATAGAGGAATACCATGAAGAACTCTGCCTACAATTTTATAACCTAGAAGAAATAGACCAATTCCTTGACACAATCTGTCAAAATTCATACAAAGAAACAATGTGCCAAAACTCACACAAAAAGAAACAGACAATCCAAATAGGCTTATTTCTATTAAATAAATTGAATCAATAATTGATAATCTTCAAAACCAGAAAGCACTAGGCCAAGACAGGTTCACTGGTTAATTCTACCAAACATTTAAGACAGAAATAGCAATTCTCTACAATCTCTTGAGGACAGAAGCAGAGTTAATATTTCCTAACTCATTCTATGAGGCCAGTATCACCCTAATACCAAACCCAGACAAAACATTACAAGAAAAGAAAACTGGCCTGGCATGGTGGCTCACGCCTGTAATCCCAGCACTTTGGGAAGCAGAGGTGGGTGGATCACCTGAGGTCAGGAGTTTGAGACCAGCCTGACCAATATGGTGAAACCCTGTCTCTACTAAAAATATAAAAATTAGCCGGCTTGGTGGCGCAGGCCTGTAATCCCAGCTACTCAGGAGGCTGAGACAGGAGAAATGCTTGAACCCAGGAGACGGAGGTTGCAGTGAGCCGAGATCGCACCACTGCACTCCAGCCTGGGCAATAGAGGGAGGCTTGCTGACAGAAAGAAAGAAAGAAAGAAAGAGAGAGAGAGAGCTACAGACCAATCTCTCATGAAAAAGGAAGGAAGGAAACTACAGATCAATCTTTCATGAAAATAAATGCAAAAATACTCAACAAACATTAGCAAGTTGAATCTAACAATTTATAAAATGAATTATACACCATGACTAAGTGGGATTTATCCCAGCTCTTGTAAACTATGGACTTTGGACTATGATGATGTGTCAATGGAGGTTCATCAATTGTAACAAATGTACCATTCTGGTGGGGGATGCTGATAATGGGGGATGTTATATATGTGTTGGGACATGAGGTATACATGGGAAATCTCTGTACCTTCCAATCAATTTTGTTGTGAAATTAAAACTGCTCTAAAAAAAGTCTTTAAAAAATTAAAAGGCTATTAGTACCGCTTGCTCTTCCAACTACCCCTTACTTCAATACCTGTTTCAGGTTGTCTGTTTGGGACTTCTTTCTTCTGCTGCTCTTGAGATTCTTTTAAAAATGATTCACAATATGTAAATGAGTAAAATGAGGGCATTAGAGTGAATCTTTGTGAGATCTGCTCTGAGTCTTGTAATCCACACTCTGAAGGACAGTCCAGGGAATCAAACCCACTGGGGTGGCTCTTGGACTGATGAAGGGGCAGCCACGATGACAAGACCGAAGGCTACCAAAAAATAACACACATAAGCTGCCTACATTTATAAGGATGCCACTGAATAATCAAAGTAAATTTATTTCTGAATTACATAAGGATCATGAAACAGAAACATTAACTCTCATGTTATAAAAACAGTAGTAAAATACAGTACACAGGAATGTCAATTGAATGACAACAATGAAAGTACAATAGCAAATGAAAAATAGTAACTTTTAACTTTAAATACAAAGTGAAGCAATTTAATATGAAATTTTGTTAATAAGAAAAATATATGTCCCATGTCTTTATTACATACTGTACAAAATAAAATATTGCACCTTTCATATAATAAATATATACAAAGAGTATGTTACAAATGATCTTTCTTTTAATTTAATAACCTTCAACAATCAGATGTGATTGATGATTAACAACTAATGGGCTGGTGTGTCCTCCTCACTGTCCCCCATCCATTCCCAATCACCAAACCCTCCACATACAGTAGTGCTCAACCCAGTGTCAGTGAAGCTGAAGTTAGAACAAAAGAGACCGTGTGCTCAGAATATGGTAGAGAAACTCAGCAAGCTTGTCCACAGACACATCCAAAGCCAAAATGCACTGTTCAGTTATTACTGACCAGGAACTAGGCTCAGCAGAGCCTGTGGCAGGTAACTTTGTTGCCAAGAAGATGTAGGCAGCAGGTGTACAGGCAGCTGAGACCCTGAATAAAGAAGTATGACCACTTATTTGGACTTGTGTGCCATCTAAAGACACAACTGGTAGTATACAGGGGAAAGACCCCATAACCAAATCAGCTTCAGAACTTACAATTTAATGCTAGCCTGAACTCACTTCAGCAACAACGCTTACTCCAAACCTAACCTCCATCCTGACACTATCACTAACACCAGCACTGGCCCCAATCTAAACCCAATCCAACCCTGACCTAACCTGGTCCTAACCCTAACCCTTAAAGACAACTCTAGCCTTAACCTTAACTTTCTTTCTCACCTAACCCAATTCTAGCTCTAATCCTAAAACTGAAACTAACCCTTACCCTTTTCCTCAAATCTTAAACTAAATTCTGATTCCAACCCCTGGTCCTTAGTGTAACTTCTAACCTAAGTCACTTTGGATTTACTGAAAAATCAGCCCAAAACAATTATTTACTATAAAAATTATTTTCAACTATCGTGTTTCTTATTTGGATTACTTTCTTATAAATTTTCCAAAATAAAGTTCTCAGGAATACTACTTTATGCATAAATTAGGTCTAATAAGGCTTTGGTTTTCTGTTTGTGTGCAATAGAATAGTGCTTAGAAAAAGTTTCATTCACAGCTCTTAAAAGAAAGCTCTGAATATACTACGAAATCAGTAGAAAAGGTTAACTTTCCCTCTTCTTTGACTTCCGAGATGCCTCATTAGGTCATAGATAAATTTCTGTAGTTGTATAAATGACAGCAATATCTACTCTGTGTTTTCTTCCATGGGTGTTCTAAAAGCAAGGACAAGATGCCATGCTTCCATGAACCCTTAGGTCAGTCAGTGTGACAGCCTATCCAGAGAGATGGTTTCTTTTTCACAGACTAAACCAAGGATCTATGAAAATGCCATTAATGCCAACATCTTAACAACTACTGGCCAGAGCTTCTAAAATGCAAATACCTTATAAAACTGTTGAAAACCTGCAACTTGAGAGAAGAGGAAGTCATGGGTTGCTGTGTTTCCCAAGTTTTTAGGATGTACCACTCTGTGCTAGTCTACATATCACAGGAAAGAGGCAGCACGTGAGGATGCACTCATAATCTTGGTGATTTCTCGATTCAACTGACATGATGAGGTCCCAAGTGCAGTGGCATGCATGCTATAGTATTTTGTTCATCCTTGAATACATCATTTTAAAAAATTGGAATATAAAACTACCATTGGAAAATTTCACTTTACACCTTAACAGTGGTGTTTTTGCATCAACCTCTGTTTGATCCATAGAATCTAGTCTTTTAAGAAATACATGTTTTTGAATCAGCGACATGGGGAAAAGAGCTTTTATATTCTACTTTTATCTTCACAGCAGCATCATGACCCCTCCAAAGGTTTATCCCTCTTGACATGACTGGCAGCACCTTTGTTTGTAGCGGTCTAGAGAACACAAATTAAGATGTTTTACAAACATACAGTAGTGAGTTGTGTCTGTGCAGTCTCCTGCAAAAAAGAAACAAATATCTGTAACATATAGCTTATTAGAGACCTAATTAAAAATTATTTGACTTTATGAAAAGCCATAAATTGAGATCACAGAGTGAGGTGAAGAAACCAGCTTTGGGTTAGGGCCATTGTTTTGCATGAGAGTCAGAAGTGCATTGGATTCCCTTTCAGCTCAGCCAAGTGACCTCTTGCTGCTCTCTGGACCCTCCCAGTCCCTCTGGCCCATGCTGCTCCTTTGAGTTCTCAGAGCAGCAATGCTTAACTTTTGCAGGGTCATGGACTCCTTGAAAAACTTATGAATGCTACACACCTACTCCCTAGAAAAATAAACCTACAGTTTTTACATATAACTTCAGGACATCAGCATACCTACCCAAGCCCATCCATGGAATCTTTGTCTTAGCACGTAAGACTACCAGGCAGAAGAGAAGTGTGTGGAGAGACTGACAGTGCTTGTCGGAAAGGCAGTAACCAATGATGCTGGCATGCTACTAATCCAACTGCCTTTTCTCTAGAGAACATGCAGCTGCACCCACATAAAGGAGTTCATCCCCTGATGTCCCAAGCTACCAAATCCATTCTGAATAGCCCCTCAGTTGGGACACTGATGAGGTAATCACTAGCAGGGTTTGGTGCCGTGATGGTAGCATCAGGATCTGATGCCATCAAGGCCTCTGGGGCAGTGGAGATACCTGGGAGGTGTACGTACTATCACAGGAGGGCCCAAGACAGTGCCGCCAGGAAATTGGTTTCTTTTTCTGTACACAGTGTCTCTTGGCCACAGGTTTGCAACTCCTTGTGTGGATACAGTCGACTTTCCGAGACTGGAAACCCCTGCCACAGGCTGCTGTACAGGGCTTCCAAGGGCCTGTGTGCCAACACACATCACAGGCCCCTGATGTGCAGTTCCTTCTTAAGGTGGGTCTGAAGTGAAAAATAAAACAAAACGGAAAAACAAAAAATAGGAGAGGCAGGGTGTAACTTTTTGCTGGGACCAAGCCTTTTTACCTTACTCTATACTACGTATTAAAGGTTGGATGGAGAGTCTAAGACCAAGACATTCCTCTGCTTTTATGCCATACAGGCTAGAACGACAGTGACAACATTCTCCACCACCTGGGGTGGAGTGCGCCTGCTTAGATGTGCTCTGATGAAGAGGGCATGGCAAGCAAACCATGTGTTTCCACTGACTTCCAACACCAAGTCAAGGCACACACATCCTGACTAGCTGGAAGAAATCAATTTTGGCAAGGAAGAGAATTATTTACTATAATGATCTACAATAAGCCACCTCAAATTCATTAACAAGACTTCAATTTTCTGTTTGTAAGCGCTCAAAACATACTGCGGTGTATGACTTTCTATGTGAGCAACCTTGTCTGCTAAAAGAAGTACTCTTTTTTACATTTAGGTCACACCAAGACTTGCAGTCAGAAACTACTGAAGACCATATGAGAATAAGAATCTATCTCTGATTTCCTTGCCTTTTAAAACAGAATGGAAAGTTAATACCCTCTGATTTTTGAAAAGACACATGCTAAAGAGGATAGAGCCAAACTTAGTGGGCCCACTTTGGGGTATCTGCCCTTGTTCCCTAAGGCAGGGCTCCTGAAGACATATTTGCACTGCTTGAGAGTGTCTTCCCAGTTCCAAAGATGACTGGAAGAGGGCCCTAACTTGAGCTGGTTGAAGAAATGTATTTCTCTTAGGATTTGGAGGTTGCTAGAACCAGGCATGCAAACCTGAAGTGTGGAGTATTAGGTGGCTATATTCTTCCACATCGGCCAGAAATATAGAAAAAAACCAGTTTTCATAAAGAGCAAATAATGAAGCAGAAACACACAGAACTGCAGAGATGAGAGAAGAGAAAAAAAACAATGACTTCCCATTTCTTAGTTGTAGTCCTTCCTGAGGTCTGACTGCATGCTCCCTGTTCTCCCTTTGGATTCTATGAGATATTTTTGTTATCCCATTAAAGGTTCCTTATCAGGGCACATAAATCCATAAGGAGTGTTTTATGGGAAATGTAATAAAATGGAGAAATTTGTGATATCCAAGAACTCTGAGAGTATTGCACGTAGTTGGAAGTAATCCTATCATTAGCCAGTAGGAGGAGACTCTATCAAAGGGTTTACTTAACACAGTGCTGTCCTACCAAACTGTTCATACGATATATGGAAGAGGTGGGTGTCCTGTTAGCTGCTTTTGTTTTCCCCAGTAGGTATGAATCTTAGGGACCAAAAATTGAGTCACTTTGAACAACAGAGAAGAGACTGAGTACTCCTCAACCATCCCTATATAGAGATCAGCCTTCCACTGAAGAAACTTGAACAAATATTCAAATAATATATTTAAAAGAATACCAAATTATTGTGCACAAGTTTTGGGTGGTCTTGTCTTATTAATAAATCCCTCACCCTTTTTTGCATAAATCATGCCAAGTTGACTTTTGCTTCTAGCCCAAAGGATTGTAAAACAGCCCCTTTTGCTTTGATGAAAGGCAGGGCCAGTGGGAAGTCAGACAGGACTATTGAGCTTTCTAAATACAAAGAATGAGAGGGGCACAGGGAGCTATGGACCAACACAGAAGCTGAAGCCCAGGAAAGCTAAGAGGCTGCTCACTAAGGATACAGTAGAAAAAATCATAATAAATAAAAAGCAAGGTCTGTCCAGTAGAGGGCGTAACTTCCTCCTGGCCAGGGACAGGACTCAGGACAGAGACACCTGAGCCAGGTGAATGCAGTCTGGGCACCTGCACTATGCACATAACTGGGGTTCATGTGTTTTTCTACATGAAGCATGAGTGTAGAAATGGTAGCAGAAATCATAAAGGAACCCTGTTTCTACTAGCTTTTTTCAATTTCTCACTTCTATTCAGTCTGGCTCCACTTCTGCCTCAAGTAACTCCTTTCACCATCAGCCAGATGGAACTGCTGATTCTGACGGCAGTAGATCCCAAGCCTGCCTGGTTATTCGAAGCAGGCAGAAGCACACAGCTTTAAAATGCTGTAGATGGCCAGGCAATCTCATGAAGGTTCTGATTCACTGCCTGAGGTGAGGCCCAAGCATCTTTATTTTACAGAAATTTCCTAGGTGATTCTGATTTCAGAAGTTAGAAATCGCCACTTTGAGAAACCAACTTTCTGTGTCCTCAGCATTCTATAGGTCCCCATGTTGTCACCTTGCCATAAGTCTGGGCTAGCTCCACCCTGACAATTCCCATTCCCTCTACAACTTTTCAATGGAAGCCACAGCTCCCAAAACCTTCCCAGGGCATATAGTAAACACTAGCAGACAGCCTGCCCACCACTGATCCTCTGCCCACGCCACTAATGCTACTCCTTCTACAACACTCTCTAACATTTCCTGAGGCCCTACTATGGCAAATGGGGGGTCTCCATTGCTCCCTGTCCACCCACTCAAAAGTGAGATCTAACACCTCACCTACCTACAGAGAGCCCATGGTCATAAACCAATCCAGCAGAAGAGGTCTGTGGGGAAAAGGGGGCTAAAACACTGCAGAAGAAACCCTCGACAGCTCTCTATACTAACCAACTTCATCCCTCATCCATAAACCACCAGATATCTGAGGAAAAAATATTAACACCATGAAAGAAAAGCATCAGGTTATAAAAACAGAACAGCCAATCCTGGAGGAAACAGAAATAAAAGAGAAAATGAATGGTAACTTGACTCCCTGCCACTCTGACTCACCCCCAGCTCTAGGAATTTTCTTCCATTATTAAAAAAAAGTCTACCCTTTAATTTCACTTTCATATCTCTTGGTCTAAAACCCAATTTAATCAGATTTTGAGCCTCTTGATAGATCCTTCTATACTCTTTATCTTCCGTATTACATTTTCTGCCTCTTATTTTTTGCTACCTTTGATTGGAAAGTATGTGACATATCTGAGAAACTGACAGAAGGACAGTGTGGCTGGAACATGAAGAGTGAGACAGCATGAGATAATGGATGAGGCTGTGAAGAAAAGTAGGACTTGAGCACGTTTTTTTGTTTGTTTTTTGGTTTGTTTTTTTGAGATAGAGTCTTGCTCTGTTGCCCAGGCTGGAGTACAGTGGTGTGATCTTGGCTCACTGCAGCCTCCACCTCCCAGGTTCAAGCAATTCTCCTGCCTCAGCCTCCCAAATAGCTGGGATCACAGGCATGTGCAACCATGCCCAGCTAATTTTGTATTTTTAGTAGAGACAGGGTTTCACTATGTTGGCAGGCTGGTCTCAAACTCCTGACTTCAAGTGATCTGCCTGCCTCAGCCTCCCAAAGTACTAGGATTACAAGTGTGAGCCACCATGCCCAGCCAAGCATGTGGTATTTTATAGGTCACATTGAGGATTTGGTCAATCTTCCTAAGAGCAAGTAAAACCTCTAAAGTAATTTTAGTCTAGCAGGGAGATGGGTTGTGGTGGTGGTAGGATCAGATTTGCATCTGGGAAAACTCACTCTGGCTGTACTGTGGAGACTGGGTTGGAAAGGAGCATGGATGGATGAAGGGGGACCAGTTGGACAGCTGTGACAGTATACCAGGTGAGATACGATGGTGGTTTGGCCAAGGGTAATGGTGGCAGAAAAGAAAAAATGAAGATGAGTTCAAGAAAAAAAATATAAGGAATAAAAAATCATATAAAAAAGTAATCAGGAAAGTACACATTACAATGAGATAAATTTTCATCCATCAGATTGGCAAAAATTTTAAAAGACTGCAAACCTATATCATGTTGATGAAAAGGGGGCAACTCTCACATATTGCTGGCATAGAAATTTTGATGGCAATTTGATAGCATCAAAATGAGCATTCCTACCAATTCAATTCCATTATCTAAAAATCTACTCTATAAAAATATTACCCTTTGTACCCAAAGATATATGTTCCAGGATATTTACTGAAGCTTAGTTTATAATAGCAAAAAGTTTGAAACTATCCAATGTCCATTAGCAACAGAATATTAAGTACAAAATTTAGATAGAATATTGAGTAGAATAGAGTATTAAGTACAAAATTAAAAAGAATAAAGTTAATCTTTACTTGATGGGAATTATCTATAATATATTCTTAGGTAGAAAAAGCAAGTTTCAGAAAAATATGTATGTGACCCATGTATGTATTTGTGCTTTAAGTATATCTTTGTGAATGCAAAGTAAAGCACCTGGGATGATGCATATCAATCTGTGTGTGGTCTGTATCTTCTCAGGAAAATAGGAAACTTAGGTTGTCTGTTGAGAATGAGAGCAGCCGTTCCAAACATTTTCCATTTGAGGAGAATGGTTTTGGCTTGAAATCACTTTGTGGGGAATAGGAAATGCAACTGACCCTACATTGCCAAACCTTACTGAAGGCTCAAAATGGTAACCCAGCCAACTGTCAAGGTCATCTCATTTTCTCCAGCAAGACTCAGGACATGGAAAAGGAAGAAATAGCCAGATATTGAGCATCTTCCATGACCCAGGCTGCCTCGTGTTTCACACTAAGCTAAATCATTAAAACTTTCTAAACATAAGTTCACATGGATGATAATATCCCACTTTGCAGATTAGGTGGCTAGGCAGTCCAGGGTCACACAGTAAGTGAGTGATATAATAGAACTCCCAAGCCCCCGATTAGTGTGCCTTCTAGGCTCTCTCCCCACTTTCTGCTGGCTGGGGTGCTGTTCTCTTGGATGGTAGAGCTGCCAGATGGAGGGCATCTGGATCTCTGGATGACCCCATGAAAAAAGCTCTTCTATCCCTAAACCATCTACCAGCTCAGACTTTTATAAAAGGAGGAAAGCAAACTCCACCCTTATTTAACCTCCTCAACAAGATTAAAGTTTATTTTACTATCTGCCAACCACTGTGACAATATCCTAATCAAAACATTTTCTAAACAGAGAAATAAAGCAGTTCATTAAAAGCATTAAGAAGATTTAATCTGTAAGCCTAAATGGAATATTATTAGGCTTGATTAACTTAGTATATAGAGGGAGAAGTATCTCCGTTTTCTCAATGATATCCTTTTCCCCTTTTACCACATAGAGTGGTGTCCCTTTATTGTTTAACATCCAAACAATTTATAGTTATAAATAGTGCACATTAACTAGTATTTCAGTATAATATATACTATTGAAGATGACACTAAATAAATCATAATTGAAAACTGTCAATTATGAGAGTTGGTAGAAACTAGAAAGGATTCCATTTTCAGGCAGTTATAATCATTGTCCTGAGTGAGTCAGGAGAGAATGTGTGCTGCTCTGGGGTGGGGCCCCTACCTCTTTCTGTCATCACAGTTGGAGTCAGAGCTGTTGTGTTGACAAGCTGTGTGACGCTGCTGCATCCTCACAGCACGGCCCATGCAACGTCCAGGACACTGGAACAAAAAAGCACAGTGCAGTGTAAATCCTGCAAGCTCATCCATGCTGTGTGTACTAAGATCATGTACTGAGGCAGGATAGCTGAAGACCTATTACAAGGGGACTGTAACCAACTGTCCCCAGGGGGGAGTTAAAGAGGATTAGGGTACAGCTCTGTGGACCAGACACCTCTTTTTCAGAGTCAGGAAGAAACTGCCTAAGCTTACCATCCCCTCTGTATTAGTCCATTTTCACACTGCTCTAAAGACATACCCGAGACTGGGTAATTTACAAAGGAAAGAGGTTTAATTGACTCACAGTCAGCATGGCTGGGGAAGCCTCAGAAGACTTACAATCATGTCAGAAGGTGAAGGGGAAACAAGGCACCTTCTTCACAAGCGGCAAAGAGGAGAAGTGCCAAGTGAAGGGAGAAGAGCCCCCTTTATAAAACAATCAGATCTTGTGAGAACTCACTCACTATCATGAGAATAGCATGAGGGAAACTGTCGCCATGATCCAACTGCCTCCACCTGGTCTCTCCCTTGACATGTGGGGATTGTGGGGATTAAAATTCAAGATGAGATTTGGGTGAGGACAAAAAGCCTAACCATATCATTCTGCCCGTGGCCCCTCCCAAATCTCATGTCCCTTTCACATTTCAAAAGCATTCATGCCTTCCCAACAGTCCCCCAAAGTCTTAATTCATTCCAGCATTAACCCAAAAGTCCAAGTCCAAAGTCTCATCTGAAATAAGGCAAGTCTCTTCTGCCTATGAGCCTGTAACATGAAAAGTAAGTTAGTTACTTCCTAGATACAGTGGAGGTACAGGCAGTGGATAAATACACCCATTCCAAATGGGAGAAGTTGGCCAAAATAATGGGACTATAGGCCCCATACAAGGCCAAAATCCAATGGGGCAGTCAAATCTTAAAGTTCCGATATGATCTCCTTTGACCCCATGTCTCACATCCAGACATGACCCCGTGTCTTCCATCATGCTGATGTAAGAGGTGGGCTCCCATGGCCTTAAGCAGCTCCTCCTCTGTGGCTTTGCAGGGTACAGTCCTCACTCCTGGCTGCTTTCATGGGCTGGTGTTAAGTGACTGTGGCTTTTCCAGGCACACAGCACAAGCTGTCAGTAGATCTACCATTCTGGGGTCAGAAGGATGGTGGTCCTCTTCTCACAGCTCCACTAGGCAATGCACCAGTGGAGACTCTGTGTGGAGGCTCCAACCCCACATTTCCCTTCTGCACTGCTGTAACAGAGGTTCTTTATGAGGACCCTACTCCTGCAGCAAACTTCTGTCTGGACATCTAGGGTTTTCCATACATTCCTCTGAAATCTAGGCAGAGGTTCTCAAACCTCAATTCTTGACTTCTGTGCACCTGCAGGCCCAACACCATGTGTAAGCTGCCAAGGGTTGGGGCTTGCGCCCTCTGAAGCAATGGCCTGAGTTGTATGTTGGTTCCTTTTAGCCATGGCTGAGACACAGGGCTCCAAGTGCTCGGACTGCACAAAGCAGCAAGTTCCTGGGCTCAGCCCAGGAAACCACTTTTTTCTCCTATGCCTCAGGGTATGTGATGGGAGGGGCTGCTGTGAAGACCACTGACGTGCCCTGGAGACATGTTCCCCATTGTATTGGCATTTTGCTCCTCATTCCTTATGCAAATTTCTGCAGCCAGCTTGAATTTCTCCTCAGCTCCTCAGAAAATGGGTTTTTCTTTTCCATTGCATCCTCAGGCTGCAAATTTTCCAAACTTTTATGCTCTGCTTCCCTTTGAAACATAAGTTCCAATTCCAAGTCATCTCTTTGTGAATGCATAAAACTGAATGCTTTTAAGAGCATCCAAGTCACCTCTTGAATGCTTTGATGCTTAGAAATTTCTTCTACCAGATACCCTAAATCATCTCTCTCAAGTTCAACATTCCACAGATCTCTAGGACAGGGGCAAAATGCCTCCATTCTCTTTGCTAAAGCATAGCAAGAGTCACCTTTGCTCTAGTTCCCAAGAAGTTCCTCATCTCCACCTGAGACCATCTCAGCCTGGACTTTATTGTCCACACCACTATCAGCATTTTGGTCAAAACCCTTCAACAGATCTCTAGGAAGTTCCAAACTCTCCCAAATCTTCCTGTCTTCTTCTGAGCCCTCCAAACTGTTCCAGTCTGTGCCTGTTACCCAGTTCCAAAGTCGCTTCCACATTTTTGGGTATCTTTATAGCAACATCCCTCTCTCTGCTGTACCAATTTACTATATTAGTTCATTTTTACACTTCTATAAAGAAATACCTGAGACTGAGTAATTTACAAAGGAAAGAGGTTTAATTGACTCACATATCTGCATGGCTGAGGAGGCCTCAGGAAACTTAAAATCATGATGGAAGGCAAAGAGGAAGCAAGGAACTTTCTTCACAAGGCAGCAGGAAGGAGAAGTGCCAAAGGGGGAAAAGCCTCTTATAAAACCATCAGATCTTGTGAGAACTCACTCACTGTCACAAGAACAGCATGGGGGAAACTGCCCCCATGACTCAATTACCTCCACCTGGTCTCTCCCTTGACATGTGGGGATATTGAGGATTATGGGGATTATAATTCAAGATGAGATCTGGGTGGGGACACAAAGCCTAACCATATCACCCTCCTTTCTCCCACAAAACTTAGACCACCTCTGGGGAGAAGGAAAAAATGACAGGGCAAATCTTGAATCAATTGGGTTTAAGTCCGGAAATGACTATGCTTAAAACCATAAATGTCTGCCAAGTTTGGGTTTTTCTGCTGTGAGCAAAAATGAAGACTTGTGTGCTAAGGTGGGTTCAATTACAGGAAAAAAATTTTAAAATTTTGACATTCAGTTCTTAAAATTTTTACTTATTTATAATAATACCTATTAATTTGTCCTTATAATTTATTTTATGCTTAAAAAGGTCTTTACTGTCATGATAGTTCTACTTGCATTTACTTACTGATACACTTAGCTCTTTAATCAAGTTAGAATTTATTTTGGTGTATGTTCTGAGTCTGTGCTCTGATTTTACTTATTTTTCTTACATTAGCTAGCCGATTTGTCTTATACTGCCTTTTTTCTTTTTTTGGCTAACCACTTTATTGAGATACAATTTACAAACTATACAATTTGCCATCGAATGTTAACGGAATTTAGAGTTGTATAACCTTTACCATAATCAATTTTAGAACATGATCATCATCCCCAAAGAAACCCCATACCTTTAACAGTCACTCCTAATTCCTCTGATTGCTTCTTTCCCCAAGCCTCGGCAACCATTAGTCTACTTTTTGTCTCTACAAATTTCCCTGTTCTGGACACTTTGTATAAATGGTGCCATGCAGAGTGGTCCTTTGCATCTGTCTTCCTTCAATTACCATAATGTTTTCAAGGTTTAGCTCTATTGTAGCATATATCAGTCCTTCATTCCTTTTGATGGTCAAATATTCAATTGTGCAAGCATACCACAGCTCATCTACTCACCAATTGTTTCCATTTTTTTTATTATTATGGGGTGTTGTTATTTGGGTTGTTTCTACTTAATGACATTGTGGTTATTATTAATAATTCTCCAACAAATATTCATGTACAAGTTTTTGTGTGGACATATGTTCCATTTCTTTTTTTCTTTTTTTTTGAGACAGAGTCTCGCTCTGTCGCCCAGGCTGGAGTGCAGTGGCGTGGTCTCAGCTCACTGTAAGCCCTGCCTCCCGGGTTCACACCATTCTCCTGCCTCAGCCTCCCAAGTAGCCGGGACTACAGGCACCCGCCACCACGCCCAGCTAATTTTTTGTATTTTTAGTAGAGACAGGGTTTCACCATGTTAGCGAGGATGACCTCATGATCCTCCTGCCTCAGCCTCCCAAAGTGCTGGGATTACAGGTGTGAGTCACCGCGCCCGGCCTCCGTTTCTTATTTGTATTTTTTTGCCCTAGGATATAGATCCTGAATGTTTCATTTCTTTTGGATACATACCTAGGGGTGGAATTTCTGGGTCATATAATAGATCTAATCTAACATTTTGAGGAACCGCTAGGGTGTTTTCTAAAGTGTCTGTACCATTTTACATTCCCATCAGCAGCATGAAGGTTCCAATTTCTCCACATCCTCATCAACATTTGTCACTATCTCTTTCACTAATGCCATCCCAGTGAGCCTAAACTTGTATCTTATTGTGGTTTTGACTTGCATTTTTTAATGACTAATGGAAAGCATCCCTTCGTGTGCTTATTGGCCATTTGCATATCTTGCTGATAGTTTATTTGTGTTTTTATTATTGAGTTGTAAGTATTCTTTACATATTTTAGAGATAATCTCCTTTTTGATATACAATTTTTAAGCATTTTCTCCCATTCTATAGGTTGTCTGTTTACTTTCTTGATGGTTTCCTTTGCAGCACAAGTTTTTAATTTTGATGCAGTCCAATTTATCTATTTTTGTTGTTGTTGCTTATGCTTTTGTTGTTATATCTAAGAAGCCATTTCCTAATCCAAGCCATGAAAATTTACACCTATATTTTTTTCCAATAGTTTTATATATTGAGCTCTTAAATTTAGTTCTCTGATTCATTTTATTTTTTCGTATGTGGTGTAAAGGGTCCAACTTCCTTTTTTGGAAGTTGTCCTGCATCACTTGTTTAAAAGACTATTCTTCCCCCATTGAATGGTTTCTCAACCTTATACAAAAACAATTGAGATATATATATATGGGTTTATCTCTGGACTCAATTCAATTTCATTGATCTATATGTCCATCCTATGTCAGTACCATACTATCTTGATTACTGTAGCTTTTTGGTAAGTTTTGAAATCAGAAGTCTGAGTCCTGCAACTTTGTTCCTTTTCAAAATTGTTTTGGTTATTCTGTGTCTCTTCTATATCCACATGAATTTTAGGATCAGACTGTCAATGTCTGCAAAGAAACCAGATAAAATTTTGATAGCGATCACATTGAATTTGTAGATAAATTTCAAGAGTATTGTGTTACTAGTAATAATAAGTCTTACAGCTTTCCATTTATTTAGATCTTCTTTAGTTTCTTTGAAAAATATTTTGTAGTTTTATATCTTCTATTTTTAAAACAATGTTTTCTCCTATGATTAACTGCCTTTAAATGTTAAAGTCAATCTGGTCCGTTTCTGAGCTCTGATTATACACCATAACCTGTGTCTCTTCTGCACTAATGCTGTACTATTTTACTCATGACAGTTTTGCATCATGCTCTGACATAGGATGAGGAAAGTCTCTCTATACCTCCAATACTTTTTTAAAATAAAAATTTATGTCTTTATTGTCATATTATCTCCCATGTGAATGCCAGAATTATCTTTAATTCCACAAAAAGTTCTACTATGATGTTAATAGGAATTGTATTACGTGCATATATTCATTTAAGGAAATCGACATCTTCGTAGTACTGAGATTTTCCATTCAGGAGTATAATAAGTCTTTTATTTGCTCAACTTTTATGTGTTTCAATAATGTGTTATATTTTTATTTATGGGTTCCTACACATTAAACTTTTTCCTAAGTATTTTTATTATAACATTATCAAAGGTGGCATTTGGGATGAAGATTCTGAGGCTTTTGTGCAGATACCACTAATGTTCCCCTCCTCATTTTCCTGAAGGCTACTTTTATTCTTACTGCCCTAAACTGGTCTAACTTGGAGCTTCTGTTATGGCATCACTGCATTCAAAGAACCCAAACTTGGTTCACTTTTGTACTGGAAGACAGAGATACTATGATTTCTAAATGTAAACCTTGAGGTCAAAGACATACATTCATTTCAGAGACCAGTCAGATTCCTGCCCCCCGCCCCAAAAGTAGTTTATTGGAAACAAGGTGATTATTATCACACTATCTGTGTGGACAGATAGTGCTGTCCACAAACTAGATGTGTTAGCTTTACCCGGTTCCCTGGTTCCCACTGAACACATGGATGACCAAAACATGGTTTTCTTCCCAGAGGCCGGTCTTTAGGGGCACATGCTCTTGGAGACACCACCTGCACAGTTCCATTGGCTTTTGTCCGCTTGCACGTCACCTGCCGACTGTGGTATCCTTCACCGCAAGACACAGAGCACTGTGACCACACACTTGTGAACCACCTAGGAACAAAAACTACAGGACTTTAGTAAGGACTGGTATGCCAGATCTTAGAGGGGGCGTCTCATCAAAGGAAAAAGCTGATCCCAACACCATGGCTATCTTAGGCTGTCACATGTCTCTATGGGAATGGGAAGCAGCACAGATGACTCCCAGCCTTTTTCTCAGACCTTCTTTAACTCGGGAGAAACAGTGTCATCATGTAGAGATGACTACTTTAGGAATGGGGTACAGCTGTCTTCAGGTTTATGAAGAGCTGTTACTTGTGTGGCCCTAGAGGGTAAAGCTGGGGCAAATTTAGGAGGAAATTTCCAAAAGGTGGAGTTCAACTCACTGAAACTAAAATGAAGAAAATATATTTCCAGCATCTAAGTGTTGTTTACCCTGCAAGATACTTACATGTTAGCTTGTATAATTCTCATGTTATTCCCATTCTTGTAGAAAAGAAACGGATGTCCACTGAACTGAATAACTTAGCTATGACCACATGACTAACCTGCCAGCAGAGCTGGGATTGGATTCTAGATTTATCTGACTCTAAAGTTCATGCTTTAATGATTATAGGAGACTGAACTTGGAGCTGGACACCTTTGAGATATTGAGTGCTTTGTCTGTTGGGACAAAGATGCTGTTGGGAGACTGCAGAGCAGGGGTTTCTAACATGATGTCCATGGTTATCCAAGGAAACCACATACTTGGATGGAAAAAGAATTCCGTCTTCATTGTCACTAAGCTCTAACTGAAATTTAATATTTCCTTCAATTATAGAAACATAGGCCACAAGTACAGTAGCATTAATAATACCTGTGATTTTGTTACCAATAGAAATCATAGATATTTACACATTACATTATGACAGGTATCTCAAAATATCATTTATATTCATCACCATATTAAAATTAAAGCACAACTATATCTTGTTATTTTTTGTGTTAATAGAGAAGTAAATCTATATCAGATCTTGTATGTTTGTTTGTTTGTTGTGAGACGGAGTCTCATTCTGTCGCCCAGGCTGGAGTGCAGTGGCGCAACCTCGGCTCACTCCAACCATTGCCTCCCGGGTTCACGCCATTCTCCTGCCTCAGCCTCCCGAGTAGCTGGGACTACAGGTGCCTGCCACCATGGCCGGCTGATTTTTTTGTATTTTTAGTAGGGACGGGGTTTCACCGTGTTAGCCAAGATGTTCTTGATCTCCTGACCTCGTGATCCGCCCGCCTCGGCCTCCCAAAGTGCTGAGATTACAGGCGTGAGCCACTGCGCCCGGCGATATATCAGATCTTTAAAAATATTTCACTAAGTGAACTTCAATATAATTGGTTTCCATTGTAATCAAATGTATTTTATTTTACATATTCAAAAACCTGGTTCTGAGACGGTATCCACAGGCTTCTCCAAACCACCAGAGGGAGCTGTGGCACAGAAATGATGAGAAGCCTTGATGTAGAGGGATCTGGGATTAGATGATCTCTATGGTCTCTTCTAGGTATGAAAGTGTGGGACTGTTTATCCTAGGAGTGTGCAAAGGTTTTAGAATATTCGAGAAACAAGACTGCTGACAGATTTCCCAATGTGGATTCTCTCCGCGTTTTGAAAATCAAGAAATGCCATAAAACAGCTTTCTCAATCAGGTTACTCCAAGTTACTGAAGCATGAGTTTGCTGCTTTCTGAGGGATGACCTTAACATGAGATCTTCCTTTTGAGAATTACAAAGGGTACTGGAAGACCTATCAGTTAGGGTGCCTGCAATATTGATAACCCTCCTAAGAACATGTCCTAAGGAACCTATTTTGCTTTACACTGTGACCCTGCCTCCCACTCTCCTCCAAGGCACTCTTAGAGACTGGATCTAGTGTGGACATCTGCCCAAGGGCAGTGAGCTATATAACATTAAACATTTCTCCAGTTTCTCATCAGTAAAATGTTAGTATCTTCTTCATTGGTTTGTACTCAACAAATGCTTTTTTATTTGTTAATTGTTTTTACTATGGATTTTGGTACTATTTGGTCAACTATCTGCTAGGGTCTGTGTTGTAATCATTCATTCATTGATTTCATAAATATTTATAGGGAGTATATGATGCAGCAGACATTGTGCTAAGTGCTAGGAATAAATTATTGAGCAAAATACCTGTGGATTTACTCCCCATAGAATTTACGGTCTAGTGGGAGAGCAAGACAGACAATTGTGGTAAGAATTATGAAGAATGATAAGGACATATAAAAATCATATAACATAAGGCGTGATTTACTTTGGAGGGCTAAGTTCAGGGATGGTTTCCCTGAGCATGTATTGAGGTATATATAGATGAACAGAAATGATTAAGTGAAGAGAGAGGGGACAGTGTCCTAGGCAGAGGGAGAAGTATGCACAAAGCCTCTGAGTCAGGAAACAGAATAGTATATCTAAGGGACAAAAAAAGACCAGCATGGAAGGAGATCAAATAACCAGTGTGGGAGAGACAAGCGATAAAAGAGATAGCCCAAGGCCCAAATATGAAGGGACTTCAATTCTTCCACTCATTTACTCAGTCAGTCAGCAAATATTTACTAAGCACCTACTATTGCTAGGCACTGTTTCAAACATGAGATAAAAAGATGTACAAGATAGTCACAACCCCAGTGCTGGGAATTTTGGCCTTTGTCCTAAGATAAATGTGTAAATTGCACATGGCATCATTTGCAAAGCAAAAATGTAAAATATATTTTTAGTTGGACACTCAGGATTACAGCTTATTTAAAAATAATTTTTTAAAAGTAGATATATTTACTGAGAACCTCCCAGGTGACAGGTACTGAGTTAGACACTTTATAATCAATTTTTCATTTAATTTTCAAGATCATCTTGTGAAGTCGATATTTTTATTTGCAGAGGTAGAAACCTAATGAAACTAAGAGAACCATCATGATGAATTTGTTTCAAATATCTTTATTCTTAGAGAGTGGACAAAGTACTCCAGAGAGGGAGATAAGAACCAGAAGACTCCTGGAGTAGTCCATGTAAGAAAAAATGACGGCTTGGACTTTAGTGGTAACAGTGGAAATGGACAAGAATGGATGGAAGTGAGAGAAAGAGGGGCATCTAGGATGTAGTCATCAAGATCTGAAATACTGGGGATGGAGTAAGTTTGCTGGAGACCATGAATTTGATTTTGGACATTTAAAAATTACTGATTTGTATTACCTATTGCTTAGAAAGCTTATTAATGGTTTTACCTCCAGGGATCAAGTCTAGAGAACTGTGTTTTTCACTAGTGCCTCTGGTGATTCTGGCCCACTGAATTATCTCCTAAGTAAACCCAAGAAATTAGCCTCACTAAAGTCTTAAAGAACTGACAGGATTGTGTGTGCAGGAAGCAGGTTTGGTTAGTGATTGAGAGCAGGGGCTCTAAAATCAGACTATCACCATTTGAATCCTGGTCCTTATAACTGTATGGCCTAGGGGAGTTTCCCCATCTACGAAACAGGAAATTAACAACATCTACCTCACAGGACACTGTGATCCATGTAAAGCACTTAGCAGGATGCCTAGTATACAGTAAGTGATAAAAAAAACTTAGCTATTGAATTATTATGTCCAAATCACTGCACCTTTCAAAACAAACAAAAACTTGGTGTTGATGAGATACAAAGAGTGACTTCACTTACCTCGCTGGG
The DNA here is from genome assembly GCF_000001405.40 of Homo sapiens. Classification (NCBI taxonomy): domain Eukaryota; kingdom Metazoa; phylum Chordata; class Mammalia; order Primates; family Hominidae; genus Homo; species Homo sapiens. Next base: position 627,378 of record NW_025791797.1, on the reverse strand, counting down.
CAGTCCCGGATGTTACAGGGCTCAAACCCAGCCAGTGGCTTCTGGAGGTGATCACACAGGGCCTCACTCACTTCCTGCCCATTGGCCATCACACACTGGGGTCTCTGAATGCGGGCTCCCAAATGACCACAGGTGGCAGAACAATGTGACCAGTTACCAGGCTCCCAAAAAGGCTCTGCAGAAAGAAAACAAAATATCATGCCAGCCCCAAAAGAGAAATGACGACGAGCTGGAGAAGACATGGCCAAAAACCACCATGAGATGTTTTTTGGTTCTTTAAGTAGCATATGGAGAGAAAGCCATCTCATAGTGCAAGGGAGTCCTCTAAATCTTATTTTCCCTCAACTAATTTACTGTAATAACTGGTGAGAATGGCGGCCAGAATGGGGTCCTTGGACCACAGTCTGGAGAGGGACTATCATCGGCCAGCTGGGTCTGCCAGAAAAATCCCAGAGAGAGAGGAGGCACTCTCAGCAGTGGGCTGCCTCCTCAGTGTTCTCTAACCACAGCCAACAGGACAAGAGAGGAGGGCCTCTCTAGGGGATGCCCTAACGGGTTCAATTTCTCAAAAGTGGATCAGGCAGAGAAATGAAAGATGATTTAGCAGGAGGAACAGGGACTAGGGATTAAGCAGTAAGGTTAAAGATGCATTTGAGTTCTGTTCTTATTTTTCCATTAATTCTTAATCTAAACTTCAGATTGATCCTGTGACTGCATAAATAATTTGTCACAGAGACATCTGAAGAGATAAATGTAGGAGTTTCCTTTACAAGAGTAGAAGCCGACCACCTCCAGTAATCCCAGCTTTTTAAAAATTTTAATCCCTATTCCAAACAGCCTTTCCCTTCCCTGCTGACACTCAGCAAAAGATGAGGTAGGACATGATGATGATGGATTTGTGTGTGATCACAGAAGGTGCCAGATTTTCCTGTAATAATTACAAGTAATTAATAGCTACCAGCTGTGTCCACAGGCTCTCTCACATAGCAGAGTGATTTCTTTCACTTGTTTTCCACTTTTTCCTTCTGATTTTTGAAGTTCGTTTTAAGTTGTACATGGCATCATTTGCAAAGCAAAAATGTAAAATACATTTTTAGTTGGACACTCAGGAATACAGTTTATTTAAAAATAATTTTTTAAAAGTAGATACGTTTACTGAGAACCTCCCAGGTGACAGGAACTGAGTTAGACACTTTATAATCAATTTTTCATTTAATTTTCAAGATCATCTTGTGAAGTTGATATTTTTATTTGCAGAGGTGGAAACTGAATGAAACTGAGTACCTTGCCCAAGGTCTGTCACCTGTTAGCCGGACTGGATCCCAAGTGTGTCTGACTCTATTATGCCACATTTCACAAAGACACCTTGGCAGTTCAAGGCAGGACATGTGCATTTCTTTTAAAATGTGTGTGTTTTTTTAATTGAGGTATAATTCATACACAATAAATTGATTATATCTCAGGTGTGCAGTTTTACAAGGTTTCACAATTGTAAGCACTTACGTAACCATGATCCAAAGCAAGGGATGTAATATTTTCATCATCCCCCTCTTGTCTCTTTCCAATCAATTGCTCTCCCCTCCCAGGCAGCAACTCGTCCATTTCTATCAGTATACATTAGTTTTACTTATTCTTGTACTTCATATAATATGTACTCTTGTGTATTTGGTTTCTTTTTTTTTTTTTTTTTTTGAGACAGAGTCTCACTCTGTCACCCAGGCTGGAGTGTGGTGGCATGATCTCAGCTCAGTGCTGCCTCTGCCTCCCCAGGTTCAAGCGATTCTCCTGCCTCAGCCTCCTGAGAAGCTGGGATTACAGGTGTGCACCACCGCGCCGGGCTCATTTTTGTATTTTCAGTAGAGATGGGGTTTCATCATGTTGGCCAGGCTGGTCTCGAACCCCTGACCTTGTGGTCCACCCGCTTCTGCCTCCCAAAGTGCTGGGATTACAGGTGTGAGCCACTGCGCCCGGCCTTTGGTTTCCTACGTTGCTTAGCATAAGGTTTTTGAGATTCACTCATATCATTGTGCATATCAGTAGTTCATTTCATTTCTTCTATTGCTGAATAATGTTCCCATTGTATAAATCTACCATAGTTTTTAATCTATTCTCCTGTCAATGACTATTATCAATAAGTTGAACATTCATGAACAAAGCTTTTTGTGAACATTTTTTTTTTCGGGTAAATACCTGTGAGTGAAACTGCTAGGTCGAGGGTAGGTGTGCGCTTAACTTTTTTAGGAGCTGCTAAATCGTCTTCCAAAGTGGTCTAAACATTTTACACACTAAGCAATGCATGAGCGTTTCAGTTGCTTCACACTCTTGCCAAAATTTGGCATTGTCAGTCTTTTTGTTTTTAGCTACCCTACTGGGTATGAAATTGTATGTCACTGAGGTTTTAATTTCCATTTCCCTGATGCCATCTATATATCATCTTTTGTGAAACGTCTGTTCAAGTCTGTTGCCCACTGTGTGTGTGTGTGTGTGTGTGTGTGTGTGTGTGTGTGTATGTGTGTGTGGTGGGGGATATTCATTGATAACTTGTGGGAGTTCTTTATATATTCTAGATATAAGTTCTTCATCAGACATATGTTCTGCCAATATTTTTCCCAGTCTATGGCTTATGTATTCATTATTCTTATTGGTGTCTTTGATAAGGAGATCTTTAAAATTTTGATGCGGTCAGTCCAATTTGATAATTTGTTTTTGTTTTCTACTTAGTGCTTTTTGACACAAATGCATTTGAAAAGCAGATCATGCCATATCACTACCATATAAGACTCCTCAATGACCTCCCATGTTTTAGGAGTAAACTCTTGAGTCTTTACCTTGGACCTCAAAGCTCTGAATGATTTGGTCCTCAGCCACTCTCCAACCTCATCTCATATCCCTCTCCCTCTCCCTCAACTGTACCCTAGTCACATGAATCTTATTTCCATTCTGAGGCCACATTAACCTTATTCCAATTTTATGGTCTTTGCTTCTTTCTCATTTTTCTGCACAAATGGTTTCACCTCATCCTTTAGGTCTGGGCTCAAATATAACCTCTTAGAAGGCCCATCCCGACTGTCTTCACTAAAGTGGCTTCCTCCTATCACTGTGTATCTCATAGCCCTTACCACTGAGAAATATCTTAAATACTTATTTGTTTACTGGTTTCTTGTGCATCTTTCCTACTGGAATGTCAAGACCATAAACACCACCCTGTCCAACACTAGGACAGGGTATGTGAAATATTAGCCATGCAAGCAGTATTTGTTAAATTAATAAAGGAGTCTCTTTGAAATGCTAAGCTAAGGATCCTTTGAAGGGCTGGGACATTCCACAATGTGTGTGTGTGTGATTGTATATTTGGGCATGTGTTTGTGTGTGTCTGTGTAGGAGGTGGCAGAACAATGCAAGTAGTCCCAATAAACCAAGAGTTTGACTATTCCAAAGGCTTCACCTTCACCAATAGCTTCAGCCTCACACATATCCTTTTTGTTTTTCATTAATTTATTTTAGGCAGTTCTTTTGATCTTCATGTTCCATGCCACATGCAACACACCATGGTTTCTCTGACTGGAATTTCCTCTTTCCTCTTCCCAGAACAAACATCATGACCTACATGAAAACTCAGTTGACTTCTCTAGAGAGAGGTAGGGCCCCTTCCTCAGTGCTACCATTGTACTTTGGTCATCTTTTTATTATGGAACTTGTCCCAGTGCTTTACAGTATCTGTTTACGTGACTGCCTCCCTCTTCAGACTGTGAGCTTCTCAAGGAGGAGGTCATCTGCAACCCCAGACCTGGGAGGAGTAAGCACTGGGCAATATTTGTTGAATGTCCAATAAATGGATATTTGGGTATACAATAATGTTAGTATTATGTTTAAAAGAGGAGAAGAAATGTGTCATACAAATACTATAAGAGAATGATGTCATAAGTAACGTGATGGATTGCTGATTGGCAGCTCAACACTGTTTTCCCCTTCTGTGCTCTCTCTTGCACCTCAGGAGGTGAAAGCCTAGAAACTACATTTCTTAAAATCTCTACCGGTAGAGTTATATTCTGCATGATACATTATGCAAATGAGAGGCACTTCTCAAGATTTAAAAGGTGAAAATGACGTGGCCATTATTGTTCCTATATAACGAGTACAACATGAGGTTTAAAAGGAGTTTCTTTGTGGCCGGGCACAGTGGCTCACGCCTGTAATCTCAGCACTTTGGGAGGCCAAGGTGGGCGGATCACGAGGTCAGGAGATCGAGATCATCCTGGCTAACACGGTGAAACCTCGTCTCCACTAAAAATACAAAAAATTAGCCGGGCGTGGTGGCGGGTGGCTGTAGTCCCAGCTACTTGGGAGGCTGAGGCAGGAGAATGGCATGAACCTGGGAGGCGGAGCTTGCAGTGAGCTGAGATCACGCCACTGCACTCCAGCCTGGGAGGCAGAGCGAGATTCTGTCTCAAATAAATAAATAAACAAAATAAACAAAATAAAATAACAAAATAATTAAAAAAAGAGTTTGTGTCCTTCTGCGATTTACCCATTTTTGAGCTACAAGGAGCTGAGATGACCAGTAATGGTTTCCTGCGTTTCTAGCATTTCTGATTTTCTTAACTCTGCCTTGATCCCTTGGCCTTCTGCAGAGTTTTATAAGCTTGTAATACTTAGATTAGGTTCTCCTGATTAAGCACTGATGCATAACAAAGTTGGTGTGTATGGAAAACTATGTCTTGAAAAAAGAACAATTAAAAAATCAATTCCAATACTCATAGCAGACTATTAATATCTATTAATATTTACCAAATTGGCAATAGTTTTGAAACTGGAAATCAATATCTATATTATCACAAATAATAGTGCACATTTGAGATATGAGCTCTGTAGGCTTCCTCAGGAGTGGATTTTTCTAAAAAGTGTTTCAATATGGAAAGAATAAGTTGAACCACTAAAGACTGAGGGTCAAGAAAAAGGCTGGCCAAATGCCTAGAAATAATTTTACATATTGCAAAGTGAAAAATACAGATGGTCTTTTAGCTAAATCCTTTTCCTTACACATGCCTCACACATAGCAAATCTGAAAAGGTCAAAATCCCAGACCTTGAGGCGGGGGTTCTCCTGTTGGGTCATTGCTGTTGGTTCTAGTGTTGGTTGCCTGGAGAATGTACTTTTTATGTCCTTGCAGAAATACGATTCTACTCTCTGGCCATCTTCGTTCTGAGGAAAAAAAAAAGTAGCACTTTTACCAGTTAGACATTATCTAATTATTGGTCCAGCTTGGGTGTTCTTAAAGACAGCTATTAGAAAATGAGTCCTCTATAATAATACTGTGCTCCTGGATACTCAAGCTCATGACCACAGGTCTGGGAGGTGTGTATAAGTATGGACGTGTGGGGTGTTATAGAGTTTAGAGTTACTCACTGTGCTAGCATGTGGCATCTCTGCATGTTTCCAGGGTTTCTAGCCTAAATTGCAAGATGAAAAAAATGTATTCAGCAGAATTCCAAAAGGGACTGGAGGAAGCAGATTGGTTGGATAGAGCTCTGCCTCTTAAGAGGAATGCTGGGAGCAAGAGAACGGGCAATGTTCCCTAGGTTTGCATGGTGAGGAGTACGGGCTTTTAGGAAGGTTGTGAAGCTTGCACATAAGAGCAGAGGATGGTGGAGGAATGCCATGATTTGACCTCTCCATCAAGTTACCAAAGTCATGAGCTGCTTGGCTTGAGGGGATTCCTGAGAGAAGAGGTATGCCAGGTAGGAGTGAGACAAGCATGCAGATTCATGAGTGGAAATGGGCAGAAGAAAGAAACAAGGCTGGGGTTTCTCAGGGAGCATGGATAAATCATTCAAGAACCAGACAGGGTTAGCCTAGCCAATCTGTTGCAACTCTTCCATTCGAAGATTTTGGAAGATCACACAGAGGCTTTTTGGAAAGAGCCACGTGGTGGCACACCACTGCCTTTGTCAGTACTAAGAGTCCATGAGGGGTAGCAGGGAGAGCACCAAAAGAGCAGACTACATATTTGGGCACTAGTTCAAACTCTTTATGAGCCCAAGGCTCCTCATAAATACAATGAGATTAAAAAATACCACCCACAACACTGTGCTATCATAAGTATCACAAGAATTAACGCTCATCAAAATGCTTTGTGCATGACAGCTATTCCAACTCCCTGCATTGGCACCCCCTATCTCTTTATATCTCTGGGCTCCTCTAACTGCCCCAAGGAAAGCTATGGAGAAATCTCTTTCATGTTTTTTCCTCTTGGTTTAGCAATGGATTCTATACTCTTATACTAATTTTGCCAATGGTTCAATTTCATTCCTTCATGAAACCATTACTTAACACTAACATCTGACCGGGCGCAGTGGTTCATGCCTGTAACCCCAGCACTTTGGGAGGCCAAGGCGGGCAGATCACGAGGTCAAGAGATTGAGACCATCCTGGCCAACATGGTGAAACCCCATCTCTACTAAAAATACAAAAATTAGCTGGGCATGGTGGTGTGCGCCTATTGTCCCAGCTACTCAGAAGGCTGAGGCAGGAGAATCACTTGAACCCAGGAGGCAGAGGTTGCAGTGAGCCGAGATTGTGCCACTGCACTCCAGCCTGGTGACGGAGCAAGACTCCGTTTAAAAAAAAAAAATCACACACACACACACACAAACACTAACATCTGTGTTAGGTGCTGGGAATACGGGGTGGTAAAATAGGGTGTTAGAATTTAGTGCTCGTTTTTAAGCAGGCAGTGGCAGCAATGGTTAAAACCATCTGATGTCCATCTCGTTCACTCAACTCCAAAATCAACAAAACTGGGGCCTACTTTGTGCATATTACAGGAGGCACTTAAGGAGCAATAAGAATTTGACACTTACCCAGCAAGTGGAGTACAGATGTTGCCACTGCCTTTCCAAGAGCATTGGTGGCTATGCAGACGTAGGTTCCTTCATTTTCAAGGGAAACATTCTGCAACAACAGGGATCCATTGAAAAGCAAGGAAACATTGCCACTCAGAGATCCTCCTCTCTTCAACCAAGTTATATTAGGCTGAGGGACACCTTTGGAACAAAAACAAATATGACAAAGGCAATTCCTTTAAGAACAGGGCCACAGAACCACTTGACAAATACCATTCACTGTTTTGACCGTAAGTCAGCATATGGGTTTAATCATATATAATAGGAAAAATGGCTATTTCTATTTCTATAGCTACTCTATGGCAGATGGAGGATCCTCTTAAAGCAAAGGGCTTTGGTCTACAGGGCATGTGACTGGTTTACACATATAAGTTATGGAATGGAAACCAAGGAGTAGGATTGCTCTGTATTGGGAAGGGAGAGAATTTTGAAGGTGGGTAGGGTAGTGGGAGTGTGGTTGGAAAGAAGGAGTCGGTGAAGCTGGGGGAATGTGGAGGTAGAGACACAGTGAGAAACTCCCAGGGGGTAGGTTGTCACAAGGAAGTCTTTGGAAAACATAAATATTTCCTAGAGGTCTTTAAGTTGTTTGCTGTGCATAAGCAATGAAACATTCCTCCCTCAGGAAGAATATACAACATCCAGGGAAACAGAGTTCATTAATTCTTTGTAAAGGAGGATAACTTCAGGGAGCAAAAGTAAGTGCTGAGTTTCAATTCCGGGTCAATGCAGTGAGATGCAGGGACTGTAAGCAACATTGCAGGAGCCTGGACACAGAGGGGAACATGAGGAATTGAAAGAATTTCTTTCCCCAAGTCTTCAGAAGGCTTAGCATTTTGCTGGGCTTTGGAATTTAAGATTCAGAGGAATAGAGAAATTTCATTTGGTTCTTCTTCTTCTTCTTTGCTTTTTCTTTTTGAGATGGAGGCTCCCTCTGTCACCTAGCCTGGAGTGCAGTGGCACAATCTTGGCTCACTGCAACCTCCTGGGCTCAAGTGACCCTCCCTTCCTCAGCCTCCAAGTAGCTGGGACTACAGGTGCAAGCCATCACACCCAGCTAATTTTTGTAATTTTTGTAAAGACAGGGTTTCATCATGTTCCTCAGGGTCGTCTTGAACTCCTGGGCTCAAGCGATCCCCCGCCTCAGCCTCCCACTGCACCTGACCTCATCTGGCTCTTAAGAGCTGGAATAGCTTCAGATGATGCCAAGATTGCTCTAGACAACTGTTTTGGGGGATGTTTTCTCCTCTTACAGTGCTCTGGTTAGTGAGAATGGAGAAGCCATGGTATGGTTTTCTGACTTAAAAAATAGATGCGACCGCTATTATCATGACATGTGCAACACACCTTACAGTAGGCAAAATGCGTGCTCCATGAACATGGTGACACTTGAATTCTCATAGTTATTCCTATTTCCTGGGAGGCAGTCATTGTTAGCTGTATCTCACAATTGAGGAACCTGGTAAGCCTTTTGACTTCAGGTCCAGTTCTGTCCATTACATCAAGCTGATTATTCAAGTCTCTTAAGGAAGTCATTGTGTGGCTTTGGAGGAAACTGTTATCTAGAAATGCTTAAATTTACTTGTAGAAACCTAAGACTGATATTGGCACTGAAGTATTGCCTGAAAACTCAAGGTGAAAAAAAGACTAAATTTCTATTCAAAGAGGAGGTGGAAATGCATAGGGGGAGCACTATCTTGGCTGGGTTGGGGTGAGGCTTTGTTTTCATTCTCAATAGTTATTAGTTCTGTAGCCTTGGGCAAAGCCCTTTAGATTTCAACTGTGTCGTCTGTGAAAGGAATCTGAAAGAAGAGTAGGAACTTCATTATGTTCAGATATACTATTTGAAGTTTTCAAAATTGGAGTCTGAGATGGTTGCCCTTGGGACTTTTTGTCCTTAATCCTGTGGCTTTGTATGATCCAAGTATGGTAGGCAGAATTCTAAAGACATTGCCCCAAGATTCTCATCCTTTCATTACTCAATCAAATGTCAATCTAGGCACTGGTGTGAAGGAATTTGCAGATGTAATTAAGGTTACTAATCAGTTGGCCTTAAAATGGGGAGATATCTGGTTGGGCCCATTGTAATTCTATAAGTCCCTAAAATCAGAAGAGAAGGACAGAAGCTGTCAGGGACATATGGAGAAAGAGAAAGTAGGAGAGATGAGGCAGAAGAGGAGTTCAGAGAGATTCAAAGTGTCAGAGCAACCTAACCCACCATTGCTAGTTTTAAAGATAAAAGGGACCTGAGCTGGGGAGTGCAGGTGGCCTCTAAAAGCTGAGAGTGGCCTTCAGCTGACAGCTATCAAGAAAATGGGAACTTCAGTTCTAAAATGATAAGGGATTCAGCCAATAACCTGAAGAAGCTTGGAAGCAGATTTATTCCCAGAGCCTCCAAAAAGGAATGCAGCCATGCCACCACCTTGATCTTGGCCTTAGATACTCTAAGTGTAACAGTCAGTTCAGCAATTCTGTGCAACATAGGTGACATAATATATGGGTATTGTTTTAAGCTTCTAAGTTTGTGTTAATTTGTTACAGCAGCAATAGAAAACCAATACACCGAGAGATTTGTTTTAAATATTGTTATAAAAACTAGGCTAGCCCTAAATAGCTGAAGGAATGCTAATCACATGTGCATATATCTTTTTTAGCATTTTCTTCTACACATATACACATACAGAAAGTTTAAGCTTTCTGAAAGGTCACAGCTATTAAACATTGGAGCTGAGATTTATACCAATACAATTTGATTCAGAACCTTTCTTAACCACAACATAGGTAGATGTTATACATCTCTTAATATATTTATTCCAATGCATGTTATAGTTCTTTGTTGTTGCAGTAAACAAGATTTTAAAAAATGTATTTCATAGTTGTTTATTGCCAACACTTAGGAAAGCTATAAGCATCTGCATATTTATCTTGTTTCTAGTCATCTTACTGAACTTTATTATTTTGAATAGTTTTTCTAATTGATTTTCTTGTTTTTTAAGGTAAATAATTATATCATTTGCACATAATGACAATTTTCTCTTCCTTTCCAATATGTATACTTCTGATTTCTTTTTCTTGTCTTATTGTATTAGTGTCTCCAGAACAATGCTGAATAATAACCACTATAGCAGGTACGTTAGACTGAATATTTGTGTCCCTCCCCACCACATCTTGATCTTGGACCTCCTTCAACATGAAAAGCTTAATCTTGGACTTCCCATCCTCCAGAACTGTAAGAAACAAATTTTCTGTTGTTTATAAGCTACTCAGTCTATAGCATTTTTCTTATAGCAGCCCCAGTGGTCTAAGACAGCAGGCATATTTGTCTTGTTTCCAACTTTAATGGGAATATTACTAATGTTTCTTTCTTAAGCATGATGCTTTTTTTGGTATATAAATTTCCTTCTATTTCTAGCCTACAAGAAAATTTCTCAGTCTTTGAGTTTAACATTTAATTTGCTTATTTTAAAGTAAATCATTTAAAGCTGTTAATTTTATTCTGAGTACAGCTTTGGCTACATATCTTATGTTTTGAAATGCAATACAACTATTGCCATTATTTCATTCACTTGAAAAATGTTTATGGAGTGCCTACTCTATGTAAGACTCTGTGGCAATGCTAAGGATATAATGGTAAACTAAGTTCCTCACGGACCTTAATCTAGAGTGGGCCCATGCATCAAAACAGCCAGCTGCAATTCAAAGAGATAAGAGCGTGCAATAAAGGTAAAATACTGGATGCCACTGGAGCACAGAAGCTGTACCTCATGTAGACTGGAGAGAAAGGGAAGATACCTGCAAGGAGGAACATAGAGTGCAGATGTAGGAAAGCATGGGAACAGGAGCAGGAGCCAGACTTTTCATGGTATAGTGCCTTGTTTTTTGATTGAATGTATTACCTGGATCACCTATCCCCAACTTTTAAAAAGTTAATAATGGAGCTCAGAAACAACTTTGATTTAACTTCTTGTTAAATTTTCTCTTGGGGTCCCTTTTAGCTCTAAGATATGTGTGAGATCAATTCATTCATTCATCCATCTATTCTTTCATATATTATTTAATTCACTCTCATTATTCACTCTCTATGACCAGAATTCTTTTATAGCATTATTACTGCATTAATCTCAGTTCTCCACAGCAGATCATGAGTATAGGCCTGGCAAAGATTAGATGTGTGAATGTTTGCTGAATGCATAAATGAATAAACTAGGGAATGCATTTACTAGAAGAAAACCATATTCTATCCCAAAGATACATCAGCGTGACTTTTTTGGTTATTCATACCAATGCTCTCTTCCAAGCAGCAAAGATAATAAAGCACTGACTGTATAGTAAAATCCTCATAAACTCAGACACTATTATTTTGGAATCTATGGTAATTTAGAGAAGGGCTATACTAGCTAGGAAGAGAAAAAAATCTCCTTACATATTTGAGGGCAAAAGTGCAAATCATTTCAGAAATTCCTTCAAATACTTCACTGGCCTCCACAACATATACACAATTGTTATGTGAGTATAAATCGACATTTATAAATTAAAGTGGTTGCCTTTAAGACCCTAAGCAATTCTCGCTTAAATGACTGAACATTTCTAAAAGCAATTCATAGACTTGAAAGCATTTTACAATTCAGGGATGTTTATTAATTCAGACTTGCCTCTTACAATCAGTCCAAATTAGTGAGGTTTTCTCAAGACATAAAGCCTCTTACAGTGAAAGACCCTAAACAATCTCAGATACATTGGCTTATTCATTATTCCTCCACGGTAAGAAGCTGGTAAGCGGTGCTGTCAATTCTACATTGAAACAAGGTTTACCAGAGGCCTTCAGCCAGGCTAAACAAGCTGTGTGGAGATCTCCAGGGAGAGCATTTCCGGCAGAGGGAACAGCAAGTACCTTGGCCCTGAAACGGGGTCCTCAACCCGGGGACCATGAGACTCACGTGGGTCCACAGATAGGATTCAGGAGTCGGTGACCTTTTCACCAACTCTAGTTGAAATGTAGCACTTCTATCAATTATGAATGTAAGCACAGACCAAGGTAGTAGTATCTTTAACTCTCTCACCAATGGAAGTCACAGATATTTTCGTATCACATTACAAGTGTGACCAGCTCTCTCAAAATATTTTTTATGCCAACACTACTTCAAAAATATGGTAACTATTGGACCCAATGCTAGATTTTGAATTTGATGCATTAGTAATGAAGTACATATATTATTCGATCACACATTTGGTTTATTAATATTTTGATACCTATATTTTTATTATAATTGGTTTTCTTTAAATGCAGTATATTTTATTTTATACCTTTGAAAATATTATTTCAGAAGTAGTACCATAGGCTTCATCAGACTGGTCCAGGACACATTCCTCCAATTTTGGAGGAAAGTAAAAGAGCATGTGGCTGCAGGGATGTGAGCCAGGAAAAGAGCAGTAGGTGACAAGGTCAGAGAAGTGGCAGGTGGGGCTCAGGTCATAGCCTGATAGGTCATCGTAAGGCTTTGGTTTCTATTCCAAAGATTTTGAAGAATGGCATGAGCTGACTTGTGTTTCTAAAGGACTGCTTTGACAGCTATGTTGATTGCAGGGGGCAAGGGCAGAGGCAGGGAGACCAGTGAGGAACCTGTCAAGATAATCCAGCCTAGAGATGACGGTGACTTGGACCAGTGTAGTGGCAATGAACGTGGTAAGAGACGGTCAGATTCTGGGCCTATTCTGAAGGTAGAGCAGACAAAATTTGATGGGGGTGGGGTAGTGTGAGAGAGGAAAGCGAGTAAAAACCGACTCCAGGATTTGTGGCTCAAGCAAATTAAATAACTGCCTTGTCATTCACTGAGATGAGGGACACTATGAGAGAAGTAAGTTTGGGAGCAGAACTCAGGAGAGCAGTTTTGGACATGTTAAGTTTGAAATAACTATTACATATCCACGGAGAGATGCTGAGCAGGCATGTGGACATGTTAATCTAGAGCTTAGGGGAAAGGTCTGTGCTGAAAATATAAATTTAACAGTTTCCAGCATACAGATGTCATATTTGAGTCCTTCTGCAGGTATGGGACCAATAGGGAGAGAGTATATATAGAGAAGAGAAAACGTCTGAGGACTGAGGCCTCGGGTAGTTCAACTTAGAGATCAGGGACAAGAGGTGGGACAAAGGAGGCTACACAGGAACAGATACTATGGTAGGTAGAAAACAAAGTGGTTTCCTCAAAGCAGAGAAGGAGGGCGTAGCAACTGTCCAATGCTAGTGTAGTCAAACGAGCAAGTAAGGTAAGGCCTAAGAACTCACCACGGGGCCTGGTGTGGTGGCTCACACCTGTAATCTCAGCATTGTGGGAGGCCGAGGTGGGCAGATCACCTGCGGTCAGGAGTTCGAGGCCAGCCTGGGCAACATGGTGAAACCCTGTCTCTACTAAAAATACAAAAAACATTTAGCCTGTAATCCCAGCTTCTCGGGAGGCTGAGGCAGGAGAATTGCTTGAACCCAGGAGGTAGAGGTTGCAGTGAGCCAAGATCACACCACTGCACTCCAGCCTGGGCAACAGAGTGAGAATCTGTCTCAAAAAACAAACAAACAAACCTGACAACTGAAGTTAGCAATTCACACTTACATGGTAAGCTGTTGGTGACCTTGACAATAGCTATGAAGGTAATGGTATGGAGAATGTTTGGTTGGAGTGGATTCAAGAGAGAATGAAGAGAAATGAAATTGAAGACAGCAAGTATAAACTACTCTTGAGGCACTTTGCTATAAATGGAAATCAAGAACTAAGGCAATAGCTGGAGAGGGAAGTGGAGTCCAGGGCAGGGAATTTAGGGATGGCTTTGCTCACCTGGAATACTTATCTCATCTCCCTATTTCCACCCTTGCCTTCCTTTTACTCTCTGATTTTTTACAGTCTATTTTCAACACAATAGCCATAGTATTTCTTCTAAAAGGTAGCTCAGATCATGACACTCCTTTGCTTAGAATCCTCTAATGGCTTCCATCTCACTTAGAACAAAAAATAAACTGCTTATGATGTTTTATGATCTGCTAACATACATGGTCTTCCCTCAACCCTTGCCCACCAACCACCTCAAAACACAGAAAAAAAACAGAGCCAGAGAGAGATGGATTTTTATTTTTTTAGTGATGGGGTCTCACTGGGCTGGAGTGCAGTGGCTATGCACAGGCATGATCATAGCATACGGAAGCTTCAAACTTCTGGGCTCCAGGGATCCTCCCATCTCAGCCTCCTGAATAGCTGGAACTATAGGTATGCATCATTGTGCCTGGCTAAGGGGTGGATTCTTGACTAAATCATTTAAGTTCCTGAATCCAGATGTATCTAAAATTATGTCCAGAGTGTCTACACTCCAGAACTTTTCGGTTTTATTAGCCAATAGTTCCTCCATTTTTTCTTAAGCCAGTTCGAGGTGGTTCTCTGTTCCACGTGACCATGGGAGTCTAGACTAAAAACTAAGGTATGAAAACAACCAAGATGGCCAAACAGCCATGCCAGCGCAAGCTTCTCAGAACAAACTGACAAAGTTACATTCCAAAAGAAAATGTCAGAAATAGGAAGTTTGAAATGAAGAGCACAGGACCACACCAGAGTACAGGACCAAGTCCTTCCTTCACACTACACACTGTCCCAGGGGCCATTTCATCTACTTTGGGAAATATAGTGATAATTCCTATGCTGAAAACTCCCACATCTACCTATCCAGTCTTAATCTCTCCCTTGAATTCAAGACTCCTGGACATCTCCCATTGGCACAACATGTCCCACAGGCACCTCAAACTCCGTAAGTCCCATAGTGAACTCCAACTCCCTCTCCTACCCCACAGGTCTGTTCAGCACCTAGAAGCATCGTTACACGTGTAAACATTTTCAAAGAACTGAACAGGCCAGAGGAAATTCAGACAGATTTCTTCGCACCACTGCTCTTTATGGTGTTTCAAAATAACACATTTGCTCTGTTGCAACAGCTATAAAACGTCAGAAATAGTTTAAACTTATTTATCTAACCTTAAAGACAGGCTATTTCCCCCAAGACTTGCAGCTCTGATATATTCAACATTCTGTTTCCACAATGCTGAAATTGTTTTGGAAGACAAATGTTGTGGAAAAAAGTTCAGAGCCGGAGGGGCTGTGAAACATGTGTTGCAAAAAGTTTGCACCTCGGGGGTGTCTTTAAACTAGTCAGTGTTTAAAAACAAATTTCCTTCATCCTTGAAAGGCCCATGAAATATTCCACACTATAAATCCCTGGCCTGTTCAGACTGCCCTGAAATGCTGGATCTTTAAATAAATATATATTATACCTATATTTTTTTCTCATGTTTGTTTCTTCCAGCTACTCAAAACTCACTCAGAATTCTGCATTACTTTTTCATATACGACAAATGAAGATTTAAGCTACCATCAGTTATCTCTGGGGAATCATGAAGAAATGATGTTGCCAATTTATAAAAGGCAAATCAAACACAGGATAGACAAAGGGAGTCATCACTAATAAATGAAAGAAAGAAATAAGAGTTCAAGGGTTCAGTGTCAGAGAAAGTATCTCAAAGCTACTAGAATAATGAATGCACTCTTCTTAACTGCAGGGCCAATCTGTGCAGCAGAGTAAATTTTGTAAGGAACGTTCCTCTTCTGAGTTAACTGCATACCCTTTTGTTCTTTTTGAAAAATACGTTATGTATGCTTTTTGGATACAATGGACTATCCATCATTGATGCCATATCCAGAACTGTCTCCAAATAGAGGGCTCTGGCTTTTACTATTTACAGAATTCTCTTGAATAGCTGTTTAAGTACTTTCTTTTCTCTAGTAAACTCATGTTTAGATTGACATAATCTGTTCCCCAATCAATTTGATTTCTGAGGATTTAGAAATCATCTGGGTCATAGTATCTATTCCCAACTCCATCATTAAAAGTCCTTCCCTAAAGGTTTTGAACTGTGTTTCTTCTGACATGGAGAAGAGTGTCAACAAGTCCTCTTCCTGGTGTGGTCATTCTCATCTCTCACGTACCCTGGGCTTCTGCTTTGCGCGAGCCTGGGCAGTTCTTTAACGCCACCAGACATATCTCATGAGCACCACACAGTTCACTGCTGGATATTGTCCTCCAGAGTCTTATTTATAGGCTAGAAAGTGCCAGTGAAAATTATTATATCAAAACCAAAAACCTTCAGTAGTTCCTTGAAGAAGAAAGTCAAGAGTTGGTGCAAATCAAGCATAGCGATACATGCTGGAGCTATGCAAGTGGTGTAAACTACTGATTCCAGTAAAGGGGATAGGAGGAACTCCTAAACAGCAGCTCAAAGGGAGAACCATGGACATTCCTGAGGCCCTTCCTGATAATCAGCAATTCTGGTAATCTATCAAGATAACATTGGGATATAGATGAACAAATAGCTATTAGCCAGTTAAAAATATTAGTTATTTGGAGATCATGCACCAAAATCTCCAAGTGGATTCCACTGCTATCACCAGCAAAACCCCAGAGGACTATGTGTGGGCTGCTGGTGTCTTGGGGTGACATCTCAAGGCCGTGTTGATTCCCCAGGACTCCATTTCCTCTTTCCTTAAACCACTAACTCTTGCCTTTGGTTCTTCTGAGCTGCACCTCTCACTCTATTTCTGGGGGGTCTTTTCTCCTCAGGAATGGTAGGGAGTAAGAGTCAGTTTTCTTAGCTCTATAGCCTTTCCTGTTCTTGGAGGAGAAAAGCACAAAAGCCTTTTCAATTTAGGGGAGTCACTGCTAAGAACAGCTATCCTCCAGCCCGGGAACTGCACTGTTCTCCAAACACACCACACTGGCTGTAAAGCTGTTCTATGTGCTGTTCTCGCCATTGCAGATCATTTGCTATTCCCTTTCACCACCTGGAACATTTCTCCTCATTCTTAAAGACGCATCTCAAAATCACTTCCTTGATCCTCTTGGACATTGACAGCTGATTTCTCCTGTGTGAACCTTTGAACACTGAGGCATCAATTGTTGGCATGCCTGATTCTACCTTCAGAATGAGCCCAGAGCATGGAGCTGGGTTCTACCATTTAGCCCCCGCTTTTAGTTCACTCCCAGTTACCCACTCCTGGTTCACTCCTAATTTGAGTTTACTCCTGTTTACTCACTCCTGGTTAATTCTAGTTTACTCCTGATTACTCACTCCTGGTTCACTCCTGGTTTACTCCTGGTTTACTCCTGGTTCTAGTTGACCTCTGGTTACCCACTAATTCCTGAGGAAGAGTCTCTCATTTTGAGAGGATATTTGAGATAATTTCCAGGGACCTCTTTGGCCCCATTTACTGGCTAAATCAGTGGTTCTTAACCTTGGCTGCACATTAGAATCTTCTGGCGAAGCTTTAAAAATCCTTGGTTCTCAGGACATACTGCCGATGAATTAAATCAGAATCTCTCAGGGCAGGGCTGGGGAGATGTTGTGGTGTCCAGGCCTGAACTGACATTAACCAAAATAATAAAATGACCTGACTGTAGTATGTGTCAGTCATCAAAATGAATAACTGGGTATTGAATTAATAACTAGGGGAAATAAATGAATGAAAAGAAAAAAAACAGGGTTATATAAGTTGGGATGTTACTAGAGAGGCCAAAATTCTACACAGGTCCTATGGGGCTCTTCCCATAAAGGAGTGTTTTTCTTCCATTAACAAGGTCCTGCATGGTTTTCTCAGACTGTACTCAGAAGCTTGCATGCTTTCTTATTTCCGGGGGTTGAATTCCAACAAAATTCCCTTTCCCTCAGTCCCCACCCTGTGTGGGTGCTGTGGGCCTCTCGGTCTTGCTGTGAAGGCATAGTTAGGTCATAGCAGCCGGAATGAACTAGTGGGTCATTCAGGGGCTTCTGACGGTTCCCTGTGTTTTATAATGGATGCTGTTCCATGCTGCACACTTGTCCTGTGCTCTCTGCTGCTGCCTGGGGGTCTCAGCACACAGAACCAAAAGCAGAGAGTCTTGGAGGGCAGAGAGCAAGCAAAGGCATTTCTTACAGTATAAGTAGATTTGAGTGGTATAGGGCATTCAAAACCCTTCACTTTTACTGCCTGGTATGAAAAGCTTCCCAATTGCTATCAAATCTCATACAGGTTTGGGAAACTCCGGACTAGCCACTCTGGCTCCTGCTCTGACACCAATACGAGGAGCCAAGGGAACACAGGCCAGCCAGGAGGCACCACTCAGAGACTCATGGAATTAAAGCAACTCATTTCTTTAGAAGCCTGGACTTCAGAAGATCACTGAGGAAAGAGCTTCTGTCCAAGAGCAGAGGAGGATACGAGGCTCCTGCCCTGTGGATTGTACAGGTGTTTAGTGCACCATCTCACAGGCTCAACAGGACTGATCCAGGGCCATTTTATTAATGTTAAAACTTAGGGGAGCTAAATGAGTCTTAATATCAGAAATATGGTAACCAAGAAAAAGTGGGAGGCCAGGCACCGTGGCTCCCACCTGTAATCTCAGTACTTTGGGAGGCTGAGGTAGGAGGGTTGCTTGAGCCTAGGAGTTCTAAACCAGCCTTGGCAGCACAGCGAGACCTCTGTCTCTACAAGAAAAAAAAAAATTAGTCAGATGTGGTGGTGCATGGCTGTAGTCTCAAGGGGCTAAGGCAGGAGGATCGCCTTAGCACAGGAGTTTGAGGCTGCAGTGAGCTATGATCATGCCACTGCATGGC
Source organism: Homo sapiens (assembly GCF_000001405.40). Classification (NCBI taxonomy): domain Eukaryota; kingdom Metazoa; phylum Chordata; class Mammalia; order Primates; family Hominidae; genus Homo; species Homo sapiens. Next base: position 608,799 of record NW_025791797.1, on the reverse strand, counting down.
ACTGCAGTGGCACTCCAGCTTGGGCAAGAATGAAGCACTGTCTCTAAGCCAAAAAAAAAAAAAAAAAAAGAAAAGAAAAGAAAAGAAAGAAAAAAGAGAGATTATGGAGGTGAAATCTATTTGAAATCTTAAATAAGATATCATTATGGAGTGTTCATATGTTCTTTTGGCAGTAGGAATCTGCCATGGTCACAGGAATCCATGACTTTCAAACATTAGTATCAGAACAAGTTCTTTAAAATTTTTTTTATAAGAAAGTCCGATTCATAAAATTGCAAAGCATAGAGGTCTTTTGGTTGGGTTATATGTTGGGGGACGGGGAACAGGTAGGGTAGAAGGGGAAGGCTGGGTCCTTGACAAGGCTCCATGGAATCTATAGTCTGAAAACCATTGGTTTACCCATTGGTCTAATGATGGTGCATGGAAGAAAGGTGCATGGTTGTTTGGAGGATAGGGAATGGGTGGGCACACAATGTGGAACTACATGATGACAATATATGGGGCCTTTTGGGTCAGTCTGTTGTTACCATGTGATAGGTTAAACATTAACATGGGGCTGAGTGACTGTGGAGTTTTCAGGACAGAGAAATGTACTGGTGGCACTGAAGACAGGGATGGGGTATAGATTTTGGGGATGAAAGCAGTGTTGTTAACAATAGGACTGGACCATCAAGGCTGTACTTGAATGCTTCAAGACATGGCGACACTCAATACATGTAGACCCATAAGCCAAAGCACAAGGTTTTTTGCAATGAAGTCTGAAATTTGATAGGTGTTTGAAGAGCCCCTCCTGTTTTTTCGTATTGCATATCCAGCTAACTTATTCTAGATTTCTTTCTACTTCTTGATTGTATACAGGCCCATGTTTTCACCACATGAGAAACTGAGATTGATAAAAAATGCAAAGAAAATCATTTTTTCAAGAAGCACTCAAAATAGAGCTTCAGTGAATCTTTAAAGAGCAGATAATTGTTTTATAAATGAGTCTTTTTAATCTGCTAAATCAATAATCCAAATACAAGTCCAAAGAGATTTGGGGCAAATATATTAAGGGTGAGGTGAGGGAGTCCATAGTCACTACCAGACAGTGCATAATTTGCCACATTCTTTCCCACTGCTGCAGTGATGGCAGAAGCATGTGTCAAGGTCATGTGCCTGGTTGAGCACAATGGGCCAACCTTTGGCCTGATACTGGCTGGCATCTTGTGGCCCAGCAAGAGGCCAGGCTCCCAGTGTACTCTCCCTGGATCTCATACCATGGGGCAGTCCTCAGGTGAGGTTGAGCCCTGGAGGTTGAGCCTGTTGCCCACCCCTAAGCCAATGACACTCTGTCACCAGGCTGCAGCACTTCCTAGGTTCTGCCTCACACCTCGCTTTGACAGTCTTCTCTCTGGTCAGACCTCCTGCGTGGTGCCTATTCTGCTGTCTCAAACACAGTTTCATTCTCTGTCTAGCTCCTTTGGAGTCACACAGGATTGGGTTTAAATCTTGGTATACACACTCATTAGGTACATAAACAAAGACAAGTAACTGTGTGTATCTGAGTTTGCTTCCTTATCTGCAAAACAAATATAATATCCACTTTGTATGCTGTTGAAGCCAATACACATTAGGAGCTCAAGTTATTGTTATTTTTGATGATGAGCTTTGATGGTTTTCCAACATGTTATTTATTGACATGCTGCCTATTAGCACATACTCCTCAGCTCTTTGCAATATGGCTGCCCTCCATGCATGACTCTACTTGTCAACACCCTAGCCCTAGCCTCGGGACACCTGTGTCCCACACCCTCAATTAATGACGCATCCGTTGCTAAATGCCAGATATGTCTGCTGACTCCTGGATAAATCAGATACATGTAACGTCAGCTTAATATCTTGAGTGACTGGCAGGCTTTTTGGGGTCCAATAATCCAATCAATGACCATTGATGCAATTTAGTTGCGTTCAATTTACAGCTTTCTGCAGCTTCTTTCTCCTCTAATTTTTCATCCATTTTGAAATACAGATTGGTTCACACCATTACCCTGCTCAAAATGTTTCTTGTCTCCTCTTTGCCAATAAAATGAAGTCCATCGGTTTCAGCATGACATTAAAGCCCTTCACATTCTGGTCCACACTTACACTTCCAAACCTACCTCTTCCCACTCCCCTTCACATCCTCTGCTTTAAGTCACACAGATCTGCTTGTGATGTTGCAAGTAAGCAGGGTGCTTTCATGTTTCCGTGCTTTTGCATATATGCTGCTTTGATTAAAATGCCCTTCCTTTTTGTTACAAGTGGGCTGGTTGCAATTCATCTTTTTAATAAACCTTTTCTGACTCCTTAGTTAGAAGCCTTAATTAGTCTCTCCTTAATGTGTCTGATACACTTCACAAACACTTCTATTTTTGCATTATGACATCATATCATAATTCCTTTGTCTATATAGCTGCAGAAACCAGATTGTATTCATCTCTGCATGCTAAGGAACTAGACTGGGCTTAGTAAATGCTTAGTGAATGCTTGTTGAAGGGAAGAAAAGATGGATGGAATTTCCAACCATCTATGATTGGCTGTTTGACTGAATATAGGGTTAAGAGAGGATAGTGGGAAGATTTCTGTATCATAGACAGAGGAAGGAAAAAAGGGGAAGGGGAGCCTTTTTGAGTAGGGAAAGACATTTTAAATATACATTTCAAAATGACAATTTTAGCTATTTCAAAGATTGTATATGAGTTTTAAAAAGAGATAACAGTATAGAAGAGAGGATATATTTCAAAAACCACAGATCAGGGGAAATAAATTCACTGTAATTTAGAATATAGTCAAAAGCACCAAAATGTCCAGTTCATAAAACAAGAGCAAGCAGATAATCTTAGATTTCTTTTTAAGTCTTCTGAAAAGTATATGCAAAAACTGGTGGGTAAATACATTTTTCTGGAGAGATAGTTCTTTTTTTTTTTTGGCCAAAGGGATTTATGACTTAAAGACATATGAGAATCACTACCATTAAATTCCACCCTATATAATATAAACTAGCAGTTGATAGGGGAAAATAATTGTCAGAGCAATGAGACCATGTTTAGGAATTTAACCACATAATCCTGCTGCACCACAAATATTTTCTCAAGATCCTCCCCTGAAAGGGTAATTGTTAAACCCAGTAAAGAAAGTTAATAATTCGCCTAGACATCAATAAAATTCTTAGGTATATTCCACAGCATTTTATCCCTTAAAAAAAATCCCGATTAAGAAAATCCTTTTAAGTTTATGTGATATGTTTCTTCTGAAACTGACCATCCTCCCATAGATATCAAAGGGCCTCCTTGCCTCCACATACCTCTTGGAGCACCAAGTGCCCTGCTTTGACCCAGTGAGATGCTCACTTCCCATCATTTGTTTGTGCATGCACCGTGTGGAATTAATCAGGAAACTGTAACTTCTACCTACCTTTTCTCATTCTCTCCTATCAATGAGCAGCAACAATGACAGGGGGCGGGTAGGGTTTAAAAATACCCCGCTAGTAGATTCAGACTTCCTAGCTGGCAATTTGGCGATAATGTATTTAGAATTCTAGACATTTTAATTTTAATGCCCTATTTAGTTACAAAAATGTTGAATGTCCTGTGACCTAACAATTCCATTCCTGTTACTCTTTTTTAAAAAAATAATCCAAATGACACAAAAAGTTATATGCATAAGAAGGTTTCTTACACTGCTGTATGGAACTGTAAAGAAGTACAAATGGTTTAAGTTTCCAAAAACAAGAGAAGGGTTTATTTATGCTACATTCACACAATGATACACTGGTGTGGCTATTAAATGATATTTATGAATTTTTAATAACATGAGAAAATTCCATGACTTAGAGAAAGGGTTACAGGAATATAACAAAATAGAAATAATGGTTGTGTCTTTGACAGGATTATGGGAATTTTTTTTTGCCTCATGATACTTTGCTATGCTTTCCAAATATTTTATAATGAGATGTGTTACTTTTTATGAGACAAGAAAACACACAAAAGCAGCATTCAGAACAGAAAGGGCACTAGCTTCAGAGGCAGTAACTGGGTTCGGAACTTGGCCTTGCCATTGTCTAGGCCTGTTACTTTGGTCAAGCCTCTTCTCTGGGGACCTTGTGTGCAAAACAGGGCTGGACTCATGGATTCCTAAGGTCCTTCCATATTTAATTCTCAAGATTTTATTTCAGTAAGATCTTATCTAGTTATCTCAGGGAAAATCTCTTTCCCTGTTTATTCTTCATCCCTTTTTGGAGGCAAGAAGGGGCCTGATCAAGGCTGGGAAACACAGGGCTGTGGCTGGCATCCAGACATCTAGAAAGAGCTGTGCGTTCTGAGGCCATGAGGACATGAACAAGACCTGAGTCATTTCCATCTAAGGCTGTTCAAATCCCCTCAAAGTACCCTTTCTACTTACTTTCCCCCCAGTGAACTTGTTTTACCTTCAACATTAGCTTTTACGTAAGTAAGAGGCTTTTTCAAATTTATCAAATTCTGGTTTCATTGATTTACAGACTCTTTTATTATTTGATTCCTTTCTTTTTTTCCTTTTTTCGAAATGGAGTCTCGCTCTGTCGCCCAGGCTGGAGTGCAGTGGCACTATCTCGGCTCACTGCAACCTCCGCCTCTCGGGTTCAAGCAATTCTTGAACCTCAGCCTCCCGAGTAACTGGGATTACAGGCATGCACCACTATGCCCAGCTAATTTTTGTATTTTTAGTGGAGACACGGTTTTACCATGTTGGCCAGGCTGGTCAACCCCTGACCTCAGGTGATCCGCCCACCTTGGCTTCCCAAAGTGCTGGGATTACAGGTGTCAGCCTATTTAGTTCCTTTCTTTTTACTACAACTATAGTTTTCAAGTCATCATATAGGTAACTGGATTTTTCATGGGCTGATATTGCAGCTCCAAGAACTCCTTTGTAAAGGACATTGTGTCTACGTATTTTGAGAGAGTTTTTTTGTTTTTTTTTTTTCTTCCTAGATTCCCTCCCAATACTAGGTGAGGACTCTTGGCACTCAGTTCTAAGTCCTGACTGGCCAGGTATCTTAGTTCAAGCACTTTTTCTACATTTACTTTTATTTTGTCCCAGATTCCTGCAAAGGACCAATGGTCCAAGATAGAATTTCAGGACTGGAAACAGTCTTCCTGGTCATCCCATCATAATTCCTCATTTTATAACAGAAAACCAAGGAGCAAGGAAACTATGTGATAGGTCCAAGGTCTTACAGGAAACAGGGCTAGGAGGTGAACAACAACAACAACAAAACAATGTAACTGATAACCACATGTCAAAAAAAAGTCCATTCTCCAAAATTAATGGACATTAATAGTTGCTATATTTGCTTAAAAATTAATGGACATTAATATTTGCTATATTTGCTTCAGTTTTGTTTTGTTTTGTTTTGTTTTTTGAGACGGAGTCTTATTCTTGTTGCCCGGGCTGGAGAGCAATGGCACAATCTCAGCTCACTGCAGCCTCTGCCTCCCAGGTTCAAGCGATTCTCCTGCCTCAGCCTCCCAAGTAGCTGGGATTACAGGCATGTGCCACCACACCTGGCTAATTTTTTGTATTTTTAGTAGAGACAGGGTTTCATCATATTGGCCAGGCTGGTCTCAAACTTCTGACCTCAGGTGATCCACCTGCCTCGACTTCCCAAAGTGCTGGGATTACAGGTGTGAGCCACTGTGCCCAGCCGCTTCAGACCTTTTTTAAGCAATAAAGGATTACAGCTAGAGCTAAAGTTCTATCCCCAAACTTTTCTTCTTTTGTCTCCCAGGAGAACCAACAATCCTGACACTGGTATGTATCCTTCTCTCTCTCTGCTTTTACAAACAATGTTACAATGCACTCTTGAAACTCTCTTTGCAAAAACAGGGCTATATCCACAAGTGAAATGTCTGGTTTTGAGCATCTTTGACTTGATCAGATTTTACAAAATTGTTCTCTAAATTGGTTCATTACATATACACTGTGACCAGCAGTGTATGATGTCCTATTTCTCCATGCTCTTGCCAACCCTTGGTAGTGCCAACTTTTGCCCAATAGATATGAAATGGAATCTCACTTCTATTTTAATTTCCTTAGCAGTGAGGACATTTTCCCTACCAGTGTGGAAATGAGAACATTTTCATATGCCATTATTGGCTATTAGGGTTTCACTTTCTGACAATTGCCTGTTCATATCTTTTGCTCTTTTTTTTTTTTTTTTTTTTTTTTTTTGAGGCAGAGTCTCGCTCTGTTGCCCAGGCTGGAGTGCAGTGGTGCAATCTCTGCTCACTGCAACCTCCGCCTCCTGGGTTCACACCATTCTCCTGCCTCAGCCTCCCAAGTAGCTGGGACTACAGGCACCCACCACCACGCCCAGCTAATTTTTTGTATTTTTAGTAGAGACAGGGTTTCACCATGTTAGCCAGGATGGTCTCGATTTCCTGACCTCATGATCTGCCTGCCTCGGCCTCCCAAAGTGCTGGGATTACAGGCATGAGCCACCGCGCCCGGACTGCTCATTTTTATATTGAGTGGTTTATTTGTATTGATTCAGAGAAGCTATTTCTATATTCTGGTACTATATAACAAATATTTTCTGCCAGAAATGTGGCTTGACTTTTAAATTTATTGACAATGTCTTTCAGGGATCAGAACTTTTATATCTTAACAGCAAAGTGTGTCAATGTTTTTTATAACAGCTTATTGAAATATAATTAATAAACCAAAAAGTTCACCCTTTAAAAGTATAACTCTGTAGTTCTAATATATTCACAGAGTTGTGCAACCCCATCATCACTATACAATAGATGTTTTACTTTATGACTTGTATTTTTTGTATCTTTTCCATTCCAAAGTCATAAAGACATCTCTTATATTTTATGATTTTTAAAAATATGTTCATATTTTAGGCACTTAAATCAATTAGAATTTATTTTTGGTTGAGTTTTTTATATTTATAAACAATTATCCTATAACAATTTACTTACTAGTCTGTCCTTTATTGGTTTTTAATTCTACTGCTATTAAATTTTAGTTTCCATATACTGTATGCTTGAATCTGCTGTGGGCTCCGCATTCTGTTCCATTTATTTGTCTATCCCTCTTACACTGCTGTAAGCCCTCAAGCTTTATGCTAAGTCTTTATATTTGATAGAGCAAATCTCACCCACCTTGTTATTCTTAAAAAATGTTTGGGCTATTCTCAGCCATATGTGCTTTCATATTAATTATAGGATCAGTTTGTTCTAGCAATCCTACAGGATTGCTTTTTTTATTGAAATTATTCTGAATGTAGAGATCCAAAACTTTGTATATTTTCTTTGCTTTTAAATGGGGATAATTATATTATCTATAAATAAGAAGAAATTTTTGTAGTTATTTTCTAGTTTTTATATTTCTAGTTTTGTATAATTTTTCTAGTTATCTAGTCTTGGTTTCTAATTTTCTAGTTCTAATTTTTCTATTTATTTTATCTTATTGCACTGGCTAGTGCTAACGCAGTGTTGAACAGATATAGTGATAAAGGGCATCGTATGTTTTTTCCTGACTTTAATGGGACTGTTTGAGTCTCACCATTAAAGTGAGTATGATGCTTACAATAGGTTTCTGACAGGCAAATCAAGGTAGAGATTATCCCTTCTATTACTGGTTTGCCAAGAGGTTTTCATATCATTTTCGTGTTGAAGTTTATCAGATGCTTTGTCTACATCTATTAAGATGATCCTAAATTTTATCTCCTTAAATCTCTGTGGTAGAGATGGAGATGCTCCACCCAAATCAACCTTCAAGGAGGAACTCAGTGTCCCTGCTCCTGGTAGCCTCTGGTTGTTAGTCCCTTCACAATCTGTCTCCGCCGACCCAAGAGCACATATGCCCCTTCCAGAGAGGCCCACAGCCAGTGACTGCAGGAGGCAGGGGCATGAAGGCCTGGCCACTGTGGGTCAGCCTGGGACAACTCTAATAAGTCACATATGTTTCAAGGGGGCTTGGTGAGACTTTGTGGGCCTGCATCACAGTTCTCCTTTGCCCTCTGTCTAATCCTGCTTGCTTCCTCCCTTCCACATATGTTGACAACTAATATACTATACAAAAACTCCTTCCAGGGCCGGATGCCGTGGCTCATGCCTGTAATCCCAACACTTTGGGAGGCTGAGGTGGGTGGATTACTTGAGGTCAGGAGTTCGAGACCAGCCTGGGCAACATGGTGAAACCCCCGTCTCTACTAAAAATGCAAAAAAAAAAAAAAAAAATAGCCAGGCATGGTGGCTTGTACCTGTAATCCCAGCTATTTGGGAGGCTGAGGTAGGAGAATCGTTTGAACCTGGGAGGCAGAGATTGCAGTGAGCTGAGATTGCACCACTGCCCTCCAACCTGGGCAACAGAGTGAGGTTCTGTGTCAAAAAAAAAAAAAAAAAAAAAAAAAAAACGAAAAAACAAAAAAACAGAAACAAACCAACAAAAACATCCTTCCAGAGAGGATTCAACCTGTGATGATCTGTTTAAAGTAGATATTTTTAAGTGTTAAAAAATTTGCATTCCTGGGAAAAACTCTCCTTTAGTCATCCACATGACTAGATTCATTTGGGAATGTGTTAAACTTGATTTATTTGCTTCTGCATTTATTGTTTAAGAGTCTTTTGTATAACCTACATGTACCTAGCTGCCTGGTGGGATGTCAGGTGCCATCCACAGTTGTAGAATTTTTCCTCCTAAAGGAGATGTACACCAGTGTCCTCTAATAGCATTCAAAGATGTTTTTATTCTTTAGCTTAGTTTTAGTTTAGAAGCATCTCTAATCTTTCCAGG